>NC_000017.11:22089410-22426544 GCF_000001405.40 Homo sapiens
AAGAAACCACAGTGGGTGTGGAGGCCCTACCGTGCAATCCAGCTCGAGTGGAGAAAATCGCCTTCTAGAGTCTGGAGTCCGAGAAGAGGAAAACGATCCCTTACTTGGAAGCTACGAGAAGAAGGAGGCCACTGTTGTTGCTGCCCCTGCCACCTCCTCAGCTTGCCAATGCCGCTGGCAGTGTAGCCCCCATGGCACCCCTAATCTGCCCCCTGCCACTAGCAGTGTAGCCCCCGGATAGCACATCCAACACACCCTACAGTTTCAGGCAATGTAACCCCAATACCCCCCTGCAAAAGCCCCCCCCCACACACCTCAGGGAGCATACCACCCAATAGTGCCCACAATCTGACCCAGCCACGGGCAGTTCAGCTCCTAATGGTGCACCCCCCAGTCACAGACAGTGCAGCACCCAATAACGCCCCTAAACCACCCCCCACTGCCAGCACTGTAGCCCCGGATAACTCCACCCAACCCACTCCTTGCCGCGGGCAGTGCAGCAGAAGATAGCGCCCCTAATCCTTCCCCAGCCACCAGCAATACAAGCTAGTGTACACAATCTGCCTCCCCCCACCCACCCTGCCACCACGGGCAGTATAGCCCCAGATAGCCAGGCAACCTGCCCCACCACCAGCAGTGCAACCCCAGAGAGTGCCCCAAACCAGACCACTGCCACAGGCAGGGTAGCCTCTAGCAGTGAACCCCAATAGGACACCCAACCCTTGCCCCCCGAGGCACACAGGGCAGGCCCAGAAATCTCACCTACCCCATCACATTTCTACCACTGTGGTTGAGCTGCAGTCTCCGACGTCACCACCAACCACAGCGAGGCGAGCCATGGTGGCACAGGTTCCAGCCTCCAGCATGTGGCAGTGCCTCTTCCTTCTAGTCCTCCTGCTGCTGCTGACCGCTCTCCTACTGCTCTATCGCTACCACCAACCTCAGCGAGGTAGTGACCTAGGCTCCAAGCTCCATCCATCCTCCATCCTCCAGCAGGCGGAAGGTTGCGGCCTCTTCCAGTCCTCTAAGCTGGACACAGAGTTGCTCCTCCGCTCGACACAGAAGAGCCTGAAACGACCTGACACCACCTCAGCATGCTTTATATATGAGGTTATGCAAACGCAGTTCCTGGACTACATGTTCTGATTGGATGAGAAAAAAAACCTCTAGGCCTACTCTGATTGGACTTTATTTTCATGCTGTGATTGGTTGTGTTAAGACTTGCTCTCATCCAATCAGAACATGATCATTCCCATTCCTGACACCTCCACCCACAGTGCCCTGTCTCCCACTTCCCCCGCAGTATATAAATGATGCTGAAGCGGCAACACGTTTTTTCAAGTTCCTGTATCTTCATGTCGAGTTGCTAGCTGCCCAACGTAGAGGACTAGGAATCAGGAGTCGGTGGCCGTATGCTGGAGGCTGGAGCCGCGGGAGTGCAGCTCGCCTCGCTGCGGTTGTTGGCAGTGAGGGAGAGAGAGTAGCGCGGCTGGAGCGGGTAGGCGAAGGAAAACAGTTTTGGGATAGATAGAGGGGAGTAAAGAGGGTAGTTAGGGCCAAAGGGAAAAAAGGATAGCTTAGCCGGAGAAGGCATTGCAAAAAGATGGCAGCGAAAAGATGGTGGGGAAAAAAGTTTTTGGGTAGATGGAGGTGTAAAAAACAGGGTGGGGAGCGGGAGGGAAGGAAGGTTTTGCAGAAAGACGGTAGGTAAAAAGTTTAAGGGTAGATGGAGGGGGAAAAGAGGGTGGCAGGTGGGCGGAGGAAAGAGAGGGAGGTGATGGGGGAAAACGGGGCGAGCAGTAGGCAGAGAAGGTTTTGTGAAAAGATAGTGGGGAGAACATACAGTGAGGGGGGAAAGTTTTTGGGTTGAGCAAAAGAGGGTAGCAAGTGGGAGAAGGAAAAAGAGGGTAGCCAGCAGGAGGAAGACAAGGTTTTGTGAAAAGACAGTGGCAGAAAAGAAAGACGGTGAAGAAAGAAAAGACGGGGGTGAAAAGTGTTTTGATAGATGGAGGGGGGAAAGAGGATAATGAGGAGGAAAGAGGGTGGCGACAGGTAGCAGGGATGGGGGTTGGGAAAACAACGGAAAAATAGTTTGGGGTAGAGGGAGGGGAAAAAGGGTGGCAAGCAGGATAGGGGAAAAAAGCACTAGTGGTAAAGGGGGGAGACTTTGAAAAGATGGTGGGGAAAGTTTTGGGGTGTAGATGGAGGGGGAAAGAGGGAGGTGAATAGCCGTGGGGAGAAGGCTTTGTGAAAAGACGGAGGGAAATGTTTTTGGGTAGATGGAGAAGCGAAAGAGAATGGCAAGGAGGAACGGGGAAAGACGATGAAGAAAACAGTTTTTGGTTGGATGAAGCAGGGAAAGAGGGTAGTGAGCAGCAGGAGTGGAGAGAAGGTTTTGGGAAAAGACGGGGGAAAATGTTTTTGCTTAGATAAAGGAGCAAAAGAGGGTGATGAGAGCGGGACGGGGAAAAAGAGGGTGGCCAGGGGTAAGGGGAAAAGAGGGTGGGAAGAAACTGGGGAAAGGGTTTGGGTAGATGGATGGGGAAAAGGGTGTTGAGCAGGAGAGTAGAGGCGGCTTTGTGAAATGAGGGTGGGCAAAAAATGATGAAGAAGTTTGGGGGCAGATGGTGAAAGAAAAAGGGTGGTGAGAGGGAGGGGGCCAAAGGCCGTTTGGAAAAGAAGGTAGGGAAATAATGGTGGGGGACAAAGGTTTGGGGTAGTTTTTTTGATAAGATCATTTGTATGTTTGCTTTTCAGTAGTTTGAGTTCTTTATGTATTTTGTGTATGAACCCCTTGCCTGATGCATGGTTTGCAAATACTTGCTTCCATTATCTGGGTGGTTTCATTTTTATTAAATTTTAATTCAGTTTAATTTTTTTTAGGCAGAGTCTCGGTCTGTCGCCCAGGTTGGAGTGCAGTGGCACGATCTCTGCTCACTGCAAGCTCTGCCTCCTGGGTTCACGCCATTTTCCTGCCTTGGCCTCCCGAGTAGCTGGGACTACAGGCGCCTGCCACCACGCCAGGACACTTTTTTTGTATTTTTAGTAGAGACGGGGTTTCACCATGTTTTCCAGGATGGTCTTGATCTCCTGGCCTCATGATCGGCGCGCCTCAGCCTCCCAAAGTGCTGGGTGTACAGGCGTGAGCCACCGCGCCCGGCCTGTTTTTTCATTCTACTGATTGCTTCCTCTGCTTTGCAGAAGCTTTTTTTTTTTTTTTTTTTTTGAGACGGAGTCTTGCTCTGTCGCCCAGGCTGGAATGCAGTGGCATGGTCTCAGCTCACTGTAAGCTCCGACTCCCGGGTTCACGCCATTCTCCTGCCTCAGCCTCCCGAATAGCTGGGACTGCAGGCGCAGGCTACCAAGCCCGGCTAATTTTTTGTATTTTTAGTGGAGACGGGGTTTCACCGTGTTAGCCAGGATGGTCTCAATCTCGTGAACTCGTGATCCGCCCGCCTCGGCCTCAAAAAGTGCTGGGATTACAGGCGTGAGCCACTGAGACCGGCCTGGAAACCTAACTTTATTTTTTAGTGTAGTATTTGTATATATACTTTAATAGCCCTGAGTTTTAATAAAGTTGCTTTTAAAAATGTATCTTATATTTCAGAAATATACCCTAAGTCATGTGATTAGTTGGGTGGCATGTTGTTTAGTTTTTACAATTGAAGGATTGTCATTCCTTTGTACAAAAAAAAAAAAGTGAATTTTTATCATATACTAGAGGAAAGAAGGCAGATACTAAATAATAAATATTGTATGCTTCCACGTAAATAAAATTTGAAATTATATAAAGACAGAATGCATTGAACTTTTCTGGGGTTGAAGTGGGGAATTCATTGGCAAAGGTCGTGCAATAAATGTGTAGGTGAAGGGAATATTCTATATTTGATTGTGTAGGTGATTAGCTTTATAAATTTGTAAAACTGAACTGGACTAAAATGTGTGCCTTATACGCAGATTATTCTATAAAATTGATTAAAACTAGTTAGAAGAGAATCAGTCAAGGGGAAAAGAAAGAAAAGGCACGTGAAAAAATAATGCCAATGCACTAGAATTGTCTTTGATGACATTAAATATAGCCTGGTCTTCTGTTAATTCTTTTTAAAATTTACGTAGATTTCTCAATCCTTTGATACTTTTTCCTCAGCACATCTTATATTCTCATATATGTTAATGTATGGCTACATAAGAGAGGGCTCTCTTACAGTTGGACTTGGAACAGCTTGATATTTATATCTAGAGATGCATCGGAAGCATAACACTGACCCGTGAGCAAGATGAAAATGGCATGTGCTAGTTAGTGATTCATAATGTGTTGCTTTAAGTTTAGTGCCAACTGGTCTACATCGTTGAGAATGTTTAGTTTGATAGTTTACACAACTTGGCTTAGGAAGTATATAACCAACAATGTATGAGGGAGCCTGCTGTAAAGACTTTTCTGCACTTCCCTTTAATTATTATAGTAAGCTCAAATCTTGAAGGTTCATAATATACAGACAAAATGTGTCCGTGAGACTGAGAAAGGATCTTTAGGGAGAAAGGCTCTGTTCCTGAAAGACAGACTTTCAATGATTTCCTGCATTTTATTTCTGTTGTACTTTACATTTACCTTTATTAAACACTAATAAGGTGGTTCTTATAGGGCCTCATAGGCCTTTTTAGTTTTCCAACCTATTCATACTTGGTGCAAACCTAGTAATTTTTTGCGTGATAGTATTGGGATTTTACTCGGAGGCTAGGCTTCACACTGTAAAAACAGCTTTTTGGAATTGTATCATTTTCAGTCTTTGCATCGTGTTCCACTGTCCCAGCCACACACACACACACACACCAGATATGAAGACTACAAGCATCCTCAAAAGGTGTAACACATCTATAGTAGATGTTTTTACCTCTTGTAAAATCTAAGGAAAATATACTAAAAGTGAAGGCATCAGTAAAACAGTATCATTTTAGGTTGACCTCGAGTATTTCAACATCAGTCTAGCTTCAGAACAATACATTTGCAAGGGGAAATGGGGTACTTTTGTGGTTTTTTACACCTGTTATTTCAACTGAAATTGAAAAAAACTATTTTGAACTAACTATAACCATGAAAAGAAGCTTTTATCAGTATTGAAATAAAATAACAAAATGCATTTGTGGGTCTGACCTCAAGACGCATTTTAAATAGTCAATACTACCTCTAACTCTCATTCCCCTTTCTCTGAGCATCAGCTTTATTCTTATTCCATCTTACTTAATTTGGCACTGACAGATACAGACTCATTCTTACAACATATACCATCAGAAGTGAAACCTTCACACTCTCCAACTCTTGAAAAATCTGAGATGCACTTTGACTATTCTCAGATCATGGATCTATTACTTGGATCAAAAAGTACTGCACAGGGAAGTAGATACTATGATCTCTGACATTACAGTTTCAAGGCTGGAGTGAGAAAGGGATAGCTCCCTAATGAGGGAGTATCATAGAAATGATATTTTCATGGTCATACTTTTGTGAACTAGGCAGACATCCCTTCATGTCAACTACATCTCTACTTTGAACAGATAAATATCCATGCATATACAAAATTATATAGTAATATAAGCATGACTTTTCATTAAAATTGTAACCAAAACAGTCTAGGTGAATAAATACCAATACAGGAGATAGTTTTGCTTGAATGATCTTTACCCTTGGGGAGACATACATAAAAGAATGTCATACTTTGTTATGAAATGACTGTCCACCATATTTATGAGTAAACTTTCATAATTTCTTTATTGTCTAAAGTAAGCACAAAAACCCTTTTAATTAATATCCCTTTTTAATATATAGAATAAATATAAGAAAATAGCACAAATGGTATTATGCCAGCACATAGAAACAGTTTCTGTTAAAAGTCAATCCTGTATTTTGAGAACTTGACAAAATCATAATTGAAAATAGTGTATTGTCTTACATGCAGATGTTGTGTAATCAGGGACATCCAAATCAACTTACATCCAAATATTTCACAATTAGTCTTATTCTGTGAAGTATTATAAAACCACGCTCTCAGGAATATAAAAGCACAAAGGGAGCCAGGACTCCAAATAGCCATTTATTCATTTCCTAAGGTTAGGTACAATGAGGACTGCATTTTCAACATTATCAGGGCCATACAGACATTGGAGCTTAAGGATAAGATCCAATTTCATAGCAGTCTGTTAAAGGATAAGCCAGTGTAATGACCCAAGTGTTCACCATAATAATTACCATCTTGAGTGTTGATGCTATGAATAGAAAGGAACACTGCATCTCTAAAATTAACTATGGTTTATATGACATGAGACCAATTTGATGGAAAGAAGGCGAACTGTGAATGGTAATTTTGTTTTTTTAGTTGTTTTCATTGTGTGTACTCATATCTGAAAATACAATACCATATAATTAGAAAAGTTATAACAAAATAAGACTGGAAGCCTTAACTTTTTATATCAAATGTTCTGCACACAAATATAGCCTTTTACTGATGATCTATGGCTCCAAAATATTGGTAGCTATAATTATGCTTTGTAAAACAGAAGCTATGAATGCCTTACTGCAGAAAGACACAAAGAATCATTTCCTTACTCACTCACTGCTAGTAGACCCTGATGCACAGCATTTCCTGCCCAGATACCTGATTATTAATCCAGTTTTTGTTAGGGGTATACTAACATTAACTAACGGAGATTGGTGTTTAAACCAGTTAATGTAAAGAAATGCTGTAGGAACTGAAATATTCCTTTTAAATTAACAAAAGTGTTCTTTCTAGATAAAGTTACATGAGGACCCAAATGTATACCAGAAAATCATTTGATGAATATGGAATTAATAAAAGAATGTTTTGTTATATGGTTTTAGTACTTTGTTGGTGCCAGGTTAAAGACATGTGGCCCTAGATAGGATAACTCTACAGAAGAGAATTTAATTTGTTTACCTGCTTCACTAGAAATCCAACAATTAAGGCAGTGACTCTATTTTCCAATATTCATTTCCTCCATTTTCTCATCTCTTTTTGATTGATGGTATCATTTCGTTATTTCATTTTCATTGACATGGAATTCATTTTGGCTAAAATGACTTTTTGACTGTGTGTGTGTATATATATATATATATATTTATGATTTTAAAATCAATGAACAATATTGTTTCTCTGTTTCCAAGATTATCCCTCTATATTCTCTAAAGTAGATACTGTGAAACAGTCCAGATAATGAGTCTAGGAATGGCAGTACGAAATGCTGTAAAACTGGAAGCAACTTAGTAGGTAATCAATAGGGAAAATGAAAATATAATTGACTCTAGTTAATGTAATGATGCATTTATTTTACATTTTTCTTGCCTTCCTGAGATAAGTCCTGCCTGGTTATAGTATATTATATGTTTTATGTATTGCTGAATTTTGATCATTAGCATTTTGCTGAGGATTTTTTCCATCTATTTTTGTTAAAGATATTGTTCTGTGTTTTTTTTTTGTTTTTTTTTTTTGATGCTATTGTCTGGTTTTGTTACTAGGGTAATACTAGCTTCACAGAATAAACTGGGAAGTGTATTCTCTTTCTTTTTTTTCAAGAGTTTGTAAATAATTGTATTAATTCAACTTTGAAAGTTTGGTAGAGGCATTCTTGGCTAGAATTTGTTGCTGTTGTCATTGTTTCCTGAGCTGGTGGTTTTGATTACTAACTTTATCTCTTTACTTGATAAGATTTTATATTTCTCCTTGACTCATTTTTGCTAATTTGAACCTTTCCTTAAAATTTGTCCGGTTCTTAAAAAATATCTAAATTTTAGATATAATTGTTCATAGGTACTTTTATAATAATTTTTTATTTAAGTTTAGTGTCCTTTTAAAATTTTCATTAATACTTGAATAGTTTCTCTTTCTTGTTGGTCGGTCTGTCTAAATTGTGGCCACTGTTGATGTGTTCAAAGAAACAATTTTTGGCTTTGTTGAGGTTCTCAATTGTTTTTCTATTTTGTATTTCACTAATTTGTATATCCCTAATACTTTCTTGTGGTTGCTGTAGTTTTAATTTGCTCTTCTTTTTTCAGTGCCTTATGGTGGCAGGTTAGAGAATGTTATTTTTGAGTATGAGAACTACTTTTATTGCATCACATAAGAGATATTATGCATTCTTAAAGTATTTTATCTTTTTTTAAAGTATTTTCTAATTTATCTTATTCTTTTTGGACCCATTGGTTATTTAATAGCATGTTGTTTAATTTCCACATAATTCTGAGTTTCCCAAATTTTCCTATTGCTGATTTATTATTTTACTCAATTATTGTCTGAAAATATACTTTGTATTATTCCAATGTTTAAATTCATTGAGGTCTATTTTATGGCCTGGGATATGGTATTCCTGGATAATGTTGCGTGTGCACTTGAGAATCTACTGTTGTTACAGTGTTCTTTAAATGTCTAATCACTCTAGTTATTTTATAGTATTGTTCAAGTGTTCTATTTCTTTGTTGATCTTTTGCCTAGTCATTTTATCCATTTGTGAAAGTATTAAAGGCTGCAAGAAGTATGTTAAATTGTCTAAAGTTCATTTTTGGAGGTTTCTATGTCAATGGATTTTGAAGTCTTTTCATCACACATATGTATGCTTGTAATTATTTATTTTTGAGATATTGGCCCTTTTATTTTTATGAAATATCTCTCTTTACCTCTGTAACCCCTTTTGTTTTAAAGTGTATTTTTTTCTGATATTAATGTAACAATTCCAGCTTTCTTGTGGTTACTGCCTGCATCGTATAACTTTTCTATCGTTTTTTTTCTATGAATTTTCATCTTTGGATCTGAAGTGTGTCTTCTGCAGACAACATGTAGATGGATCTTGTTTATTTAATTTGTTTTACCTCCAGTCTGACAATCTTTTATTTGAATATTTAAATTCATTTTCACTTGAGGTTACTAGTATAGATTTACATCCATCATTTTACTTCAGTTTTCTGTATACCTTATGTCTTTTCATTCCTCTATTCCTCCTTTACTGCTTTCTTTTGAATTAGGTATTTTTTATAAAACATTTAATTTAAATTTAATAATATTTTATCTATATTTTTTCAATGTTTCCCTTAATTGTTACTTTAGGGTTTACTGTAGACATCTTAACACAATCAATTTTAGGTGCATAACAATTCTAGTGGCATATATGTATATATAAATTTTACTTTTGTTCACTTTTGTGTACTTTGGCTCTCCTTTTTGTGCTATTATGGTTGTACACATTACATCTATATATGCTATGTACCCAATAATTTATTGTTATAACTGTTACTTGATATGGTTTGTTTCGTCCTCTCCAAAGTTCATGTTGAAACTTAATTTCAATGTGACAGCATTAAGAGCTGGAACCTTGAGGATATGATTAGGGTATTAGGGCTCTGTCCTCATGGATGATATGAGTGTGTTACAGAAGGGCTGGAGGGAATTAGGACATTAGGACCCTTTGCCTTTTCATCCTTTTCACTGTATGAATATACAGCATTCACCCCCTCTGGAGGATGGAGTATTCAAGGCACCTCAGCAGACACCAAACCTGCCAGCAAATTGATCTTTAAATTCCAGCCTGCAGAACTATGAGAAATAAATTTCTTTACAAATTTCTCAGTCTCTGGTATATATATATGTATCAGCATGAACAGACTAACACACTTGACATAATTTTATGTCTTAAAAAGATAAAAAGAAACGTACTATGTATTTACGGCTTTTGTTATATTAGCAGTCTTATTTATTATTTCAGGTCTTTTCATTTGTTCAGCATTTGAAACTTCTTCCTGACACCAGAAGGGCTCTTCTTAGCTGTCTTTTTCCTGGGTTATTCCTGGTAAACTAGCTGACCTTTGTTTCAAAGCATATGTCTCTAATAAAGTGCCAGTCTCTCTTATTTGCTTTTTACCATCACTTCATTGTTTTTCGAAGTACCCTTATGGTTGAATTTCCCCAAACTCTTCTTTTGGGAAAAGCTTTACACTCTCTGCTGTATGTTCTGCCCCTTCCTTTGGGCAAAACTTCTGAGCTTTGGCTCTGGTGATTGCAGCAAAGAGAGCAGCATTCTCCTCTCGGAGTGACAGCCCTACTTCGAGACTGGGTCACTGGGATGAGAAGTAGCCTTTGGTAATCTCAGCTTGCCACTCCTGGAATGAGAACTTTGCCTTACAGACAAACCAGAAAGAAGGCAATCAGGGCTCAGTGTTCTCAGTGTGTTGCACCTAAACAGTCCTCATTCCATGAATTAGAGCTGGTAGGAAGAAGTGACATCCTACTTCTTGGCCACATTCAACAAAAGCTTAACCTCAAGAAAAGGTAGTGGCAGCAGGTGGGGGTTGAAATGAAAAATTCTGATGTACTGTTACTCCCAGAAAGATACTATATCCCCCCAATGGGGTCTAGTAAAAATCCTGTGTTTTTGGCTACATTGCCTTGAGTAGAGTTTATATCAAGATAGGCTGTGAGAAAGAGAGGTAAGAATGGGTTGTGGATCAAATGCAAAAAAACTCTCACTGTTCTTAGTGAGTTTCAGTAGATTTTCTTGAATAAATACTTCATCATTTTCTATGTACCATTATGACTTTTCAAGTGACATAGGTGATGGTTGTTTTATAATTTTCAACAATTTTATAAAAGATCCATGGAACTCTTCACATTGCCTTTCTAGAGGTGGAACTTCTGCATTTATTTCTTATGCAAGGAAATTCTTCTGAAATATACTTTGGAATCTCACTCTCTACAGCAAATTGGGTCTCAGTGTATTTCTTTCTCCAAGAGAAGTCTGCTAGATACTCAAATAATTTTTGTTTTATATTGTTATGTTTGAAAGGTTGTTTTGTTGTTAAACAAAAGACAATAGGAAGATCAACATGAAACCCTCACATTCATTGTATGAATATTATCTTTTCATTCAGAAAGAGTTAAAATATATTTGAGTGCTCATAAAGCTTTAAAAAGAAGTGGATTAAGTAATCAATCTCCCTAGGCAGATAAAAAAGCACATGATATTTTGGTATTCCCCAACTTTTATTATTTAACTTTCATGTTCTAGCAAATAACTTTCAACAATTTGTCAACTTATTTGCAGTCATTTATATTTTATATTATTAATTCCATTATTTATGCATGTGTTGAATAGACTTAAATATATAGAGTAGATGTTGACACTCGAATTTGTAACAAAGTGAAAAATTACTTTGATACGTATTTCTTTTTTTCTGACAAAATTCTGAAGTGCTTTTCCATCTCTTCTAAGACAACATATAGAAAACGTATTTTTTTCTCATTATTAAATATATGACTCGGAATACAGCAAAACTAATTGGCTATAAAGCAAACCTTTAAAAGAGAAGAGTTTGATGAAAAATACAAGCATTCTTAGTTATACGTAAGATCCCACAGAGCCAACTTTTTCCAGATTTATGTCCCAATTTTAAACTTTAATTCCTACTGTCTAAGCATTGTGGCTAAAAGTATGAGATAATTAATTACTCCTGACATCCAACTTTTGTGATCACAGTAGGTGACATTCCTTTGAAAAAAATAACTTGAAAATTTTCTGGTAAATGTTACGTTTGTGTGTGGGTGCAGAGTTTCATTTTCATACCAAGCTCACATATCAAAGTTGAGTGTTTTAATTATCTTTTAAGACTATGTCCTTGGATGCTATGCTATATGCCAATATTTATATATGTTGAATATACTTAACTTTCATTTAACTTACATAGACATAGTGCTTAACTTTAATCAGAGATTCCTAATTCTGATGAATGTTGGTAGAAAATATGCTGCAAATAAAATATGTTAGAATAATTTTTAATAAAAGGATAAAAGGAAAGAAGCTAGCAGAAGAGCCAGCACCACAGAAAGCAAAGTCACATTCTGGATCCAAGCAATGTTTCCATGAGCAAAGAACCAGCAAATTGAATTCACGAGACAGGGAGCAGAAGCAAGAGAGTGAAGAGGAAGTAGACTTCTTTTTGTTTTTGTGTCTTATTTGCTTTCTCATGAGAAGAGTGTACTAGTAGTAGAAGTAAGTTCTATGAATGAGACCAGAAAGACGTAGGTAGAATATCTGGACCCTCTGTATAGGATAGGTAGTTATTATATTGTGTGTTCTGGAGGTAAGATTTATATAATTTATATAATTTTATGAAATTTATGAATTTATATAAATTATATGAATTTACATAAATTATATGAATTTTTATAAATTATATAAATTATATGAATTTATATAAATTCAAGCCCACAATAGTATCAAGGCCTATTAAGCAAACATCCATTAGACAGCAAGAAAGACTAAGGCTTTCAAACAAGCGTCAATAGTTAAATGTGAAGCAAACATACAGACATTTGATACTGTGACAAAAATAATGAGGTTTATCATAATATATTTTCTTGTTTAGTAATTATATATAGCTACATACTAGTTTTTCAAAACTTAACTAATTCTCTTTAAATATATTTCTATGAAATTTCTTGCTATACTTGGGATACAGTTGAGTGTAAACTCATTTTGTAGGATTTTTTTTTTTAAATCATGAAACAACATAGTGATAAATTTAAATAGTTTTGCCAGTTGAATCATGTATGTGATAAAAAGGCTTTATATTTCTGATTCCTAAATCAGGGCATGGCAGTACAAATCATAAATCAAGTATTCTTATGTCTGTTGTATAATTATAGAAGAATAATGCCCAAACCTTTTTTGAATGAGGGTATGTCATGAGCATCAAAAGGGGAAAAAAAGTATGAAAATCCGTGAGAGTTTTACTCTGGAGAGTCATATAGATTGTGTGTTCTTTAGCTAACATTTTAAAACAAATATCTGAAATCACTTGCTTAACCCCTTTGAATAATATATATTATTGCCCTTAAGAGAAATTTGGTAATCTACTAAAGGTCCGTTTCATATAGCCCTGACGTCTCTCTCCAGTCACGTGCCCTTACTGGTGTCTATGACCCAAACACACTAGTCGTCTCTCAATTTCACTAAGATGTTTTGCATTCTTCTCACAGCTTTTATGTCTGTTGCTGCTTCTTCAAGGCATACTTATCTGATATTTACTAGCTACTGTCTATTATCTTGAATCAGCTTAATGGTTTATTTTCGAGGAGACAAGGGCAAATTTTGCTGCTCTATATTCCCATAGTATTGTGGTCTTCTCTTTATTAAAAACTCATCGGGCTAAAAATTGTTTGTGATTCCCATTTATTTACTTGCTAGATTCTGAATTCCATGAGGACTGGAAATGCAACACTTTTATTTACCTGTGTATCTCAAACTTTGTATTCTTCCTGTGAGACAGTCATGTATTTATAAAAATGAATGAAATTTTTGTGTCTATAGACTGCATTACCAATACCTCTTGCACTATGAAATTTTCTTTAATTTCAAAAAATCCAAACATTATTTTTTTCTCGTTTATATAGTTTGAAATTCTTTTCTGGCAATAATGTTTCACCTATAAAAAGACCTATTAAAATTTATTTAATACTAAGGGGAGGGATAAAATAACTATGCATTTTTGGTCGAAAGCACAGTTGTGTCTGATACTTTAATTATGCTGTCTAATTTAACTTTTCATAAATACCCAGAATATCATTCATGATTTAAATACCAACTGCCAAAATGTACAGCTATCAAGTGGAAGACTCAGCTTTGTGCTATGCCGCATTTTCTCTTCTTTCCTTTTTGTGATGATCTTCCAAATTGTGGAGAAAGAAAACATTTCTATTTGTGATTGTTTCTGCTAGTTATTTCTGCAAAACAAACTACTCAAATTCAGTGGCATGATGCAATAACCATTTTGTCATCATATATTCTGGGGTCAGGGGGTTGAAAATGCAAAGTGGGGTGACATTTCTGTGGTCTACAGTATTTGGGGCCTCTGAGAAGTCCTAGATGTCTAGGAATGAATTAAACGTTGGACAATGAAATCTTCTGAAAGCCTCTTCATTTACATGTTTGGCTCCTGCATTGTTATGACTTAAAGGCTGGGCTCAAAATAATCTCTTAACCAGAGTGTCTGAATATTGCTTCTTCATGTAACTTGGGCTTCCTCACAGCATGGAATCATACAGGTAGTTTGCCTGAGTGTTTCAGTTAATGGGTCAATGTATTGCCTTTAATAATCTTGCCTCAGAAGTCACATAGAATTACTTTAATGCTCAGTTGGTTTAAGCAATCACAGCCTGTCTCACGGGGAAGAAACATGATGTCTACCCTTTGATGTGAGGACATTCAAAGTATTCGTAGCTATATTTTAAAAATGCCACAGTTATCTTCTTTTTAAAGAGATACCATATCTTTATTATCAGCTATAGAATCAGGATTTGAAAATAGTTCTTATGCTACATATGCATTTTTGTTATCATTCTTGTTGTTATAATCTTTTACAGGAAGGGTGAAGGGGTAAGGGTTATGTTTCATTCTTTCTCAAATTTTGTGCTCTATAAGTATTTTTATTTTTTGTCCATAATAGATTGTGGTACAAAGGTGACTCAAAACTAGAGTGTAGAAACATAAAAAAATATAAGTTTTCATATCCAAGCTGTTGATAAGATATTCAAATATAAAAAAGGTTTTGAATTTGTTTTAAAAATTAAGTCTTCTAATTTTTCAAAAAGAACTAAGATAATTGTCCACTAATTGCCCATTAAATTTCCTCCTTAGTTCTACTTCCACAAAAGATATTACCATCTATGATTAATTTGGATTTCAGAGGAAGAAAATATAGTCTGAGGAAAATGGATTGTGGAGCAATCTCAATGCTAACTACTATAAAATAGCTTATTACTTGAAAAATGAGGATATTGTATGAATTTTCACTAGTCAATTGGTAGCAAAAACAAAATTTAAGTGATTGTAAATATGTCATATTTTAAACTATCTTGTAAAGATGTTATGTACAGAGATATTATATGTTACTAGCATCTGGATTCAGAAAAATATGTAACTGGAACCAGGTTTAAGTTGGGTAATTGTAGTGTGTCTAATAATTTTAATACAAGGTAAAAACATTTTCTGTTGAAAATCAGTTTTAATATTAAGTTAGGTTTTATTTATATTTTGAAAATTTAAGGACTCTTGAATATTCTTAAGTAAATTGCAATTTAATGCAATTGTAGTTATACTCAGCAGTATAGTGACACTTGATTAAAGCCATTATAAAGGAAACATAATCCCATACTGATGATCTTCACATTTCTTTGGGTTAAAGACCAGTTTATTTCATTGAGATTACAGTTCAGGAGAAAGGTTATTGACTACATGTATCTATAGTATTGTCTAAGCAACAGGAGTTTAGTTTGCATGTTTAGTATTTTTGAGAGCACATCAATGTAATGAAATGTATTTAAAATTATGCCCATATATACATAATTATATATATTTATTTATATATTTTTTACAACAGTGTTTTTCCTTGGAGATGATTCAATCAAATTGCAGCAGAGACACTTCTAATTAGTTATTAGGAAGTACAATCTAGGATTGTTTTCCTGAACGTTTGTGACTAGCAATGTTCTCTTACAGACGTGGGGGTCTGGACACTTGGACCTTAAATTGGAAATGGTTAAAACAGTGTTAGCCAAAGAATGACAATGGTTTGTTTGCCAAGTCTTTTTGTTTTGTTTTGTTTTGTTCTTTTGAGACGGAATCTTGCTCTGTCACCCAGACTTGAGTGCAGTGGCGTGATCTCGGCTAACCGTAACCTCTGCCTCCCGGGTTCAAGCAATTATGCCACCTCAGCTCCCTGAGTAGCTGGGATTACAGGCAACCGCCATCATGCCCAGCTAATTTTGTATTTTTAGTAGAGATGGTGTTTCACTATGTTGGTCAGGCTAATCTTGAACTCCTGACCTCAATGAATCCATCTGCCTCAGCCTCCCAAAGTGCTGGGATTACAGGCGTGTGCCACTGCACCCAGCTGCCAAGTCTTTTTGTGTTAGTATTGCTGTTGAATATATCTGGTGTTTTCATTCAAGAAAACACTTAAAAGCCATTTTAGGGGCTGGGCGCGGTGGCTCACGCCTGTAATCCCAGCAGTTTGGGAGGCCAAGGCGGGCGGATCACCAGGTCAGGATATCAAGACCATCCTGGCTAACACGGTGAAACTCCGTCCCTACTAAAAATACAAAAAATTAGCCTGGCATAGTGGCGGGCGCCTGTTGTCCCAGCTACTCGGGAGGCTGAGTCAGGAGAATGGCATGAACCCGGGAGGCAGAGCTTGCAGTCCAGCCTGGGCGACAGAGCCAGACTCCGTCTCAAAAAAATAAAAACAAAAGCCATTTTAGGGTAAAAGAACCTTTCTCAGAACTATCACTGTACACATCTTCCTGTTTCACTGATCCCTCTTCTCTCCTTTAGTTTTAACCTTTTGTGATAGCTCTTTATGCATCTTCTTCTGAGGTCATTGAAGATGTGTTCTGTCTTACTGGTTTCTGTTACCACTAAGTACTTCTTATTTCTAAACAGGTGGTTTGATTTTATGACCACTCAGACAACTCTAAGTAAGATGCAAGCATGTGCTACTTCTCCCTACTCTACACTCATAAACTTCAAACAATTCCCTCTTCTGTCTGCATCTTCCGATAAGGATATAGACTTAGAACTTTTAAAATCGATGGCTAACCACTCTTTACTGCAAGAGTGGTATACTATATTGGACCATGATTATGGGCAAGATCACCTAAACAGAATGGATAACTTTACACTCTGTGTAAGTACTCACTAGGCACTCTCCTAGTAGTGTCTCTACTTGATAGAGCAAAGTAATAGAAGAAAAATGAGCAACTTCATTCTCATGATTTCTAATATGTCATCATAAATATGAGGTCCTTCATTTCTGTTAAGTAGAAAACCAATGATGATACTGCTTACAGAAAACCATCTGTCCATCTTCATCTGTATCAACAAACTTCCAGGCAATTTGCATTGGCACAAGCTGTTATTTGTCTTTGCTAATGTTTAACAATAAAATTCTCAATGACATACTTGATACTCTGGAAAGATAGTATTTTTATTCTTCACAGGGTAGAACATGCATTACAAATTATGTAATTAGTAAAATACGTGCAATGAAATGGTTTCAATTTCCTGTATGAATAGTTTTTATGATGGTTATCTAATAATCTAAAATATTTATATTTCAATTAGTGTTTTACTTAATACTTTATTACTTCCTTTTAATCAATCAAAAAGGAGGTATTACCTGTCCAAAGGAAGCTTAGCTATGTATTATGCATTGGAGACTACATTAAGGAATTCACTAGGCAATGAGTTCTAGGTGTTAAAAGGGGCATTAATTTAAAAAAATATTAAAGATGCGAAATTTTTAAAGCCTCAAAGACGTGAATAAAAGGTTTAAAGAAGAAAATACTGTGTTGATCGAACAATATTTATTTTTTCCCAAATGACTAAGCTTTCAAATCAGGGACTAATCATGAAAGACCACATGACTTATTTTTAAATTAAAAACGATACTGAAATATATTTTTCTGGTTGAAGAGAGCTTTATTCTAAAAAGAAAAAATGTCTATGAAGCAAAAAAAAAAAGAAAACATATGCTCTTTTCTTATGTTTGCTCAAGCAGAATTTACCTCTGCAACTCGTATAATCAGTGCTATAATTATGTACAGATATATTTTGATACTTCAAAGCATCTATAAAATTCCCTAAATGAAAATTATTTTAGATTAAATATATTAATGACCAAGACAGCTTTTTTTGTTTATAAGCAAATTAGATTATATTGCTTATGAAAGTTTTTTATATTTTTATTCCATGGATCATGCAAAAAATCATGTTAGACAATGAAAGGATATCGTGTTTTCTCCTTTTTGCCTTATTACCATTTTTTTTCTGTGCTTAGTTCTGCCTTTGCTGTATAGTGTGGAAATATAAAAAATTACAAGAATTGCTCAGGTGTCTTTTTCAAACCTCCAGGTTGCCAATATATTCACTTCATCACTCTTATCTGATTCCCACACATTCCTCTATGATCCTACAGAGCAGTTACGTTTCTTATAAAATCTAACAGACCACCCAACTATGGTTTGCAACATCAAACCGTCATGCTTCTTGTACACAATATATTAGAAAATTGGGTTTTTACATATCAGAGTAGAAATATATTTCACACATATTTGAGGCATACTGTTATATTCCTAAGGAAATAATATTTTATTTAATTGAAGCCACATGATTTTTACTATGATGTAATTACTCACTGACCACCAAGTCTACAGACAGCCTTTACCAGAATCAAGATACACATAGGTAAATTATTTTGAATATCTTTTGAAATCTGGGGTGCTCAATTTGATCCATGCAGATTACCTTAATTAGCATACATCTATTGGTCATTGGCATACTTTTTAAAATGAGATATAAAATTATACAAATATCTGTAAGTTCTCTACAGCATCTTTTCCTAGCAGCATTTTACAGCGGATAAAGGAGGTTGCCAGTAGATAGACAAAACAAAAAATAGAAACACTTCTTAAGCATACTTTTTTTTACATGTCATAACATGAATCTACTATCTTTTTTTATTTTTACTTTTGTATTCTGAAAAAATGTTAAAATTGGTTATTACCACTGTCTCTCTGTTCTTTCCTAATAATGTCCTTTTCCTCTATTGTCAGCATTTTAAAAAACATTCTTGATCTCTAACACCTTTCTAGAAAATTCTGACAAATTAAGTGGCAGCTAGAACAAGAGGAGATTTAAAGAATTATTGTTGACAATGAAAATAATGAAGTACATATTTAGCATGGGCATGTTGCATGTTGACAATATATCATTGCATAAATGTTTGAAATATTTTTCCTTTATGAAGTAATTGTCATCAAGATCGAAGCTATTGAATATATTTGCTGTATAACTTTGTATAAAATAGATTTATATTGCTTTGAGCTGAACAGATATTTGCAATGAAATTGTCCTTGTCCATGTTATTTTAATTTTGTCTACTGTCATTGGCAGAAATGTATCTAATACCTTATCTCTTTCCCCAAATCACATACAACTGAAAGATGCTAGATGTTAAGAGTTCTGGTAAAGTAGTCTTCTAAAATCCTTTTTCATTTGTCTAGAGAAAAAAAAGTACCAGAATTCAGGACAGATTTTTCTTCAAGGTATCAAGAGTAGACCATATAGATTTTTTCAAGTAAATTTCTAAAGCTATATTTTAGAAATCAAAAAAGAAATATTTGCATTAAAACCATTATTCCCTTAAATTTTTAGAGGATTCTGTTTGACTTTGGCATGAGTAAAGTCCATTCTCTTATTTGCAGTGCTATTAGATATGAGGAGTTTTAGCAGAGATCCTGGAACAACTGCTGCCTATCAGGGTGTGAAATCAATGACATGGATTCCTGTAGAAACTATTTACTTTGCTATATCTCCTCAATATATGTATATACAAACAAGATCTTTGACGCTGGCTTGAAATCCACAGCAAGAGGTACACCAGGAAGCATCAAAAACTATTAAGTATATACAAAAATAGTTGAATGCATACCTCAGTTAGCAATGTTAACAGAGTTTGTGTCCCACAACCATTAGATTTTGCTACTCACAATTATCAGACCAAATTAATATGAACTCAACATCTCCACTCAAGGACAGTATCATTGCAAATATCTGCTCATTTCAAAGCAATATAAATATGTTTTATACAAAATGGCACATAGTAAATGTATTTGATAGCTTAAATCTTGATGCCAATTACTTCATAAAGGAGCAAATATTGTCAAATATTTATGTAATGATGTATTATCAACATGCAGCTTGTGTTCCTTTAACATAGTAAATGCTTTCTTCTGAGAGAAAAGGGGCCTTGATTCTTCTATTTACTCATTCTTGCTAGAAAATTTTGCAAATATAGGAAGAAGAATGAATCTAGTAATTTTCTTTTCTTTTTTTTTTTTTTTTTGACGGAGTTTTGCTCTTCTTGCCCAGCCTGGAGTGCAATGGCACGATATTGGCTCACTGCAACCTCTGCCTCCTGGGTTCAAGCGATTTTCCTGCCTCAGCCTCCCGAGTAGCTGGGATTATAGGTATGCGCCACCACTCCCGACTCATTTTGTATTTCTAGTGGAGACGGGGTTTCTCCATGTTGGTCAGGCTAGTCTCAAGCTCCGGACCCCAGGTGATCCGCCAGCCTCGGCCTCCCAAAGTGCTGGGATTACAGGCGGGAGCCACTGCGCCCGGCCGAACCTAATAATTTTTTAGAACCTCTTTCGTGCAAGCCAGACATTGTCCTAAGCATTTTAGAGACACTATTTCATGTATGTGTTTGAAAAAGTTATCCCTATGAAAGCTAATGTTTCTGAACTGTGAAAGATAGCTTATTTGCTCCTTTAAATTCATGTGCCACTTTTTCCCATTACCTTTTTTAACATACATTATGTCTTCTGGGTCCTCTGACTTCTAAATGGCCTCAGCTCATGGTGAACCCTTAACAGGAGCTGCGAAGGATGAAGAGTTAGACCAGCATACTAATTCATCTTGCTTCTTCCCTGTAAGTAGCTACATCTTTAACGACTGATTCAAACAAAGCATAGACTGTACAGGATGTTTTACTTCTGATTTTGAGTAATGCACCTTCTCCTTCAGATGTGCTTGTGGTAAGGAAATGGCTGCTAGGAAGTGACAGGTTACTTTGCTATCCTTTGTGGTATCTCTACCCAAACCCTAATCCATCCACTTGTAATTAACCCTTCAGGAATTATACTGGTCTCCGTGTTCTATGTGTACTGCTTATGAACTGACATCTGTGTAAACTATTGAGAATTCGAGAAGCTTAACTCAAACATTGAACATCTTACGGAAATAGAGGGTGTGTCTCCACATTTCTATGAATATTAAGAGTGTTGATTTTTACTCTGTTGATTTTTAGCTTCTGTAAAGGTAATTTTTATTTTTTTATACTTATTTTTATGTATCATATGACTATTAATTGCTCCCAGGTAATGTGGACTAAAAGGGCTTTCTTAGTTGACACACACTCATGCACACACACACACAGATATGTATGCACACACGTGAGACATTTGCAATTGTAAAACCTACTATGGAGTGAAAAGGAAAGGGCATAGGCAAAATGCCATGGCTTACCTACAACTACAATTTGGATATTAGATATTTATTTTTTGTTCTTTCTTCATAGAACTGCTTTGACTGCTCAGGCTTTTAGGGGCTCCAAATGAATTTTAGAATAGTTTTTTTTCTAGTTCTGTGAAAAATGGTATTCATAGTTTCGTAGGGATAGCATTGAATCTATAGATTGCTTTGGACAGTATGGTCATTTTAACAGTATTGATTCTTCCAATTCATGAGCATGGAATAATTTTGCATTTGTGTCATCTATGAGTTCTTTTACCAGTGTTTGATAGTTTTCTTCTTAGAGATCTTTTGCCTCCTTGGTTAGATGTATTTCTAGGTATTTTAATTTTTGTAAATATTTTAAATGAGATTATGTTCTTGTTTTCAATCTTAGCTTGAACGTTATTGGGGTACACAAATGTGACTGATTTTTGTACATTGGTTTTGCATCCTGAAGCTTTCCTGAAATAATTTATCAGTTCAGGAGCCTTTTGTTGTCTTTAGGTGTGGAATAATATCAGGTGAAGAGAGAGAGTTTGACTTCTTTTTCTGTTTGGATGCCCTTTTTTTTTTCTCTTGCTGATTCCTCTGGCTAGCACTTTCAGAACTATGTTGAATAGGAGTGGTGAGAGTGGCCATCCATATTTTGTTCCAGCTCTTAAGGGAATGCTTCCAGTTTTTGCCTGTTCAGTATGATGTCAGCCATGGGTTTGTCATAGATGGCTGTTATTAGGGAGCATGTTCCTTTAATATCTAGTGTCTTGAGAATGTTTATCATGAACAGATGTTGGATTTTATTGAAATATTTTTCTGCATCTCTTGAGATGGTCATATTTTTTTTTTGTTTTAAATTCTGTTTATGTGGTGAATCACATTTATTAAATCCCACGTGTTGAACCAACCTTGTATCCCAGTAATGAAGCCTACTTGATCTTGGTGAATTAACTGATGTGCTTATTGAATTTGGTTTCCTAGTAATTTGTTGAAGATTTTTGCATCTCTATTAATCAGAGATACTGGCCTGTAGTTTTCTTTGTTGTTGTGTCTTTACCAGGTATTGATATTAGGGTGATGCTGGCTTTGTAAAATGACTTGTGGGGGAGTCCTGTCTTCTTAATTTTTTGAAATAGTTTCAGTAGAATTTGTAACAACTCTTCTGCATACATCTGGTAGAATTTGGCTGTGAATCCAGTTGGTCCAGAGTTGTTTTGATTAGTAGGTTTTTTTTTAATCACTGATTCAATTTCAGAACTCAATATTGGTTTGTTCAGTGTTTCAATCTCTTTCCCATTCAATCTTGGAAGATTGCATGTTCTCAGGAATTTATTTCTTCTAGATTTTCTAGTTTGTGTGCATAGAGGTGCTTATAACAGTCTCTGAGGATATTTTGTATTTCTGTGTGATTGGTTGTAATGTCACTTCTCATTTCTGTTTGTGCATAATTAGACCTTCCCTCTGTTCTGTTAATCTAGCTAGTGGTCTAAAAATCCTGTTTATATTTTCAAAAAATAAACTTTTGGTTTTGTTAATTCTTTGTATGGGTTTTGGGGTCTCCATTTCATTCAGCTCCACAATGATTTTAGTTACTACTTCTCTTCTGCTAGCTTTGGAGTTAGCTTGTTATTCTTTTTCTAGTTCCTCTAGATGTGATGTTAGATCATTAGTTTGCAATCTTCCTAAATTTTTGAGGTAGGTGTTTAGCTATAAACTTTCCTCTTCACACTGCTTTCACCATATCCCAGAAATTTTAATATGGTTTGTCTCTCTTCACTTATTTCAAAGAATATTTTTCACTTCTGCCTATATTTTGTTGTTTGCCTGAAAGTTATTCAGGAGCAAGTTGTTTAATTTCCTTTCAATTTTGTGATTTTAAGATATCTTCTTGGCATTGATTTATATTTTTTCCTCTGTGTTCCGAGAATGTGGTTGGTATGACTTCTATTTTTTTTAATTTATTGAGATTTGCTTTATGGCTGAGCATGTGGTCCATCTTGAAATACGTTCTATATACAGATGAGAAAAATGTGTATTTTGTCGTTGATGAATGGACAATTCTGTAGATGTCTATTAGGTCCAGCTGACCAAATGTCAAGCTTAAGTCCAGAATTTCTTTGTTAGTTTTCTGCCTTGATGATTTGTTTAATACTGTTGGTGAGTTGTTGAAGTTCCCCACAATTACTGTGTGGGCTGTCTAGGGCTCCTTGTAGATCTAAAAGTATGTGTTTTATGAATATGGGTGCTCCAATATTGGGTGCAAATATAATTAAGATAGCTTAGTCTTCCTGTTGAATTGAACCCTTTATCATTACATAATGCCTTTCTTTGCTCTTTTTTACTGTTACTGGTTTGAAGTCTGTTTTTTCTGATGTAGAAATAGTGACTCCTGCACTTTTATATTTTCCATGTGTGTGGTAGATCTTTCTCCAACCCTTTGCTTAGAGCTTATGGATGCCATTACATGTGAGATGGGTCTCTTGAAGACATCAGATAGATGGGTCTTGGTTTTTATTTGTTTTAATGTTGATCATATTTTAGAAAAGTATTGAGAAAAGTTGTCTTTCTGATAAATGTCATACTTTAGTAAGTAACAACTTGAGATTCACATCACAGAATTTGCCTTAGAGGTTGAGCAATAATAGCCTTTTTTTGACTAGGCTTGTAGCTTCTCTAAAATTTCAGAATCTGACCGGGCGTGATGACTCACGCCTGTAATCCCAGCATTTTGGGAGGCCGAGGCAGGTGGATCACGAGGTCAGATCGAGACCATCCTGGCTAACACGGTGAAACCCCGTCTCTACTAAAAACACACAAAAAAATTAGCCAGACATGGTGGTAGGTGCCTGCAGTCCCAGCTACTCAGGAGGCTGGGGCAGGAGAATGGTGTGAACCTGGGAGGCGGAGCTTGCAGTGAGCCGAGACTGCACCACTGCACTCAAGCCTGGGCAACAGAGCGAGACTCTGTCTCAGAAAAAAAAAAAAAAAAAAAAAAAATTATCTCTCAAAAAAGTTTTATATGCAACTTTTTTAAATAAATGTTTTACTAATATAAAGATGCATAGCATATAACGCACAAGTAATACATTATTAGTTCCCTTTTCAGGGGGAGTTTTTGTTAATTTTTGTCAAACTCTTAAATCCATAGATAACTGACTGCAGTTAGCAAATAAGTAGAGTTTCAATATGAATATTGGTTACTACTTTTATATACATTAGTGGTAAGATAAAAGTAAAATTAAAACCTTTACTTGTTCACCAATGATGCACTCTTCTGAGAATCATAATTTTTTAATACAAGGATAATATGTCCGTGTATGTTAGGGTGGTTCACAATGTAATGGTTACAGACATAATTTAAAAAATAATCTGCATTATTAACATACTTTTATTCATTCTTTATTTTTACTTTTATTAATTACTTTTGTTCTACACAATCAACAAAATATTAAATTGAACCCTGATATGTGGTGTTAATTTTCATGCTGTAACTACTCTCTTCATGACTGAATTACAAGCTACAACCTGAGACCATTAATAGGAAGTTGGAGAGATGCACATTGGCTTGCCATTATATAGTGTTGCCATGATACAAACATCATCTATGTAAATATTTTCGGTAGCATAAATCACAGCAAAATATAGCGAAATACTTAGGAAGTGATGAATTTAAGTAATTTATTTTCCTTATTTTTAATATAATTTAATTATAAATTAAAATGTTTATTTTTAATAATTTCTGTGTCTAAAAATGACCTCAAAATATTTCTAAGAATTTAATAGTTGGATCTCATAAGTTGATATGAGATAGCTCTCAAACACAATTGTGTATAACTAAAAAGTCTAGAATTATAGCTAGTTTTAGTCAGAAAATAAAATGATGTGGTCAGAATTTTAATTCTCTCATCTAAGGGAATAGCTAAGATTTAATTTTACATCTAGATTGGGTCACATGTTCATATCTGGACGAATTAATTACAACCATCCAGTTAGAATACACTAGTCAGAACTGGGTCATGGACAACTTCTAGAATTTGCAGATTTATCAGGTTCACCTAAACCTCATTGATTCAAACTTAAAAACATTATTCCATCAAAGAAAATTGGCGAAAAGAACTGCTAAACAATTATTGCATACTCTTTCCAAAAATATACACCTACAGTATAAAATACTAATAATGAGAATATGTTTATTGAAAATTTAGTATATTTCAAACACTGCTAAAAACTTTTACATATTATCTCATTAGATCAAATAAGACAACTTTATCATTAATATTATTTATCTTCATTTTAAATATGAGTAAGTCTCTAGTTATGTCTTTCTATTTAAGATCATATATGGAAAGTATTAGGATGGTGCAAAAGCAATTGTGGTTTTGCCACTAAAAGCAATGGCAGATGACTTTTAGTTTGTAATAGTAGATTGTAATCTGTGTTAAAATCTGTATTCCAATCTTGACTCCAAAACTTACATTTTACATATAGAATGCAACACACTTAGTGAACCCCACATTCTCATCATTAAAAGTCCATTCACTTTTGTTCATGGCCCTTTTGATCATAGCGTCATAGAATATTTCAGCTGCACAACAAAGCTACCCATTGCCTAGAACATGAAAATAAGTGAGAGGTGCTGTCAATCTAGGATAAAAACAGTAGAACATGGTTCTAATGTATGAAGAATGTCTTCTTTAGGAGATCAATAAATAGTAAGTTGATTAGACAAAAACGTGATTGACTAAGTTTGAATAATGAAAAAAGAAAGAGAAGACTAGAGTGGCAAGTAATAAGCTGAAGCTGGGGACACATGAAAAATTAATAGAAAAAAACTTATTGAAAGAAAAAGTTGCAAATGCCTTTATTTTTGTTTATTTTAGGTCTATATGGCTTGAATAAGCTTTTCTTCCCAAATCCATATATTCCAGGTAGATACAGTAAACTTCATTAGATTTGCTTCCAATAGTTTGTAGTCATTGTTTAATTGGGGATTTTTCTGCTACTCCAAATATCATATGGAATCCCAGTCATCTCTTAGTGTCTTTTTTAAAAATGAATTTGCCAATATTTTATAGGTAATACAAGTCCAGAATAGTAAAATTATCCAATAAAGGCAAGCCAACTAATCAATTAATCTGAAAATAAAATTGTCACCTGAAATTCTACTATGTAGGGGTCATTGCTGTTAAACATTAGGGCCCTCCACTATTGTGGGGCCAATTTAGTTCTATACACTTTCTGATACTCTCAACTGTGTCACTATAACACGTATCCCTTGTCCCGATCACCAAGTCTTTTTCTTATTCTTCTACTCTCTCAAATTCTTAAAATGAGACCCAACATTGTCTGAAGGAAAAACTTGGGGCTGGGAATTAGGATCTTATCAATGAAAATGAAGTAATCTAAAGGTCACTGGATATCTTTAGATATTTATTAACATAGATGAAATATGGCTAGCAACATAGAAGCAGAAGATATTGTGAACAGAAAATAAGAAGATGAAATTATCTAAAATAGGAAGTATAAAAAAAATCAAGGACATTGGAAGTGAGCCTGGGGGAGCAAAGTTACTCTATCTTTTAAGTAATAATTTTCTTTATTTCTTTTAATAATACATTATTTAGAAATTATAAGGCTAAGTATTAAAACTTGTGATACCAGTGTGCTCAAATTATGTCTACCCATTGGAGATTCTCACTTTTATCTTTTCAATTTATATTTTAGAAAAATTACTTGTCCCTGTTTAACTGTATATTCATCCCAATATAAAATACATAAATAAAATGATATAGTAGACTCAATACTTTAAAAAAAAAACTTAAATTCTAACATTCTGTAGTTCTTACACATCTCATTTGTAAAACAAGTAACTGATTTTTAAATTAATGCCCTATAAATAGGTTAAATTTATTTTTAAATTTGCCCTCCAGAGAAAAGGGTTGTAGCATTCTATTTTCAACATACAAAATCAATCTAGATATTGAAATAACCTTGTCAATGGCAGATATTCTAACAGATGATCTAACCACTAATTTTTGCGTATGATTTATAGCAATTTTTTATTTGAATCTGTAGGATGTAAATACTTTTTACGCTGAACATGTCACCAAACAGTACAAGACTTTAAGCTAAAAGTAGCTAGGAAATACATAGGGACTCTTAAGGTGTTTGAAACAAAGATTTTACAAGGCTTATCGTCTGCTGAAAGAAAAAAAAACATTTCTTCATTTCCGATAATGTCAGAATAGATAGGCCATTGTTGCACACATAACTGATTCTGACTGTAAGAGTGAGTTATCCCAAGTGAAATCCTCTAAATGCTTGCTTGACGCAATAGGATGAAAATTTGCAAGCAAGAAAAGTTGAAAAGCAAGCCTTGGGGCTGAAAATTTGCAAGCAAGAAAAGTTGAAAAGCAAGCCTTGGGGGAAGGAACAGAGTATCAACATCACAATAAAATCTGCATTTGCCATTTTAAGTAGGATCCTGTAGCAGGATGTAGAGGAGCCTGCTGTGTTTAAAAATGATCTTTTGCCCTTATGTGTGTATGTTTCAGCATTGAAATAATCAGTCCTCTTTCAAATATAATTTGATAGCATAATTAAAGTACCCCACTAGCACAACTTTTGAAGCTAAGCTTTTCATTTTTCTAGTGCACTTAGAAATTTTTTCACTTGTATTTGATACCCCAGACCAATTGACTTAGAATTCCCTGCCTGATATTGTAAAGAATTTACTTCTATTATGTCTTTTAACACATAAAATGTTGTAAACTGTCACCTCTAATTATGGTAGCATGCAGGCAATGAAGCCTAACAGGACATCTGACTAAACTAGATGTGACATGTTAGTATCACAATACACCAAATTTGAAAGAATGCCCTTCTTTCACTTTATATTAGAAAATATTTGATTTTGCTTTGTCATATTTTTTGCTTTTCTTTTAGGATTCAGTAATATATAAAAATACCAAGTTTTAAAGTTGAGCGAACCCAAGACCTAAGGCCTTGAAGTAATTAACAAATGAGATGACATGTGTTTGCCTGTGCATATGCATTTAAGCATATTTATGAATACAGTCATGTTGGAGGCTTGATTTACACAGCATCTTTTAGATATTCAGAGGTTACTTTGGAGCAGCCTATACTTTTGACCTTTAGCAATGTTCTTGCAAACCAGTCATTCAATTCTACTGGAATGAGATTAAAACAATCCAAGTATGGCTGTGTATTGATACGCTTCTCCTTGTGTCCCTCTCCCCTCCCAGCACCCCAAGGCTCTGGTAAAGAAATTTCTGTTTTTGTTCTCCAGACTCCTTATATAGGTCTAATCTATTACTCTTTATTCACCAATGTCTGTATATTGTAGTGACTAATTTCTTGTTAATTCTTCTATGGAGACTCTTCTGCAAAATTCTTGAGAAAATGATTTCATTAAGTCTTACATTCTGGTTGCAGTTTATGTTTGGCCCTTAGATTTTGGGATTCAAGTCTACCATTCACAGCCTAGAGAGACAAACATGATAGACACAAACATGATAGATAGCAGTTGTTTTCTTTTGGATAATGGAGTTAAGATTTCTTCCATATAAACAGTTGGGGGAAAAGCAGACATATTTATTAGGCCCTATTTAAGAGTTTATTGATTCTGTTTAACAAATCATTAAAAACTTCAAAAAAAAAAAAACAAACGGTGTGGAAGGAACTTTCAATGCTGAACATTAAACATTGAAACTTGAACATTAAAGCTCGAACATTGGCTTTCAAACACACCAACAAAACAATTATTATATGTATGTAACTTTCACTGTATGAATTTACATGCCAACTTGTAGATTTCTCTTTGTAGAGAAGAAAACATGAAAGATTAATATATTGCTTTATAGGCCGTTAACAAGTGCTGTATTTTATCCAGCAGTCTTATTTTAACATTTCTCCCCACATTATCTTTATATGCCAGTTCCACAAAATGTATTTTAAACCAGTTTTACCTTCTTTTTGGTTCCCTCATTAATGAGTTGTGTATAATCTTAAAATATGTTTATCCTAGGTTTGTGTGAGAATCATCTTTTTAATATAAAACTTCTAAATTTTGGTTATGTCCTAGATAACAGATGAAAAGAAATTATTATACTTGAAGCATTTTTTTATTCCAATTAATCTCGGTAATAAATCTATTAAATTTAGCTCAAGAAATATTTGTGGAATGACTACTTATACAGGTAATGTGATAGCACCTGAAAGGGGAAAGGTTTCCTTGTCCACCTTGCAGGGCATGTGACAGGGGAAGTGGCTTGCTTCTTCAGTGCCCTGCTGCTCAAACCTCTCCGGGAGGATACAGATGGGCAGGCTGTGGGGCTCCGACCCCAGGGCAGCGTCCAGGAGTGAATGTTTACAGCTCCTGAAGCCCCAGTGGGCAAGTGTTATAGGGTGCTCTTTTAGTTTTGCCGTCTATAGGATTGTGTTAACCACCTCAATTACACCCTCTACCTTGTTGCAAGGACAGAGGGCTTTCTGTACCCCAGGTTCTTACCTTGATGTACTGGAAGAATTGGCTCACACCTGGGCTTGGAGAATTAGTACAAGGTTTTATTTAGTGGCAGTCTCTCTCAGCAGATGGGGGAGCCAGAAGGGAGATGGTTTTTCCCTGATGTGGGGCCGTGGAGCTTCTCCAACTGCTCTGGCCAAATTCTGCATCATTCTGCTGGCGGATGGCCTGCTGGCCTGCCGGTATCTTCCACCTGCGTGCTCCTCTTGACATCCTCTTTACGTCTAGCTGCTTGTGTGTCTGCCTGCTAGGATCTCAGGGATTTTTATAGACACAGGATGGGGCATAGCGGCCGAGGGTGGTCTTAGGAAATGCAACATTTGGGCAGAAGGCAGGTGAAGCCCTAGCCAGGGACCATGCCCTCCTTTATCCAGCTCTTCCCTTCCCCACTTCTGTATCATTTAAAGGGACCATGACCTTCCCTTCCCAGCACTCCCACGTCACAGCCACTCATAAAAAGTGTCTACCATCTGGTCGCTTCACTCCAAAAGATCCATGTAAGAAAATTTAAAAGAAGATATACAAGATAATAAATGATAAACATTTATAGATAGTCATAATAAAGTGGATCATAAGAAAGGTGAAAGGCTGTAGAAACTGATTAAATAAAAATAACTACAAATTCAGAGAATATACCATTTCTTCTAAAAAGTACGTATTCAACTTATGTTAAAAATGACACTGTAACCACTCTTCTACTCTCAGTGAAATCAACTTTTCTGTCAAATTTAAAGGATGATACTGTACAGCATTTCTCACTAACCATATTTTTTCAACTTTTTTCTTTCTATTCTAACAACCCTTTAATTTTCTCAACGTTCTTGGCCGATGCCTCTTACTTAATGCACCAAGCATTCAACAGTCAGCTACTTGGAATGTGACTGATATGGTGGATATGGATGTTTCCGCTGCCATTAAGGACATCAATTATAACTGAACAGTAACCACAGACAAAAAGCCTTATGAGATAATAACTAGTTCTCCATAATTTAACACTCTCAGTAAAAACAAGCCATGATTTCATAATGTAACATTCTTTATTTTGGTATAAATATGAAAAAATCAGATTCATAATACATTTGTCTTGAATTTTTTTAACTCATAAAGAAGAACTTTATCAGGAATGTTCACCACTTCTACTGCCTCAGCTTTCTATTAGGTATGATTTTAGATGCAAAAGTGTTTTTTAAACGAGGTTTTATATTGATCTCCCATTATACTCAAGCACTCACTAACATAAAAAACTCACAAGTACATAGTAAGTTTGAAGATAACAGATTTATAATTTTGATTTTCAATAGAAAGTATTTTATCCTAATTTACTTAGAAGATAATAGCATATTTAGAAATGAAAAATAGTTTTCACTTTTTAATGCAACCAGTTAAAAATAGTTAACTGACTCTCATAAGGGAAAGGTATTTTGTAGTACTTAAGACAAAAAGATATACTTGTAAATATTACAGATATATTTTAAAGTTGACAAAGTATTCTCAGCCATTTTAAGTCATAATCTGTCAAAGACAAAATTATGCCACTACAGAGGATCCAAGATGATAGGTCTGATCTGTCAGTCATGAAGGTTTATAACAAATAGTATAGATTGAAGCAGATCAAGCATGAAGTCCAAGAAAATTGTCTAATGCTGTGTTGTGTTGGCAAATTCCAAAGGTGTGGAGATTATAAAATTAGAAAGTGGCAAGTGAACAGTTTGAGAGACAGTGGGCTCATCAATGGAGACATGACATAAACAACAGAATTGCTTTACAAAAGGAAAATGGACATTTTTCAGAGACTATCATCCCACCTATAATTGCTTTAACTAGTGCACAAATGACTTCCTAAGATGACAGGTATCAATCTTTCATCAACCTTTCTCTGCAGTGATGCATAGAATAGATGGTGTTAAGGTATCCAATGGAAGTGTCAGGGTCAATAACATAGGACATAATAATATAAAATCACTGCAATACTTATTCCACTGTTAGAAAAAAAGATAACAAAAATAACATACCAGATTACTGGCATTGAGGTTGAGCATGACTTTGCAGGAATGACCAGGGCCTAAAATATGCCTCTCATTTATTTCAGTGGGTATTTGTGAAGCCAAAACTCAGTTCATATATTAGACAAGGTGTTGGAGAAAAAAGAATGAGAAAAAGAGAGGTGTGGTCCCTCCTTGCTGTCACAAAGTTTACTCAAGTAACGTGTACTCAAGCAAGCAAGCAACATAGCATATTGCAATAGTGTTTCAATAGGAAAATACAAGTTAACTGCAGCAGCACATTTAGGAGAAAACAATTTTCCAGGAAGGATTTTCGGAGACATAGTTATTACAGGAGTAGTTACTCATCATACTTAATACATACGTATATTTATAATAGGTTGTACTTTTGTATACTACAATTCAAATACGCCAACTTATTTTCTTTAGTCTATACGAGTTTATTTTCTTTATGCAAGTTTATCTTGCCCCATTACTTCTATTATTTAAAAAAAGAAAAATACATACATATATATGCATATACACATCTATATGTATATGATAACTCAGTCTCTACTGATTTAAAAATAGTTAATACTAATCAATTCAAATGTTCTCTCAAAGTCAACCAAAATTAACAGCCCCTGCTCAGAAATCATACATAAATCTAAAGTCTTCACGCTTATGCTGTACTACACTTCATGAATTTTTGTTTACGGAAATCAATATTTTATGCCAAAAATAGAATGCTCCTTAGAAAATAATTGAAAGAAGGAAATTCATTGTATAACAGAAGAGTAGCAGTTGATTGAGATAAAGAGATTGTTACATGCATGAGTTAAAATGCTTAATTGTGTTTGGATCCTATATCAGAACTAATTTCCTCTCTTTTTAGGTTAGCATTGAGGTGAATCCCTTGATGATAAAGCCATATCATCACCTGTTTTATTCTAAACAAAGACATTTATAAAAATGGTAAACCTGATTAAATTTCATAGTATTAAGAAAGATTCTTGTGTAAGATTGTTATTAATTTTTACAATGCTCCTAATGTCAGCTGAGGTAAAATTAATTAGAACAACTGTATCTTAGGAAAATAGAGTCAATGAGCAGAGATTATCACATATTTAAAGGAAATAAGAGCAGATGAAAGCTGTTCCTGAGGAACGAAGTAAAGAGAGTTTGAGACAGTGGAAGATGGAACAGGAAGAAAAAAATAAGATAAAATGGTGACATCTCTTAAAATTGTTTTGGAAGAGTCATTTACACACTATGGATGAATAGCAATTTATTCCTGGAAATGCTTGTTGCACAGGTTGTGCAAATTCTCAGTTATGGATAGATTTAGTTATTGATCAGTCATACTGCTTTCGAGAATTTTAATCGTTTAGATCTCTTAAAAAGTTCCCATGTATATAAACAAAGTCCATTTACTTGATGGCATTATATTAGCCTCAGGATATTTGGAGGACTTGCATACTTGGAGACAAGGGCATTCCAGACATCAGATGTTTTCAGGACAACCCTCTCACTCAGTGAAACAGATTGTATGTTTTTTCCACTGTGGCTTGCTCCTATTTATTTCTATTTCCTTCAGCCCAGAAAGGATTATTGTAATGTATCAAGTTCATCAGCATTTTTAAAATTCTTACATTAATCTATTTAAATTGAGGTTCTATTTTACCTCAAAGATATCTATTACCTGTATTTATCCAATTGAGTTCTTGCCACATATATATATTTTTTTAATTCTGCAATTCCTCTGAACTTTTTAAGAGATCTTCACTTGCTGGTTAGAATAATCCTCAAGTTTTTCTAATCATAGCACTTTTATTTTCTCATTCTTCCGATTGAAATTCTATCCTCTTCATTTACAAAGGTGAATATATTTGGAACTGTCATCTCCAATGAAAAGCAATTAGAAACCCTAGAAAAGATATTTGAAATAATTATTACAAACCATTTTACAATTTGTTAATTTTTCCAGATTTCTATAAAAAGCAAATGCAAATAGGAAAGAAACAGGAACTGGGCCTTCATATGTTTTCCAATCTGAGCTGACTTCAAGACTTGAAGATTAGCTAGCGGTAAACAAGATAAAATAAATTTAAAGAGGATGATAAATGTAGAAGTTATCAAAGATTACAATTTTTTAAAATCTCAAAACTTTTGTTTAAAGAGATTCCCATCAAAGGAATTTGTATCAAAAAGAAAATGAATAAAGCTGAAATGTAATTAGAATCAATAAGAAAATATCAGAGCTGGAAGGACATTAATAAATCCTTAGTAAAAATAGCATTATACAGATGAAAAAAAAAGTCTGGGGTCAAGAAACTTAATTGATTTGTCTAAGGTCATGTTACTTTTCAATTCATTTCCAAGACCAGTGTTTCTCCAAATAGAGATTAATGAAAAGAAGAAAGAAAAAGCAGATCTCCACTTTTCACAATACCGAAATTGTGCCAGTACTGTTAAGAGAAAAATATGTTTTTAAGAACTCAACAAACATTAATCAAATGCCACTGTATTCTGGATAATATGGTATAGATTCAGTCATTTCTGTTGTATCCACATCATGTCCTTCAAGAATCCAACGAAGTTATACTCTCAAAGAAGCATTAGATGATATCAAATGAAAATACACTCTTTAATCAACAGGATCAACTAAAGGGGCGTGGGGGAAAGGGGTTGATCTGTTCAGTGTATGCAACAGTGAAGCAGTTGGAATTTCATAGAAAGAATAACTCCCAGGGCAGAAGGAGATTTGAACTTCGTATCTACAAAGGAGAAAGTCTTATGATGGCAGGCTTGCAGGCTTTGTTACATTGAGAATATAAAAAGGAACGAATTTAAAAGTTTTAGTCAAACTGAATTAGAAAAATAGAGATACTCTGGCCTGTACTTAATGTAACACCTCTTGGCATCCCTCAAAATTTTGGTAAGATATCTAAACCTCTCAAATCTTAGTGACTGAAATTATCATAAAAATTAGAGCACAAGAGAGTCACGATGTCTTAGTGTGATCAGCAGGACACATATCGGGAAGCTCATTGTTAAGTAGAGTCCTTCAGAGAAGATAGGCAAAAAAGAAGTATACAGCAGATAAAATCTTTTCAGTAGAGCAAACCTCGGGGAAAATTGAAGTAAGTGAAAATTGATCCGTGCCTTAAGTTTTTAAAAAATTAGTATTGAACAAATTAATAGATACTTTTCTGACTTTTCTGATTTCAATATTTGATAACCTATTCTTCTTGAAAATTGCTCTCTTCTTGATTTCCATAATACTGATCACCACTAGTTTTTCTCCTTTGTTATTACTTTTTATTGGCAGAAGAAGCCGTTGAGATTCTGGATTTGATAGTAGATGAGACAGAAAAAAAAAAAGGCAGAGTACCTGAATTGTTTGGTTTCTTAGTTGCTGGTAGAAAAAAGTGTAATGACCTCCCACCCTACACAAAATCTTTTGGACAGCCTGGACCAACTTCTTCCATTTCCTTTCCTCTGTCCGCACCATAAATACTAGTGTTCTTCAGTGTTTGGCTATATTCTCTTTTCTTCTATATTTTACACTTCACTGGGCAATTGTATCAACTTTAATTTAATTGACCCCACTATTATATTAATAGTAACTCCTAAATCTTCCTTACTAGCACATATGGCATCTTTTTATTCGTACACACCCAAGCAATAATAGATCTTGACAATCAGATGTTGTACAGGACGCTGATATTTAACATGCCTAAAATTCAGTTCATTAATTTCTTCTAAGAAAGTTGTAATAAAAATGCTAAGAAAAGTTAAAACTACTGATATTGGATTAGGAGAATTTTATGAGGAAGTATTTTTGTGGTTTCTCCATGTATTACAACTACATATGCTAATTGATTTTTTGTGTGCCAGGTAATTATCTTAGTAGGAATATAAGGTGCAGAAATGACACAGAGTCCTTACAGAGCTGGCATTCTTATCAGCACAAAAATAACTATCTAGAAACAAATAAATATACAACAAACTTCTAACAGTAAAAGATAATGTGTGTTAGGGAAGTAGAGTTGGGACAGGGATATTTCAGATGGAATTATCCGAAAGGACCTCTCTGAGATCTTTTGAAAAGAGAAATGGGTGAGGTAAAGAAGAAAATATGTCAAGCTTCACAGGAAGAGTAAGGCACATTTTCCTAAGTAAATGCATTTTCCAATTTAGTAGTAAATTGTATGTTGTCTAGATAATTCTTTTTAATAAATACGGAGAAATACTGGGCATGAGTGTTTTACTCTGAGAACATATGCACTGCATTTAAGGTTAAGGAAACACTGGCTCAAAAATAGATATATACTCACATGGAAAAAAAGTAAAATAGATTTAAGACAATGAATTGTTTAACTTTTATCTCAATTAGATAAACATATTTGTACATCTTAACCAAGTTAAATATTCACCTTTAAATAAAAGAGTTTTTTTTTAAAAAAGTAATGAATATAGTGCAAAAAAATTGTGGATTTGAAAGTGAATTAGGTTTCAATTTTGACATAACAGGAACTTCCTTTGTCATTTTTTAGTGTTGTGTTTATATTTATAGCTTACACACTTTCTGCAAATACATTAGACTCAAATATTGACATTAATTGTCATGTTTAACACAGTCAACTTAAAATATGAGATACAGGATAAATATTTTATGTGAGTCAATAACTATGTTCATTTCCCAATGCTTGAGAAAAAAATTCAGGCACCAGTTATTACCTATTATAGTGGTTGATGTGAAAACCTAAAGAAAATTCTTTTGTAGTACAAACTTTTAAAAAGTTTACCAAGATTATCTCTAAAATGATACAATGATAGATTTCTTCATGGAAGAATAACGATATTTAAAATAACAAGGAAGCTTGAAAATTTTAAGTACAGATAGATTATCAGTTATAAATGGTGTGAAATGATAAATGTTATTTGTATAAAACCAGAAACAATAAAGCATTTTTATCTTCTGTAATAAAATCTCAAAATTTATGGAAGTCAACTCTTATTTTAAAACAATATGTGTTTACAGCCCTAATATTTTGCATATGCATATTTAGGTTGGCAGCCTATGGAAATGCTTACTTATGCATAGTATATGAATTTCTAGTAATCATTTATTATAAAGAAATATGAATAAGTGTGCGTTAAGTGCAAAACTGATGTTTACCTCCAAATAATTTATATTAGTAATTTGCTCCAGAATGGTTCACCTATTTTTGCTAAGAGAACGTTTTGATCTAGTTTTCTAATTACAAATAAGTCAATATTACACCCTCACCTTATGTTTAATGTTTTGTGTTTAAAACTTTTTCCTTATCCTTGAAGATAGATAATCCGGTTATGAATATAATCTTTACAATATATCTGGAATGCTCACTTTATTTACATTTGGAAGCAATGTCTTTTAAAATGACACAATCATATATAAAATAATCTGAAAATTAATTGGAATCGATAATGCACTTATAAATTTTAATTACATACTACTATCTTATTAAAAATTAAACATGATTATGTAAAAAGTGAATAAACTCTTGAGAAAATCAAGACCATGTGAATATTATTTCAGGCAGGTTGGATAAAGAAATTTCTTATGATTGTGTGTCTTTCATTAGTACATGACCCAAAAATTAAAAGTATATATTTTCATACATTGTTTTCAGTTTTTAATCAGGAATAAAACATGATGAATGACAGATAGCTATTTCTGATATATTTAAAAATCAGTAAATTCTATATTGCAGTAATGTGCTAATATTCCTTTTAGTCAATCTGATACATTCAAGACAATGGAAATTTTGAATTATAACATCAAAATGTCATTTTTATCATTTTAATATTTTTACTGAGGTGTCACAATAAAAAAATATTGGGAGATGAAAAGTTTTAATAAATATAATTAAAATGATTCATGCAATAATATTTAACACTTTGTGCCACCACATAGAATGTATGATTGCATAAGTTTAAATATTCCAAAGCTTTATGCAATTATGTAAATTAGATGTGACATTTTATCATTAATAAAAACATATAGTGAATTTTAAGTTTCAGTGCCTTCAAGCTATTAAGTGGCAGAATCTGTAAACAAGGTATAACTTTCTCATTAAATTTACTCTATATCAAATTGAATCTGAGATCAGATTATATAAAAAACACAAAATAATACCATAACTTTCAAGTCAAAACAGTATTTCAACTTTATAAAGATGGAAGATGTACAAGAAGAGAAAACTCCTTAAAATTATAAATCAAACATCTAATGTTTAGATTTTATTCAACACTAAGGAGACCTTTTTATTTTTTAATATGCATGATTTCACTTTATTTACAGAAATTTTTGATACATAAATGAAATAATTTGTTACTTTATAAGAGAAAAATTTGTTATCTCCTTTTTTCAAATATATGCTTCGATTAATACTGTTTGATATATAAAGCTTGATATCCATAGAATGTTTCAAGAAGATTGCCTTTTGATATAAATGAAGTACATATAAAATGTATATTAAACTACCGGCTTCCAAAAACAAATATAATGGTTGTACTATAAAAACATAATTTTGAATCCTGAAATTGTGGAAACAATTTATAATTCATTTTTAGTATAACTAGTTCCTAAACTGTAAATTTAAATAATAATTGATAAATTATAAATAATCGTAAATTATAAATAAATTGATAAATTTTAAAGCAAGTATCCCATTTATTTGACAACATTTATATTGGGTAATTAACAAAATTTTGTCATTGTAACACGAAGCCATTTTCTCAAAATTATAAATGAGATCTCAGTACACCCAGTTCACATTTCATTACCTCCTTCTTTAGAGTATTTCCCAATATATAGCTCTTTACAATTTTATAATATTTTGACATGTCTTTTTATGGTGTAGTTGGATGAGTCCACTATTTGTTTATGTACAGAGTTCAGCATGCAGTTTCTGCCACTTAATAACTGGTTAATCTTAAACTAGTTTTTATGCTTTCATCTCAATAACTATTATGGGAAAAATAATTTCTAGGGGAGATTTGTTGAAATGTTAACAATGCATTATTATGTTGGCCCTCCTATGTTTGTGTATATGGGCATTGCATACATAGGAGAAGGATATCATGAAAATTCCAAACAAACATATAAAAAGACATGGTAAATATCTACCTTACAAAACAAGAACTTGTCATATTTTTGAATGTCTATATGCAAAAAGATACGACATATTTAAAGTCTAAACAAATATTAGAGACATAGGGCTCAAGGAAACCAAAACACTTAGCTGAATAGATAAAGGCCATAAATCATCATAATAATAAACAAACACAAATGCAGAGAAGTAAGATAGTACTGTGACTGGTATTAACACTGAGAACATCTGTTGAATACTTTTGGCCTAGAACTGAATCTTAGTGGATATATATATATATTTTTTTCTTTTCTTTTCTTTTTTTTGCACAGATTGAGAGATAAACTACCAAACCTGGAACCCATAAAGGGTGAAAAGTTAGTTTAGAGATGAGACCCCCACAGGGAATGATCTCCTGAGTGCACAAAAGTGCCCACTTGTTAACAAAAACAAAAGATAATGTATTTGCCCATGTTGACAATAATATTGAGTAGAAATTGAAAATAAAAGCTAAAAGTCTCCACTAAGTTTCCAGAGACACAATCTAATTGTTACCGGTGGAGTGTGTCTGGATCCTTGGTATTTTGAACAAAGAACTGGACAAAATGCACAAACAAAGCTAGGAAAAATGAAGCAACAAAAGCAGAGATTTACTGAAAATGAAAGTACACTCTACAGGGTAGGAGCTGGCCTGAGAGAAGGTGCTCAAGAGCCTGATTACAGAGTTTTCTGAGGAAACCCTCTAGAGGTTTCCCATTGGTTACTTGGTGTACACCCTATGTAAATGAAGTCATAGCCCACATCAGAATGATTGTTTCTCAGAATTGTTGAAAAATGCCAATTCTCAGATTTGGGGCAGTGGCCAAATAAATTAAAAAGCAACCTATAAATATCATTCTAAAATAAGTCAAAATTTAAAAAATAAACAATATGAAAATCGATGTAAAAGAAAGCAAAACATAAAATTATAGAAATAGATGAAAATATTAACTATTTTTAAAATATTAATGGTAAAATGCCTTAAAAAATTCCCTCTAAGAAAAAAAAAATTGCCAGTTGAGTTTCAAGCCTAAAGACAGTTTCATGGCTGAAGACTATGAGACAGGCTAAGGTAAGAGAATTGCCTGAGCCCAGAAGGTTATGCCCAACGTTGGCAATCTAGCAAGACCCTGTCTCTAAAACAAACAAAAAAATTATCAGACTAAATAAAAAAAAATCCAAATTTACGCTATTTAAAAAAACTTTCTAATGCTTAAAGATGATCAAAAGTAAAATAACTGAGAAATATCTCAGGTGAGTACTAATCACAAGAATCTTACTCTACGTAGGCTATTACCAGTAGAATAAACTTCAAGGTAAAACAATGAGAACAAACAAAAACAAAACCTGTAACTCAAGATCAAGACCAATACAGACTCAAAAAGTTTTAGTACATATTAGATTATATTTGTTTTAAATTTACAGTAATAAAAGAGCTTAAAAATATACAAAGCAAAAATGATGGAACAAGGATAGCTATAAGTCAATGATAGACTAAATGCATATATAGTTCAATATATGTATAAAAATTTAAACAACAAAATTAATACGTTTAAGCTGAATAGAATACATAGAATGCAGCCTGTATTAGTCTGTTTTCACAATACTACAAAGAACTATCTGAGATTGGGTAATTTATGAAGAAAAGAGGTTTAATTGACTCACAGTTTTGCATGGCTGGGGAGGCCTCAGGAAACCTACAATCATGGTGCAAGGCAAAGGGGAAGCAAGGCACATCTTCCCACAGAGGCAGGAGAAAGAGAAAGAGCGAAGGGGGACGTGCCACACTTCTAAACCATCAGATCTCCTGAGAACTCACTCACTATCAGGAGAACAGCAAAGGGCAAATCTCCCCCCATGGTCCAATCACCTTCCACGTGGTCCCTCCCTCAACACATGGGGATACAATTCGAGATGAGATTTGGGTGGGGACACAGAGCCAAACCGTATCACAGCCCTTCCAAACTAAAGTATATATATTGTTTCAAAAACCCATGATATATTTGGATAAGTAATCATGTGCTGGTCATATCTTATTAAAAAATTAGTATCATAGGCCTTATTATTCAGCCATATTCTTATCACTATAGACATTAGTAACAACAGTAAAATAACATAAAAGACGCTTTGGACATAAAAATTTAATGAGCACATACGAAAATACTAATATAAATAAAATTCCTTAGAACTCAGTATGTAAATATTACTTCTTGAAACTTGTAAAAGGCAGATAAAGCAGTACATATAAATTTGTATTACACAATATATGGTAATTAATTATAACAGATGGGATGAAAAAAATCATCATTACTAAGATGTCAAATTCCCCAGATTAATCTGTCAAATTTTACTGTATTTGGTGGAATATCATTATGTCATATCTCATTAAATGTCAATGACTTTCAACAAGATAAGAAGTTCTTGTTGATAGATTGATCATCTCCCAATAGGCAGCCTTAGTACTCCAGTTTTTCTTAGTGACTCACTGGCTACTTATTTTGGGCTGGGGATTACTATGATGGAGCTGTATGGCCCTGGAAAGAAACAGATGATTATTTGAAAAACATGGTAGCATTTTATCCTGTTGAGCATTTTTCCAATTGTAATCTTTTTATATAATATTAAAACATAGCCTTTTCAAAAGTTAATTAATATACTAAAAGCCATTAAAATATCCTAATTTGGAAAATCAGACTAGTTTTAATTACCCATACAATTCTAAGGTTTATGACCTCTGAAGTAATGTTCCACAACTGTTTTGTAATCAATCTGTAATTATTTTTGTGATGTCATAGGTACAGTAGCTGATCCCCCTCCAAAAAATAAACAGCTTTCAAAACATTTGTTATTATTTATCATTGTCTATGCATGTATTCATTTTGTGCTGCTATAACGGAATACCTGAGACTATGTAAATTATAAAGCACATAAATTTATTTCTCACCAGTCTACAGACCAGGAAATCCAAGGTGAAAGGGCTGGTAAAACTTTTAAGGGCCTTCTTGATGCATAATGCCATGGCAGAAAGCAAAAGGGTGAAGAAAGCTGGGTGTGGTGGCTCACACCTGTAATCCCAGCACTTTGTGAGGCTGAGGTGGGTGGATCACAAGGTCAGGAGATCGAGATCATCCTGGCCAAAATGGTGAATCCCCGTCTCTACTAAAAATAGAAAAATTAACTGGGTGTGGTGGCGCGTGCCTGTAATCCCAGAAACTTGGGAGGCTGAGGCAGGAGAATCACTTGAACCGGGGAGTCAGAGGTTGCAGTGAGCCGATATAGTGCCACTGCACTCCAGCCTGGCGACAGAGTGAGACTCCGTCTCAAAAAAAAAAAAAAACGGTGAAGAAAATAAATCCAAATTATTCTATGTGTCATATTAAGTCAGATCTATCCTACTGTCCATATGATAAAAGAGCTGTAAGTAAAATTAAATCTAAATAAAACATGGTTTAAATGAATTTGACATTTTATTTTTCTTAAGTGAAAGTATGCCAGTATATTTAGAACAGTTCCATGAGTATAAAACCCTTACACTCTCCATAAAATTATATTCAACCACCATTTGACTGCAGTTTGTTGCTTCATAGTCTGAGAAAGGCTCTTCCACTTAAATATTGCACCTATTTTCTAGACCTGGGAAAAATAGTACATGCCAGTCAATTAGGTATATTTAAAAGAGTATTCTAAAAATGCTTATCCAGCGCTTTTTGTTTATATTTCATTGGTATAACTATGTCTCCTAGCATTCTTGGCTACAATGGGCCCTGAGAGACACATTTTTTAAAGCTGGAAGATGGTTTTCTTTACAATAATTATGGTTATTTTACAGAAGACAAAAATGCAACTTAGGCTATTATCTGTGAATGTCACATGAATCAAGTGCATTTATTTGCCATTGTTTATTTATTGGTATAGGTCCTAACCTTGTGACTTACTCCTCTATACCAAAGTGAGCAGTGAAGATGTTCTATACAAAATCTCTCCATGGGAAACATTTATATTCTTATCCTACTTTAGTAACATCCCTTTTTGGAATAAACACACTCTGCAGAATAAAACAGAAGCCCTGCTAGAACTTTTTTCTCTTTCCCTTAAAACAATTATAGTCAATTTTAAGAGACTATGATAGGGTTCTCTAAGTGGACTTGATGATGAAGGGCTACTAGTAATGCCTGTCTTTATACTTTGTGGATCAGATAATGTCATACTGACTGAGAGAAATAAATATTCTGGTTACATGGGTTCCATGATACTTACATTAGTACCAAAGGCTGTTTCTCGAAAATATCTAAAAAAGAATAGAGATTCCTTCAAAAATTTGATATACAGGCCAGGCGCGGTGGCTCACTCCTGTAATCCCAGCACTTTGGGAGGCTGAGGTGGGCAGATCATGAAGTCAGGAGATGGAGACCATCCTGTCCAATGTGGTGAAACCTTGTCTCCACTAAAAATACAAAAAAATTATCTGGGAGTGGTGGCGCGCCCTGTACTCCAAGCTACTTGGGAGGCTGAGGCAGGAGAATTGCTTGAACCCGAGAGGAGGAGGTTGCAGTGAGCTGAGATGGCGCAACTACACTCCAGCCTGGGTTGTAAGAGCAAGACTCTGCATCAAAAAAAAAAAAAAAAAATCCTATATACAATGTCTATACTCATTAATAAAATTCAAACTATTTCTAAACCACTGAATCACTTGCCCCAGCTACAAAGTCCCATATGAAAGAATCAAATGGCCAAATTTAAAGCAGAGGAACTTGCCCTGGATTTTAAGAATGTGGATTTTTTTTTTTTTTTTTTTTTTTTTTTTTGAGATGGAGTCTCACTCTGTCACCCAGGCTGGAATGCAGTGGCACAGTCTTGGCTCACTGAAACCTCTGCCTCCCAGGTTGACACAATTCTCTGCCTCAGCCTCTCAAGTAGCTGGGATTAGAGGTGCCTGCCACCACGCCTGGCTAATTTTTGTATTTTTAGAAGAGATGGGGTTTCACCATTTTGTCCATGCTAGTCTTGAACTCCTGACCTCATAATCCACCCGCCTCTGCCTCCCAAAGTGCTGGGATTACAGGCATGAGCCACCGAGCCCAGTGGAATTTTTCTAAAAATGACTTTCTTAACTAACAATATATAAGTCCCTTAACCTCATAGGTAAGTCTTATTTTCGAGATATAAATGAAATTTCAATGTTGAAAAACAAAGGAGCATGACATATGCCAAGTATACAAGAATAGCTATCGAATTCATTCAAGATGAAATTTAGAGCAGAATATTATATAATTATTTTAAATAAAAGTAAAGGATATGACTTAGGGTGGTGGCCCATGGTACTTGTTGAGTTGAGAGGTATTATTAACACTCTTCAACTGTGATCGATTTTTCAGTAGGTTAATGACCAGTTTGAAGTATTTGAAGAATTAATTTCTCTTTGTAGTCTACAAGGAAAAAATTCAAGTGAAAATATTCTCACTTGAATTTTTTCAAATATGTCAAGTTAAAACTAATTTCGTACATCCGGAAATGGAATCTGCTAAGATGGTTTACAAATATTGGTGGTAAAAATGTATGTGCATCAAAAAGTACATAATTGGAAAAATTTATAGTATGTGAAAATGCAAGGTATATAAAATCTTTTGTCATTCCCTATTACCAGCATATAGTTGAAAAAAAGTCTGAATCTCCTAATCACGTGAACTTCATTCATTCTTGTCTGTGTAACCATTGTCAATTCTATAAATATTTTTATGGAAAATTGAAGAATCCTAACCTACCTGCATAATAATTAGATCATTTAGCAGTGGTAACATTTTATACTAATTATTTGGACAGATCGACATGATTGAAATTTTTCTAAAGAAGAATCACCCCAATCACTTCATTGAAAGGCTTTGAAATTAGCTTTTAGTGTAAACATTTGTAGGTATTTATCAAAATTAATTCAAAAATTACAAAGCAAAATAGTGCTTATATGAAAATTGTTGACTACTATAATGTAATTTCAACAACTAAACAATAAATCATTTAGCAAAATGCCAATCTGCTATACATTCTCTCTGTGCTTTCATAAGCTATAACAAAAAGGTAGTTCTTCATTCCCATGCAAATTTGCAGTAAAATGTATTTTCTCTGAGTTCAAACTACAATTTCAGGACTGGTACTTGAAAATTGATGTAGCTATAAAAGAAAGTTTAATATTTCAAAGTGAATGTAATTATACAATTGAGAAACTCCTACCTCACCTTTAACTGGAAGTGACAACTCTTGCAATATAATAATATAATGATATGCTAAAAGGCAAATATCAAGGGAAGAATCTGGTAGAATGCCTTCCAAATGTTTTGTGTGTTCAATTAAAATAATATGCTTATGAACTGATATCAATATTTGGCGGTATCTCTCTGTTAAAAACAGTATCAGGCTGGGCACAGTGGCTCATTCCTGTAATCCTAGCACTTTGGGAGGCCAAGGTAGGTGGATCACCTGAGGTCAGGAGTTCGACACCAGCCTGGCCAGCATGGTGTAGCCCCGTCTCTACTAAAAACACTAAAATTACCTGGGCTTAGTGGTGCATGCCTGTAATCTCAGCTGCTCTGGAAGCTGAGGCAGGAGAATTACTGGAACCCGGGAGGCAGAGGCTGTAGTGAGCTGAAATTGCGCCACGGTACTCCAGCCTGGGCAACAGAGTCAGACTCCATGTAAAAAAAAAAAAAAAAAATTCAAAGATAAAATATGTAAAATTTCATTATAGATGAGTATTAACAGATAAGCATTTGCAATCAATTTTGATGATAGGTAAAATAAACCCTGAATCTCAATTAAGCAAAATGCTGTTTCCCAGTAAAGAATTCAATTGTTTTTATCAGTAGATTCATAAGTCTAATTATTATTTTTTTATTTTGGTCAACAAAAATATGGAAATGTGTCTTCTTGTTTGATATATAAGCAGACATATGATATCCTCAATTTTGCCTTTTGGCCAATGAAGCCTAAAACTTTTACTATCTGATATTTTACCAAAATAGTTTGCACCCTGCTTTGTCATTGACTGTTTGTCATAAATTATCAACTCAAGTGTTCTTGAGTAGAAAAGTTTTACCTATCTTCTACTTAGGTACAAGCCAGTGAGGCTCTGTAGAGTGCTTAACACCTTTGCTGATAACTTATACACTATCATTTCCACATTGCTCTTTGATCTTTCCTTTAAACATTCTTGTCATTCGTCCTTGCTTTAGAGCCTCTGCCCTAGATAATCTTTGTCTAAATCTCTTGTCTTCTAACGTCTGTCTCTTTCTCACCATTTAAATCTCATAAATAACATTAGCTCTTCAGAAAGACCTTCTCTAAGCACTATATACAATGCTGCCCATCCCACCAGACCCCATAAGTAATATCTCTAAATTTTCTTCAAAATATGTAACACTATATTAATAAATGTATTCATTTATTTGTATATTTATTAAAAGTTGGTCTCCCAGTTTTCTCTATGATAGTATTTTATAAGAAAACAATGATTTTTTTTCCAATTAATGAATGACTTAATTAGATTATACTTTGTGACTGTAGGAACTATGACATAATCTTAGCACAGTGGTTAATACATATTTAATAATGCAAAATGGATCATTAGTTAGATTCTACTTGTTGCTAAAAGTTTCTAGTCAGAAATAAAGGAACTAACACTTCTGTACTCATAAATTAATAAAAAGTCACTTTGAATTGACTCATTACTTTTCATTTATCATGCACTCCTCTAATTTTCCTTCCAATTTGTTTTTTATTCTGACTTAATGCATTTTTTTAATCAATCCTGCTCAACAAATCATATATGTGATAGGAAGATAACAGGTTCTCACAGGTCCTGAGAATAACCTTGTACAAAAATAGATTTTTGATTTAAATTGCCTATTACCATAGAGTCAAAATATGCTTTTGTAAATCTATAATCTGACAAATAACTAGTAAGTTATTTGAACTTAACTAGTCATTCCACTACAAGTAACACTATAACTGGTATTTTGCTTTTAATTTAGCTACCTCAGACTTGTCCTTATTTTTAATAACTATTTATCTAACCTGCCAAGACCATGACAAATGACCCCAGGGTATACTGTGATTGAATGTGAAATTTCTGCAGTGAGAAGAATCCCGCTAGGCAATGTTAAGAAAGACACCAGAAACCTCTGACCCTTCAGTTTAAGTCTAGTTGGTTTCCCATTAATCCAGAAGTCCTAAAATAAAGAAGAAATGTGCCACCTTTATACATGCAGACGCATACACAGGATATGCCAATAAATGGAGCATCTAGTATTGCGCATCAGATGCAAAATTACTAGGGGGAAAAAAAAGCAAAGCACATGCTGCTTTTTAAAATAAAATGTTTTACAATATGTAGAATTATGTTTTCTTCTTTTTTTTTTTTTTTTGAGATGGAGTCTTGCTCTGTTGCCCAGGCTGGAGTGCAGTGGCGGGATCTCGGGTCACTGCAAGCTCCGCTTCCCAGGTTCATGCCATTCTCCTGCTTCAGCCTCTGGAGTAGCTGGGACTACAAGCACCCGCCACCGCGCCCAGCTAATTTTTTGTATTTTTAGTAGAGATGGGGTTTCACCGTGGTGTCGATCTCCTGACCTGGTGATCCACCCACCTCGGCCTCCCAAAGTGCTGGGATTACAGGAGTGAGCACCGCGCCCGGCCTGTAGAATTATATTTTCAAAGATGCATGGGTATATGTCAACTCAATTAAAGAATAGAAAAATTATTTTCATAAATTATACACCTTTTAAAATGTGGTTTCCTCATTGATTTTTAAAGTAAAATATATTTGTACAAATGCATTTTTGTATGTTTTTTCTTTTTGATTCCCCAAATATATATACATTTTAGCTTTTTTATAATATATATTATAAAATATATATGTCATATATATTTTATTTTATATACAGCTATAAATAATGAATTTATGTACATTCAGCTTTATTGAGGTAGAATTGAAAAATAAAACTTGTACATATTTAAGGCTGAAAATGTGAGGACTTATGTAGGTATACATTGTGAAGTGGTTATCACAAGCTAAGTAGCATAGATAGATATAGATATAGATAGATATATATCTTAGAATATTTTTAAAATAAAATATTGGTATTTTCAAATGTTGATTTAGAGTATTAACTGGAGTTAGGCATTTCTGTTTTATTGTTTGTAAATTATTGGCCCCCTCCGCAAAATTAAATCAGCTGAGACAAAACATGTAAAATTAAAATGAATTTGTGTTAGATAGAATTTTTGCATAATTGTATTTGAAACAAAACTTACACAATGTCTAATTGCATTATAAGTGAAATAAGTATGTTAGTGATACAATATTGGCATGATGAAATGCACACAATCTGTGCTAATAGTCTTATATTTTGTTACATAAAATAAAATTATTAAGTAGTATCAACATTTGATTCTGATATTATGTATTAGATAAGACAGACACTCAGGAAAATGACATGTTTCAAGTTATATTTAAAATTAAATTTTATATATGGTTCTCTTAGAAGTTTTAGGAGATGCAGGACAGTTTATGAATTTTTGATTATAAAATTAATTTCAGACAGCTTGGGATCAAAACTTATCAAGTACTAATTTATGATTTTAGGCAAATTACTTAACATTTTGTGCCACAGTTTCCTTATTTTGAAAATAACAATAATATTTATATTGTCTTTAGTAATATTGTGAAGAATAAATGAGTTAATTAATGTATAATACATAATAAGTACTATAAAATTGTCAGGATTTTTTTTTTTTAGGTATTATCAGTTTAATTCAGTCATTGACAATCTTTCCTAATTCAAGGTGCTAAGATTCATACACATTAAAAACCAATGTAATTATCAAATGATGTCTTCTAACTTGATTAAAAATTTTTGGCTTTATTCTCTTGTGAGAAATAAATGCTGTAAACAAATGACAAACTTAGATGGTGGTTGGAATTACTATCAGCTCTGACAATGAGGCACAGAGCCAACTACACTGAGGAAAGCTGTCTGGATATAAAATAGGTTCAAACTAATAAAATGTAGAACCGCTAGAGACAATTTCTTGAAATAAATTATGAAGATACTCTTAATGACATCCCCCCGTTAAAGATTATAATTAGTGAGAATGAAAAATACTAAGGTCCTTGTATACATGTATCAAAATATTGTTATGTACCCCAAAAATATGTGTAATTATTGCATGTCAACTAAAACTATAATTAAAAAGCAGAAATACAAAAAAAATTCCGTAGAAAACTCAATAATGTTATACTGTCTTCAGGGTTTTATCTAAAAAAAATCCTTTTTACTATCTATATGTGTATCAAAATCATCATTATTTACATCTTATATATATATATACAATAATATTTTTAAACAAAGGTTCATGCTAATAAAATTAGAACTACCACAGAAAATTTCTTAAGATAAATTATAAAGATTATTTTGACTATGTCCTTTCCAACAAGGACTATGCTTAGTGAAAAAAAAAAATACTGAGGACAATTACATTTTTCTTCTCTATATCCTGGCATATCCTCGCTGTTACTGAAGGCTGAAGTTAATAGGTTGGGGTCATCACCATTGCAATTCAGTTATTAGTTTCATATCCCATAGAGTTACTAAAAAGTGTGTCATGTGGGAAAAAAATCAACAAAGACTATCTACAAATGTTGAGAATCTAAAAGTTGTCATCTTGAGAAGTCAGTGCTGTGAAAAAACAAAAGAAAATATTTATAGCATGTGGTTCTCAGTCAATTACAAACCACAAGATGTTAAAGGCATGCTGGTTTGCTAGGCTGGCAGTGTTGATCTGCCTTTAGGGATGAGCTGATGCAGATGTACATAGTAGTCATGACCAAGAGGACGTTCGTATTTATTCCCCTCAGCTTCACAAAACTTTAAACAGGCTTGTTCCTGCTTTAGGCCACTGACCTTCCTTTTTGTATACCATTTGATTTAGAACACTTGAAACTGTAAATTCTTTGTCTGTCCCTTTGAGATGTAAATACTTTTGCAGCCTCTTACCAGTTTAACAACCCAGGGGTATTTTCTCAAGGACCTGAGCCCCATCCCCTTTAAATGTAATCATCAAGTTGAGTACCCCTATCTACCAGTTTCTATGGGAGGGTAAAACCTACATTAGTACTGGTGCCTTGAGCCAAGTTGTGAAACTACTTCCTGTCATAAAAATATTAAAATGTCCATTTTTCCTTTCAGTAAAGCCAATTAGCAAACACATGTGGCCTATGATCCTCTTACCTTACATCTTAAAAATGCTTCAGTTCTTTATGTAGAGTAGAGCCCAGATTGAATGCTGGCCTCTCCCCACAATTGCAATACCCTTGGATAAAGTATTCCCTGCTGTTTAACTTTGTCTAGTGAAATATTTCCTTTGACACTGCTCATTTGGGATAAAAGTTCAAATTCAAAAAAAGATCTAATTCAAAATTTGGCCTTTTAGTAACTAGAAATGTGCCTCTGTTTATAGATGTTCTATTGAGCCTCAAATTTAGGCTCATCAATACCCTCCAAAAATGGTATTCTATTCCTTTGTCTCCTTTTGCAACCTATCTTGACATAAAATTTAGAACAGTCTAGAGTAACTAGACATTTAGAGCTAGTGTTACCAGAATCTATGTTTCATAAAAAAGGCAATAAATTCTGAAAGTAACTTCTCTGCCCAGCAATAGCACCAAGGGGTCACAATTCTAGAAAACATTTACAGACATGCATTTATGATGATAACCCTTTAGTTTTAGCCTTGTGTTTTCAAATCTCTATGCAAATGGCATAAGACTTTTTTGTAATCAGAAATTAGTCCCATATACAGCCAATATGATACAGTGAAACCATGAAATTCAGGCATACAATAAATGTAACTTTTTATTCTCCCTTGTAAACGTGGGTTCTGTCTCTAGATCATATATGTATGTGCTTTTCTTTTTTTCACCAATTTCAAATTTAACCTTGTTAGTTAAGGTGTCTCTCCTTTCTACAAAATTATTTTGTGTTAATTCTACGTGGGGGCAGAATGTGGTGTAGTGTTTGCCTTTTACGGTGCTCTGGCAACACTTGACAACATTCTTCCCTTTCTGATGTTTTTCATATCTTCACATTGATCGAGATGGACCTAGTGGTTAGGAACAGTGAAATCAGTCAGTCATTTATTTGTTCAACAAATATTTGTTTATTTATTCAACAAATGCTTATTAAATACCATGTCTTGCTTGGGATGGCAAAATACACAATATTTCCCTAACCTCATAGTACATACATTTTCACATTGAAAGAGAAACAATTGAAATTTTAAAAGTAGGTGTCATGTTTTTTGTGAGGAACAAAAAACAGGAACAGATAATTAGGAGTGTTAAGGGCTTCAATTTTAAATAGGGTGGTAAGGAAATACCTTCATAAAAATGCTGCTGACTAAAAAATGGAATGTGTTGAGGGAATAAGCCATTTTCATATTGTGAGGAAGAGCATTTTAATTCAGCAACACAATAGGTAGAACACAACAGAATAATCACAAGTTGACTATTAGCTTCAAAGAATTAGGTCTGTGAATGAATGAGAAACAAGAAATGTGATTAGATAAATAATGAGGATGTGGTGAGAATGCATCTCTTAGGCCTGGTAAGCCATTGTGATGATTTTGTATTTCACTGTGGATGAGTTGGGAAGTCATCAGGAAGTGTTGGACATAGTAGTAACACGATGTAACATAATTTGAAATACACTTTAGCCCTTGAATTGAGAGTACGTTCTTGGAGTCAAGTGTGATACAAAAAAAATCAATTAGGAGAAACTCACTATAATTCAGGAAAGGAACAATACAGAGTTTATCATGATGAAAACAGTGCAGAGATAGAGAGAATTGGTCAAATTTCAGATACGTTGTTAGAAAGAACCCACTTTTTTTGAGGAATTAGGAATTAAATTGTAATGTGAGAAGATGTTAAACACTATGGATGACTCAAAGAGTTTGGCCTAAGTAACAGAATGGATGTGTCACTAACTGAAATGAGAAAGAGTATAAGAAGCACACATTTTAGGGGTGAATAGAAGAATCATATTGGCATTTCGTATGCCTAGTAGGCATCTGAGAAGTGACATTGAATAGGCACCTGTGCCTGAGAGTCTGTAACTCAAAGGAGATTGCAAAGCTGAATTTATAAATTTTGGAGTTCTAAGTGTACAGATTTTACTCAAAAGTATAAAAAAAAAAGAAACATGTAGTAACATCACCAAAGTGACTATAAATAGAAGAGTTTGAAACTTGGGACACTTTTTAAGATGTTACAGAGAGGAGTAGAATTAGAAATAAAGTAGAAGGAAAATCTGAAGGTAGAAACATGAAGATAATTGGAGACCAGGACAAGAGCAGTTTCTCTGGGGTAGTAGCAGCAAAAAAATGGTGGGAGTGGATTCAATGAAGTCATATATGAAAAATTAGATGCAGATAAACTTTATGTTTTGCATAAATATTGCTGTAAATGAAAAAAGAGAAAAGGGTTGTGAGCATTTTGTTTCTTTCCTAACGATATATGCTAATTTGGGGAATTTGAGCATTAAACTGAGGCAGAAATTAGAGAAAGAAAGAAAAATAAAATTAAAAAGAGAAAGAAATAAGATTTCTGTGTTACGCTGATAATCCCAAAGGCAGTGACAGGCAAAACCCAGACCCAGGCAAAAGTTCCAATAATGTTATCTATGAAACCAGGGCTCAAAGAAATGTGCTCTGGAGACTCTCCCAGCACTCCCTCAACATAGGGAGAAGAAAAAACAAATTTTCCCTTCTCTTATGATGTGAGTAAACCTACGAGTTTATGGATTTCTGTTCTCTGTAACTAGTACCTTCAAGTATTCTGTTTAATCTAGGCGGCACAATGAAGGTCATGAGAAGCCTGCGCAGGCCTGAACTACAGCCACCTGGGCACCATAGCGAATGTTATGAGATAAGCCCGTGCAAGGCACTTAAGTAAAACCTAGGTAACAGCCATCTGAGCCGCATAGCAGGATGTCATATGTAATCCTGAGTTATGCACCTGTCACAATTTGATTAACTGTCTTTGTTCTGCTTCGTTCTGCGCACTTGGCTTTTGCGCCACTACGCTTCATGCCAGTGTAAGCTTGCTTCAAACTAGCCAACCCGCTTTTTGAAGTGTGTATAAAAGCCAAGACTTGTCTTTGTTCTTGGCTCAGTTTTTGGATGTTAATCTGCTGGGCCTGACTGCACTCAATAAAATTCTCCTGTCTCACCCTGTGGTCTCTTCAGTCCTTCATTCCCGCAACAAAACAAGATAGCCAAAACAGATATGTGCTTTCCTGGAGTTTGTAATGTAAGACATACAATAGCAAATAATGACAAATTATAAGTGAGAGACAGAAAATAATGATTAGTTCAAATTAGCTAATACATCAAACTGTGATAAATGTTTTTGCATTATTTACTGGTACAACTAGCAAACATTTTTCGAGAATATTTACAGCTGACAGATTAATATGTATTAAATTATAAGAACATACATAAGAACATGTGTGGGTGTATTGGTGTGTATTTTCGTTATAATGAAAAGCAGTAGAAACACACAAATTAGCTCAGTGGTCAACTCTAAAAGGGCGGCAGGGGTATTGCCTCTATGATGAGCATAAAGGTATAAGTAATACTTCAATGGTATAAGTAATACTGCATTTATTGAATTACTGACAGGTTGATATTATCCATTTTACTAAGTATTATTGCTTGCATATATGCTGTTGTTATTTGTACTCAGAAAAGATTTATAATTTGTATTCTTAAAATTAAGGAGTAAAAGAATATTTTAAAAATTAATGATGAAATAAGAATTGTATAAGAAAGGTAGCCATGATTAATTGAATAGAAACACTGCCTGGGCTCTTATCTCACTAATATTTAGACTAGAAGTTGGACTATTACTGAAGGACACTCATTTATAGCTACCGTAGCTAATCTTGCTCACTTTTACATCCTTATTTTCTTTCCCAAAGCACAGTCTTTTATTCAAAATCTAAAAAAGGAAAAGTAGCTCTTTCATCATCATGCATTCTGCAAATATAACTTTATGAAGGCATAAACATGGGTTTGACCTAAATATTTTACTTAATAAAATATTTTATGAAGGAAAAAATATATTTCAAAAGACTTTGAACAGTGAACAACCCACTTGGAGTTTGCTAGAGACAATAGCATGTAACTTTTAGAGCATGTAAACTCTAAAATGTATATAAAGGAAGAGATAAAGGATTTACATCAATAGAGGTAAACTATATTATTTAACATGAGATTTTAATTCATTAAAATGTAAACATTTTCAAACATATTAATGCATGAAACAAACTCAAATTCTTGAAAAATTGACGTGAGTTGCAAAAACTTTCTCTAGATTTCATATGACATATATGAGTCCTAATATTAGGAAATGCAATTTTGCAGCCAAAAAATCTGAGTTTTTGAATTCTGTTGTATTTCCAAAACATATAAAGCAGCTGAAATAGTCAAAACCATAAAGAATTTTAAAATCTGGGTTTAAATATGACACTGGATATTGATAATGACTATCTCTTAACTGCAAAGCCAGATCAGACATTAGCTCCAATTTAAGCAAAAATAAATTTCAGAAGTAAAATATACTTTGGACATGGCTTATTCAAATATCTGTATGTAAGGGAAGACAATTAGTCTCATAAACTTTCAGTTTTAAGTAAACTGGTGCACACTGTGCTTATTTAAAGTTTGTGATAATACTTATTGTGAATGATATTCACAGTATATCACGATTTCTGTGGACCATATAATTCTTCAAAGAACAGTTAAATTTGAAGATGAATACCTGTGTCTAGCCACTATCACCTGGATATTTCTGCCTTGTTTACACTAACAAGCTTCAAGGAAATATCCTAATGAGATATCTTGCTGTGACAATCTGCTAGCTAAGCTACTCCGTGCAGACCAATGTCATTATTTTAAATATATGTACCCCTGCCTATGAATTCATGATTTCCATTTTACTTCTGTCTAATCAAGCTTATGTATATACCCATGAAAAAGGAACCCAGATGCCTCAAAATGATCTAATCCTGATTTCAGCTTTGCATTGTAAAACTTTTGCTTGGCTTTGCATTTGTAATTCAATTTGCTGATAAACACCTTGGACATCTTTTCTTTTAACAATGTGCAGCACTGATAGCTTTTGTCCATTCTCCTTTATTTGGTGCATTTAAAAAATTATGAGAAGTTCATTTACTTATATATCTCTACTACAAACAGATCAGCAAAGGAAAGGAAACATAGCATATATTCTAACCTAATTTTAGCCAAAAATTCCTCATAAAGACTATCAGCATGTTTCTTATTTTAGCTTTAAAAAACTGTGATTTTAAAATAACTAACTTTCTGAGCATTTAGGATCTAGAGAAGAGTCAAAATATATATGACAAATAATTAATTTTGCCCAACATCTAAACTAGTGGTACTCAATTTTTTTGGCAGAAACTCATACTAAGAAATGCAGTTTACATACCAATCTAGTTCACACATAAACATATCTACAATAACACTTCCCTAGAATATAGCAAAACTGGTTGTTTCATTTCGTGATAACTGGCTCTAACCAGTTAAAGCTGATAAGATGTCATGAATTTGAGTGACCTGAATGAACATTTATTTATTACAACAAACTAAGGAGTCTTTCCTGATGAATGGACAGTGCAGACGTATAAACTCATTTCACTTAATTTGGTGTTCTAGTTTCGGCTGTTAATTAGCATAACTATTATGAATTCCCTTTTTTTTAATCACTTAGGGAACCCTGATCGTATGCTGCAGAGACTTTGTAAATTTCTTAACTGTTGAGTGTTCCCTTGCCTGGCAAGTTAATAGACTCAGCAGCTTTGTAATTATTATTACAGGTAATAGTATGATTAGTCGTAGTCATAGTCGTAGTCGTAGTCGTAGTCATAGTAGTACTTAGCCCTGGTCTTATTTTATCAGACATTTTAGGAGATCCACCAAAATTGCCTTGTCGGCCTCACTTAGTGGTGCTGGTGTTGCCAGCCTTAAGACCGGAAACAACATTCTTACCTGTGCCTTTTGGTCCTCTGTTTTGGTCTTCAGGTACAATTGCAGTGGTGACTAACTAAGATTTGATTGTTCTTGGAGACCCCCTTAAATTTATTACATTTACTGGGACGGTTTGAGGAGCTGTAGCTCTGAGTTACCACAGCTCATGACTTATATATGATTTTTTTTTTGAGTCAGAGTCTTGCTCTGTTGCCAGGCTGGAGTGCAGTGGCGCGATTTCAGCTCACTGCAACCTCCGCCTCCCAGGTTCAAGGGATTCCCCTGCCTCAGCCTCCCGAGTGGCTGGGACTACAGGCGCCCGCCACCACACCTGGCTAATTTTTTGTATTTTAGTAGAGGCAGAGTTTCACCATGTTGGCCAGGATGGTCTCCATCTCCTGATCTTGTGATCTGCCTGCCTCGGCCTCCCGAAGTGCTGGGATTACAGGCCTGAGCCACCGTGCCCGGCCAATATGGTTTTGACCATCAGTCATCTGTCACTGAGCTTTCAGTCTTATTTTGTTTCTTATTTTTCGGTGATTGCTTGGGAAAAGAGAATCGGTTGCTCTCTTTTCTGGTGCTTTCCTAAGTCTGTCTTGTAGCTGTCATAGATAACGTTTCGGTCTGTTATGTGGTTAATATAGGAACTACAGTGTCAAACCGTTATTACCCTGTACCCTCACTCTCCTGTGGGGACTTTTTAATTTGACAACAGTCGGACTTTTAAATTGCTTTTAAAGTCTGTCATTATATATGCATAGTCCAGGAATATCTAGCCCAGGTCCACATAAAACTAAGTAGAAAAAAAACAATGAAACTGATTACAAAGTCTCTTAAATTTCATGGTAACTCTAATGCTAATTGGTTTACTGAAACTTATAAATAAATAATTTTAAAATAGCACAAAGTTCACAAGGATTTTTTAAAATTAATTACTAATGCTTAAAATGTCTAGCTGGCTTCTTCTAAGAATAACTGCCTGGTTGTGTCTTTTATTATGGGAACAATATCTTTTTTTTCTTTTTAAAAAAAGGAAACTTTAGCTGCATTAAAGGTTAACACTTCGGTTACTTATCTCTTAGTTAAGAGAGAATAAAAAAGGCAAGTCATTCGGTGACTAAAAATTGTTCTATATTTGTAAAAAGGTATTAAATTTCTATAAATATAACTAATCAAAGTAAATCTTAAAAAATTAAATATTTTTTATGAAATAATTGTCACTTCAAATTTGCTGCAAATTGGATAAGGCTAAAGAAATATTGTAAAAAAGACATTTTTTTCTTACAATTTCTGGTATCTAATATGTTATCTTGTTCTTTTTAAGGCTTTATTGAGATATAATTGATATAAAAATAACTGGACATTTTAATGTATACATTTTGATGAATTACTGTCTTTTGTGTTTGCATGCTGCATGCTCACACATCTGAGTGAGTGTGTGGGCGTGGTGAAAGCACATAAAATGAAATCTATCCTCTTCAACTTTGGAGTGCTAAATGTTATATTGTTAACTATAAATATAATACTGTACAGCAGATCTCTAAAACTTTTTCATCTTGGGTAACCAAAACTTTATATCAATTGAGCAACAAGTCTCCATTTCCGTATTCACCCATTCCCTGGCAGCCACCATTCTACTCTCTGCTTCTATGAGTTTGACTATTTTAGATATCCTGTGTAGACGGAATCATGCAACATATGTCTTTTTCTGACTGGCTTATTTCACTTTTCATAATGTCCTCTACTTTCCTCCTTGTTTTCACAAAAGATAACATTTTCATCTTTTTAAATACTGAACAATATTCCATTGTTCGGTGACATATCACATCTTCTTTATCTTCTTTTTTGTCAGTGGACATTTAGGTTGTTTCTATATTTTGACCATTGTAAATAATGCTGTAGTATACATGGGAGAGCAGCTACCTCTCAGAGATTACTTTGATTGTGCTGATGGTTTCACAGATGTATGCGTATTTTCAGACTCATCAAATTGTATACACTGAATATGTGAAGGCTTTTGTATATCAGTTACACCTCAATAAAGGTGTTTAAAAAAACAAATAATTTGTTTGATTCAACGCAGGTATAATTTGCTACACAAGTTAAGCTGTTGAGTTTGTCATACTTTTTCTATTATTGTAATATTCTGCTAAAATTATTACAACTACAGTTTTCATAAGGTTCATCCAGAGAAGTTTATTTTCCCATCAGCCCAATATTAGCAAAATTGGTAATTACTTCTTCAGGCTCAAACCTTCCAGCAACCAATTTTTTTAGCTAAAAAAATCTTTAGTTAAAATAAGCATCATTTTATAGCATATGACTGTTATTACCTTATTTCTTATATGACATGAATATCATAGTTATAAAATATAATATTCTTTCTATAAAGCCAGATAGCTTAAAATATTGACAGTTGTTCCATATCACAGGAAATCACTAACAACATGTTTGCACTCAACTAATTAAGAAAAAAACGTCCTTGAACTGTTTGAACTAGTTACACTTGTCCTGCTGTGAATTTCAAATTATTTGGTTAAAACAACTCTCAATTTCCTCAGATAACTACAAAAACTATAGATTGTGCTCTTTATGACTTGCATATGTATGCACCGAGATATATTGTATCACAATATTGATTGTGGAGATAAATAAGTCTACTATCTTAAAAGAGTTTATATGCTCTGTTGAAATTTTTGTAAGTCTATAATGGTAGTATTTCACATGATCTACGTACATGCCTGTTGAAGTATAAAACTTTCAGGCTGTATCAGAGATATTTGTATCCACTGATTCCTGACAAGTTTTCTTTATTGGCCTTGATACTCCTATATTTGAATGCTGCATTGAAGCTCTATGACAGAAGCAATCATAGCAAAGGAAGCCATATGTTGTCCCTGAGATACAGGTTCAACAAAATTTCTTGCACATTTTTTCTTGCAAGAGTACTGAACAACAGAATCACTTTATTCACAATTCCAAAACAGAATTTACTTATCACAATATTTTCTATACTATTTAGTCTCCTGTTTTTATTTGGATAAATGCTCCAAGGTAAGTGTTGAGAGAAAAATTTTCACGTATGTTGCATGTTGCTGTTTGTCTCATATTAAGAGCCTTAGAAAATAGAAGGGATGTCTCCTTCCAGAGTGAAGGGTAGATATGCTTCCTACCCATTATAAGAGATCCACATTCCCTAAAGCTCAGCTTCTCTCTGAACACAACTCACTGTGTGTGCTGGCTTCTACCTGAGCCCATGTGTTTCTTCCCACCGGACTCTGGGGCAAGGGAAAGTAACCCATATGTATCTCCCCATTGGACTCTGGGGCAAGGGAAAGTGACAGGAATGTACATATGCTTTTACTGCTTTTGCAGCATTATCAGTAATAATGTCCTTTGTCTCTCACCTAGAAATATTTTATCTTCTCCCATTGTCCATGAAATTGTGGCAAGCTAACTTGTTAACTTGTAAGTAGATTAAATATTTAACCCTTTGAAATCCTTGATTGTAGGTTAAGAAGACTCTATGTAAAATTAATAAGGAAGCCAATTGATTTTCCAAAATATGACACACCTGCCCACAGGATTTTTTTTAATGATTCAGCCTTGTACAAATAAAAGAATATAATTAATTGTTGCTGTGATCAGGGTATTATTAACAGTTTTAGTAGAGTAACTATTTTATGGATAGTGCATTAAAGTGAAATTGAAGCTATATGGATAAACAAAACATATCCACTAAAAATTGAAACCCAAGATCTAAGTATTGACCAAAAATATCTGACCATATATCGTTCCTTGTATCATTACTCTACAATAGAGATTAAGGAAAGGACCATAAGAAAATTGTTGCTTACTTTGAACATACAGCCTATAGTGGCAATTCCCTATGAAATATCAAAAATGATTATTGTGTTTATCACTGCTGTCATTAATCAATCAAAGCTTGTAAAGGACCATGACTATTGCATATCCCCAAGATTACAAACCCTTACTGGACACAAAGTGAAGACTTTTTCCTGATCAATGAAGAGTAAAATTCATTTTATCCAACTATATGCAGGTCATTTGATTTCTGTCCTCTCCAGGATACTAATTTTTAATGCTTAATAAGCACAGCGTTCATGAACTCTCACTTTCTAGCACTTAAAAACTGACTTTTTGCCTTCTGCAGATGACTTGGTAATTTTTTAAATGGTGCATGTGCTCTTTCATGGAGTTAATAGAACTCAGCATTGTAAAAATGTTTAACTCTGGTTTTGTGTTAATTCATCAATAGAATATATCTGAAAATAAATTCATGAATCAATTATATTGTTACTATTATGATACGGTCTAATATTTATAACTTATTAAATTTTATTTTAAATAATACTGATGATGAACCTTAGTTGAGTTCATGAACTATTAGTAGATTGTGGCTTGCATTTTGAAAAACATATTGATATTAGTTCCTTGTCACTTGTATTTCTTATGCAATTTATTGGGTCAGACTGATGTTTGAGTCTCTGTTCCAACACTTAGTAGCTTTGTTACCTTAAAAAGTATACTTAACAACCTTAGCCTATGTGATTATACGTAAAACATGCTCATAATAATAGTTACCACTTAAGTTTTTTTAAGAATCATATGAGAAAATTTGTAAAGTATGTAATACAGTGCCTAGAACTTAACAGTTCTCAATTAGTATTTTACCATGATTATGATCATAGAATTACCATGAGTGTTATTAATATAATTGTAATAAGTGAGAATCAATTTTTGAAATTACCGTATTAAACAGTGCCATTAATTGTAAAGGATATTTTTTGGCAAATGAAATAACACTCACATACCAAAAATGTTAATTTATAAAGATTTCAGTGAGTCATGTAATGGATTAGTTCTTCGTTGGTAATTTTATGAGAATTAAATAAATTTACCTGTAGCTAGAAGGTTTGCCTAAGTGTATATTCAAATCTCTTACTGTACCTCTGGGACCATACAATGTTCTCTTATTTTGTAGAATTATTAAGCAATATAATGTAAATGAAAGAATCCCGCTTCCTTTGACATTCTTTGAACCTTAATAAGGGGTTGCCTTGTTATGGTAATAATATGAGATATGTTAAATTATTCTCTTATAAAATTTTTATTCTCAAGGATCTTCTATCTGTTATAAGGAATAAAATCTATGTTGTTGCCAGTGCAGCTTTTTATCTGTGAAGGTCAGATACTTGATGAAGTTTCTAGTAAAGCTGCACACTGGAGTATTTTTATTTAAGTTTGTAATGGGAGGAACATTTAGATTCGATGAGTAAAGTGATACAGAATTATTTATAAAACTTGTTGACATTAGATAAGATGTTAAAAAGATTTAATAATATAATCTATAATATATTCTATAATAATAATAATATAATCTATAATATATTCAAGAAGGACAAATCAAACAGCTTAGTATAAAGCCAGTTGCAAATGTGCAGAATTTGATTAAATTACATCAGCCAACGGAACTCTGATCCATTTATATACATGTCCCAGGTGGAAAGTTCCAGTGGGTGACTAAGATAGCCTGGATTTTAAGACAAGATGTATTGAAATCAACTTTACATCTGTACTTCCAGACTCTGATCTTCTAAGAAAATATGGTATTGACCAATGACATGGAGAGCTGCCTATGTGTTTTTCTTCTACAATCAACTTGTGAACAATGCTCTTTACTTTCATTATATTAAGTGAACTAATAACTTTACATCATTTTACTGAAGGAGAAAATAAGCAACTTTGGAATTTCACATAGAGGCAATTTTGAAAATTAAACCACAATTAGATTATTTACATTTAAAGCATATAAATTGTATATGTATATACATATATATATACTTTATATGTATATACATATTGTATATGCATATACAATTTATATGCTTTAAATGTAAATAATCTAATTGTGGTTTAATTTTCAAAATTGCCTCTATGTGAAATTCCAAAGTTGCTTATTGCATGTAAAGCATATAAAGCATATAAAGCATATATACATATAAAGCATATAAATTCAGAATGTAATACAACTATTCTAATTTGGGAAATAAATTGTTGACAAATAACGCATGCACTTTCAGCAATATTTTCAAACAGAAACAAGTTTTATATAATGACAGATATATTTAATTAACATTGGTTATTATAATGTTTTGGTTGTTTTAATGTTTGCAACTCTGAATGAGAAGAAACTAGCTTTGATATTTTAATTTATCCATTACAACCACAAGTGAATCCCCAAACCCCATGTTATTTGTTTACTTTTGTTGATCTACTTGAAAGCATCATGCCATTGTTTTTTTAATGCCTAAGACTGCTTGGTGAATTTGAGCCTTCAATTATTTTAATTATCTGAAATCTCTAACGTTTTCACTTTTTTCTTATTTATTTTGTAGTTTAAAGGTTAATAAAATGTTTTTTCATTGTGAATTCAGAGAATCATGGATTGTTATCCACGGATAAGATAAAAATCTATTATTTTTATCATGGATTCAGAGAATCAGCACATTCAGCTATGCTCATTATTGTTTGTATAAAAGCAACTGACTCTCTAAGAAATCCTTATTACATCATCATTTTAGCTATTTTTATTTATTAAAAATAATATTTGTTAATTTAGTGCATTGCATGCAATCTTAATGTGCTTTATAAACGCCTAGATAATTTAATCTTTAACAATGAAGTGAGGATAACTTTATACATGATTATTCGCTCAGCAATAAAGCAAAAAAATTTGAAATATTTGTTAAGATCTACTAACAGCAAAAATTGCTAAGCACTTGAAAATACTTACAACTAACGTTGTGTTACAATTAATGTAAGTGTTTCCACTCAGATATATGAGATCCCCCTGAAAGTTATAAAATAAAGAGCTTTTATAAGCTTTTGATGTTGGGTAAATTTGGTCCTAGGCAACTGTTCTAATATTTTAACATTTTAAATATTTTAATAGGTGGTTCCTGAATTTTTAGGATATAAAACATCATTTAAAAATAAATCAGTAATAAAATATTTAGCAAATTTGTTTTAAGAGATTTTAAGAAGCACAGTTTTTCCTGTTTTTTTCCCTCCGTATATTGTACCCAAAGTCAAAATGAAAGCCTCCCACTAAGATAGAAACAAGACAAAGATGCCCACTTTCATCATTGCTATTCAACATTATATTGGAAGTTCTAGACAGAGCAAGTGGGCAAGGACAATAAATAAAAGGTCCCCCAATTTAAAAGGAAAAGATAAAGATATATCTATTCACATATGACATGTTCTTATATGTAGAAAAATCTCTCAAAATCCACAAGAAAGTTACTAAGAAACAAATTCAGCCCAATTGCCAGGTGCAAAATCAACATACAAAAATTGAATGTATTTCTACACATTTGCAATGAACAATTTGCAAAGGAAATTTAAATAGTAATTCACTTTACAATATCATTCAAAATATTAAAATACTTTAGAACAAATTTAACCAAGAAAGTTAGATTAACAAATATTTTAATATACACTGAAAAATATAAAGCACTGATGAAAAAAACTGAACACTTATTTAAATGGAAAGGCAGCCCATGTTCATGGGGTCGAAGACTTAATATTTTAAGACATCAGTACCACATACAGTTACCTACAAATTCAAGCTAATCCATATCAAAATTGCAACAGCCTTTTATTTTTTTGCAGAAATGCAGAAAGCTGATCCTTAAGTTATGTGAAATTGCAAGGGGATCCAAATGGTCAAAACAATTTTGAGAAAGAACAAATTTAGAGGACTCACAATTTCTAAATTTTAAAAATTATTCCAAAGAAGCCCTAATAAAAACCATTTGGGATTTGTATAAGGATAGTTGTATAGATCAATTCAATATTTGAGTCAGAAATAAATTTATGTGTCTATTAGCAGCCGATTTCTGAAAAGGGTGACAAGTCTATAATAGAAAAGCAGCATCTTCATCAAAATGTGTTGGGCCAACGGGACTTCCACATTGAGAAGAATGAAGCTGGTCCCCTACTTCACACCATATAAAACATTAACTCAAAATGAATCAATGATGTAGATGTAAGAGTTAACATCAAAAACCTTTTAGAAGACAAGACATAGGCATAAATATTCTGGGCCTTAGATTTGTCAATGGATTTTTACATATGACACCAAAGCATGAATAACTATATATATATATATATGTATATATAATTAAATATATATGTATATTTGACTTTCAAGAGACTCATGTACCTGTTCATTAAGCATCAATTATTGTGAACATTACACAGATTTAGGATTTCTTTAAGAATTCTATTTTTTAGCCGGGCGCGGTGGCTCAAGCCTGTAATCCCAGCACTTTGGGAGGCCGAGGCGGGCGGATCACGAGGTCAGGAGATGGAGACCATCCTAGCTAACACGGTGAAACCCCGTCTCTACTAAAAACACAAAAAATTCGCCCGGCCTGCTGGCAGGCGCCTGTAGTCCCAGCTACTTGGGAGGCTGAGGCAGGGGAATGGCGTGAACGCGGGAGGCAGAGCTTGCAGCGAGCCGAGATCAGATCGCACCACTGCACCCCAGCCTGCGGGACAGAGTGAGACTCCGTCTCAAAAAAAAAAAAAAAAAAAGGAATTCTATTTTTTAAATTGTTATTGTGGTTAAATATGTATAAAATAAAATTTCCTATTTTACCTTCTTCTCAATGGATAATACACGAGCATGCATAATACAGCAGCAATGTATAATACAAAAGCAATGTATAACAGGACAGATTGCATCCAAATGTAGAAGTATGTATATACATTTGAAAGTCAAATATATATATTTGATTTTACAAAATTAAAATATTTTATTTATTAAAGGATATGATCAAGAAAGTGAAAAAGTAAAGCTACAGATTGGGATAAAATATCTGTAAAACACATATCTTATGGAAACTAAATACCTAAGATATAAAGAACTCCTAAAACTCAACAAAATAACATATGAGCCAATTTATTAAATGACCTAAGGACTTGATAAACATCTATACAAAGAAGATATACAAATAAGCACATGCAAACATGTCCAATATTATTAGTGTTTAGGGAAATCTAAACCATAAGATACTACTTTATACCTACTAGGATAGCTATAATAAAATAAAAGAAAATAACGCGTGTTGGCAAGGATGTGGAGGAATTAGAACAATTGCACCTTGCTGGCAGAAATGTAAAATGGTACAGTCACTGTTGAAAAGAGTTTTATGGTCTCTCAGAAAGCTACACATAGAATTACCACATAACCCAAACAATTTTAGACTTTGTTATATACCCCCCAAAACTGGAAACAAAGTTTCACATACCTGTATGTCACTGCTTATTGTGGCATTATTCACAGAGCCAAAAGATGAAAACAATCCAGGTGTTCATCAACAAATGAATGAATGGACAAAAGGTGATGTATACATATAGTAGAATATTATTCAGCCAGAAAATGGAATGAAGTTCTGATGTATTGCCATAACAGGTATAACCTAGAAAACATTATACCAAATGAAGAAAGCCAGACATAAAAGGGCAAATATTTTCTGACACACTTGTATAAAATATCTAGAACAAGTAAAATTATAGAGAAAGAGATTAGAGGTTCTCAGGGGCTGAGGGAAGAGAGAATGGAAAGTTATTGTTTGTTATGAAGTTCTATTTGGGTGATGAACAAGTTATAAAAATAGGTAATGATTATGGTTTCACAACATTGTGAATGCAACTCATGCTTCTGAATTATGCATTGAGAAGAAGGTAAAATAGAAAATTTTATTTTATATGTATTTAACCACAATAACAATTTTAAAATAGAATTCTTAAAGAAATCCTAAATCTATGTAATGTTCACAATAATTGATGCTTAATGAACACATACATGAGTCTCTTGAAAGGCAGAATTAACATTCAATTAAACTTTCCTACTTCATAGCAGTGTAGTATCTTCTTTGAAATTATTTATATTGGCATTTATTACTAAATAAAAGCGTATATTACTTGTAACTGATAAGCATTATTATATGCTGGGGAAATAGAAGGTAAAACAGGATTGTATGTCTCAGGAAGCTTCAAAGGAAGAAAATAAATAGGGTGGAAAGAAGGACAGAGAGAGACGAGAGAATTGAGAGAATCATTTTCTTGAGAGACAAGAAAATATGTAATTCAATACAAAGATCAGATAGCAGAAGAAACAGCTACTTTATTATAGCAGAACAGATTGCATCCAAATGTAAAAGTATGTATATAAATTTGATATTCAGAGAAAATGACTACATGTCTAATAGAAAAGATAGAAATAGATTTTGAAGGGTATGAACAATCTTTGAAAGATTTGAAATAGAATGAAGATTAGTTGACCAGATATCTTGCCTATAATTGAAGTGATGAGGGATTATTTCAATTTTGGGATGATCATTTTGTAGTTGGAATAATGTGTCCTGATATTTTATGTAGACAGAAATCAGATAGCTTTTTCTTCAGATTAGCATAATGGAAAGAAAAAAAGGCATGGGCCTTTAGAATAATGTAAAAAATCTTATTGAACTGTGAGCCATGGAATATAAGCTGAAAAAAGAATCATACTAAGAAGAGGATTTTTGAAATTGGGGATAACCTATGGCTTAATAAATTCAGGCTTCTGATAAAATCAGAGTAGGAGTATTTGAACAAATAAGCTGTAAGGTGGAAAGTAAAGGAGTTAAGGAATTGAATATTTGCATGATTGATTTTCCAGCTAAAATAATTATAGGTATAAAAAAGATATGTCCCTGGAATAGGTATCTGAAATGATGGCGAGGAATAGTTATGAGAAACAAGAAGTTCAAGAACAGAGGTATGGTATTGGATGCATCATTCACTAGAAGTTTTCAACGAAGATTATAAAATAAATTAAGGTTGAGAAAAAGTCTGTGGGCCTGTTGCCAAAGTTTTAAATATGACAACAGGGGCCCCAATATTGAATTTCAAAGATGATAACCTCAGGTAAAGGAAAAAAATTGTTAAAATTGAAGTATAAGATCTTAAAGTGAGTATGATTTTTTTATTTAATTTTTCTTAGGGGAAGTAATTAAATAGTAATGTACAATTGCTTAAGTCTTTTGTACTCTATACCAATTATAACAGAATTCAGGTCATAGACTTTTTGTTTTTCTGTCTCTCCGTCATTGTCTCTCTTGCTCTCTGTCTCTTTCTCTATATATACACACATATATGGAAATCAATCTATCTATATATTCCACATATATATATATGAAATTCAATATATATTAGTCTGCTTTAGTTTCTCCTAACGCCGGAAAATACAATTGCAATATATATAAAATGCTAAATATGAGAATTATAGTCACCCTCCATCTTAAAGACATTTTCATGAGCTCATGAATTGCAACAAAGTTTAATAAGTAGTATTTTCTCCAAACATTTTACATACATTATCTCATTTAATTTTTAACAACATCTGAGATAAAAATTTTAAACCAGTTTTGGACTTGAGAAAAAGAAGACTTAAAATGCCTAAATAATTTGAACATGGTCACATGGCAAGTAGAAGTAATAGTTCAGAGTGAAACCCAAGTGTGCCCAGTTTTCCTGAACCAAAATCTATCTTCCATTTTGTTATTCTTCCTAATATGACTAGACAGATATTTCTTAATATAAAAAAGTTTCTTTTATATATAAAAAGTTATTTTAGCAACAATTATAAAACAAAACACATTAAACCACAATGAATTGTAGGTTTTCCTAATGAACACAATTTGTAGCAGTTGTACAACATATTAGGTTTCTTAATTTAGAGGACATGAAAACATTGTTAGAAGTACAAAAATTACAATTACAAGAACTTTGCTTTGAGAATAACAATCCCCTTTGTCTCTTTTGGTTTGTCTTTTCCTCTGTCACCCCTAGCCTGTTAGCATTGAATGAGAAAGCTAATAAATGTTTCTACATAATCTTACATTGCCTACAGAAAAAGTTTCATTATATCAGCATGGTTTTCATGCGATTTTAAACTGTATCTATGCATACCAAAACAACAGACAAATCTAGCTCATCCTATTTTATTAAATTACAACCATTTACCTCTTCTTTTTTTACTAAATTTGACCAATCTTCCAAACTCCAGCTAAAATTCTACCTTATATATGAAAACTTTCTCAATCCTATCAAGGAGATTAAACTAGTGCTTTCTTCGGGTCCATGATGTATACACTTCATTACTCAATTTTTCAGAATTTCGTTCATTCTTTTAGTCACTCACCCATGCCCAGATACAAGATCATTAGCTCCTCAAGATTAGAGAATGAGAGTTTTTATACTTAGCCTCCAGCATATAGTACTTGGTAGCTGCATAAAATGTCTTCACTGGGACACAACTTTTGTCTAAAGACAAAAAGTGATTAGATTAACAAAATCAGGGGTGATTTTATTCATTTCACAAAATGCCTACAAGGTAATTAAGATATGCATAATTAGTGGATAGAGAATAAAATGTCTCTGAACTGCAAGGAAGAAGTGGGGAAACATGGAGGTTCTTGACACACCTTCATAAACAGTCACATATCTGGGAGATCTGGAAGCCACTGTTTCGAAGGCAGGTCAGTCTTTTGAATAGTGTCCAATCTGTATTTAAAAATGTGTTCATTAGAAACCTCTGGACTGAATGGTGAAAGTGAGGCAAGGCCTCATCTTGCTGGAAAATGGGATAAGTGAAGGCTTTCTGTAGCTACAGAAAAAAAATTCCATGAGTGTGTCCAAAAAAACAAGTACCCGTGATAGTACCTTCTACTACAAGGATTTAATTAAAACCTGTGAGCTTCATGTGACACAAAAGACATTTAGTGAATCCCTTACAAGTGGAATTGTGAAATGTTGGTTTTCAGTGCTCCATGTGTGAGGGTGATAATGTTATTTTTCTAGTCAAAGGTGATAATGATTCATTTTTCCTACTTAAATAAAACAGCTTCGTCACTGACAGTCAACTCCACTTCCCTGGGACCCTGAAATCTGCTGCAAAACTTGTATCATTTTACTTCACTGTCTCCACTGGGGCTTGAAGCATTTTAAGGCAGGTTTTATTCTCTATTTATGGAAAATGCACTACATAATAGGCTGAAGCTTGCTTAATTTCCATTTCCTGGGACTTCTCTAAAGAAGAAAAAAAATTCGCCTCACTGCTTCCTCTGCATATGGGGCTACTCTGCACACTGTCTTAAGATACACTCTTTCTGCTTCATCTCACTATACAATGGGAAATGCTTTGACTACCTGATAGGTGTTGCTGTCTGGTACACTTAATTACTTTTGTACTGCAGTCATTACAACCAAGTTTACAAGATTTTGACATATGAAATTAAGTGCTATAAGGGTACCTACAAATTGATGGGTATTACATGTTTACCTATTAATATGATACTAATACAATTTTTAAAATATTAAGAAATGGTTTATGAAATTTAGTAATGCTACCAAAGTTAAAGGATGTCGTTAATTACATGTAACTTTGAATTCTAAATTGATAGTTAAGCACAGTTACATCTTTCCACCCATCTGAGCTCTTAAATATGGTAATAACTTATTGATGTGCTAAACATAGAACTGTATTACCTACTCATGATGCCATGATTTAAATTTTGAGTCTAGGTATTATTATTTTAGGTATTTTATTTATACCTTGTCTTGATTCAAGTGCACTTATCCTAATTGAATTTGATTTTGTCTCTTTGTAAATAATTTCAGGCAACCATTTGAATTCTGTTTCTCTTGTAATGGCCTACATAGAGATACCTCAAATGAATAAATGTGCCCTCCTCTATCAGGAAGAGAGTGTTAACAATTCTGAAAAGCACTACTAATAATATCAGGTGATAATTGAATCAAAGGAAACTGCTGTTCTCTTCACCGAGATGTAAGACAATTGCATTAGGCAATCTTTGAAAATTTTAATTAGTATGTGCGATATTCTGTGTTTAGAACCTCTGGATCTTTACTGGCCTCTTTGAAACAAATTGATTGTTAAAGTCCGATTCTTAAAGAGGAAATTGCCAGATCACACAGTAGATTTCACAATTGACATGACTACCTTCTTAGCATTCTTGGTTGAAGAGACAAATATAGCTGGTAGATACAAAATTAACTATGTATTTATTACTTTAAGTCCTTGCTTTATTGCTTCTCAGCCTTTTGGCTAAGATCATGCGAAGTCCTTGCTTTATAATATATACAATGAAAGTTAAGTGAGTAATCTCTGAGTTAGTTTGTGATTTGTGTGTATATTAATGTTTCCGTGCCTGGGAACTGTTAATATGATAACGAATGTTTTACATTAAATTTTATTTTAATTTGAGGTCCAGAAAGACTTCATAATAAACTAAAACAAATACCTTTTGCTTAATCTTTAAATTTACCATTTGTCCATGCTTCCTTCCCCATTTTTTTTTGTTTTTGTTTTTGTTTTTTTTGCTTTGGCCCGGATAAAAAGCCTCAAATATGTGAGAATAAACCCAAATTGATTTCTATAATGCTTTCAATAAAAAGGCAGTTTATCTGGTTTCAGCAAGTACATGCAGCAGCAGCCAGTGAATTCTGGCCCTGGGTTGGACTAGCATTGGGTAGCCATATATCAGAACCTGTATAAATTACCAGAGTTTGTAAAGATTGCTTTAATAGCCAGGCACGGTGGCTCACACCTGTAATCCCAGCACTTTGGGAGGCCAAGGCGGGCGGATCACGAGGACAGGCGATGGAGACCATTCTGTCTAACACGGTAAAACCCTGTCTCTACTAAAAATACAAAAAAATAGCTAGGTGTGGTGGTGGGTGCCTGTAGTCTGAGCTACTTGGGAGGCTGAGGCAGGAGAATGGCGTGAACCTGGGAGGTGGAGCTTGCAGTGAGCCGAGATTGTGCCATTGAACTCCAGCCTGGGCGACAAGAGTGAGACTCCTTCACAAAAAAAAACAAAAAAACAAAAAAACCCCACAGTGCTTTAATATAAAATGCCCAATGAATGAATATGAGAATGTGCTAACCTGAGTTAGGTCTCCTATCCTATCTAGAAAAACAAAATATGTTTAAAGATTGAATGGTAACAAAATAACTCCTAACCATTGATACTCATTTCCTAACACATTTATTTATTCAGCATGCATTTATCAATTTTGTTCCTATATACAAAAATAGAGAAACAATTGTAAACAAAACACAACCAATTCCTTCATGGTATGGATCAAATATTTAGACTAATGAAGCCTAGGCAAATATTTTGATGTATTACTGCAGTTTATTTTAAAATATAGTAATTTATTTTCACACAGATCTCAATATCTGAACTTACTTTACTTCATCCAATATTGCCCAGCTCAGACTTTGTTTTTTTTTTTCTGAAACCCAGAAAACTTTTTTAAACTGTGTATTAGACATTTACAATTACATGAGCCACAAGAACAAGAGATACAAGCTTCCTAAACTCAAGTCATTGTCTTACCAAGAAAACTTACTCCTTCTTTGGCATTCTAAGTTATGCTAAATGACAACACACACCACCAGAAGCTAAGATGTCACCATTGATTCCTTCTAATTACCATAAGCCTAACACAGAATCAATCACCAGGTTCTACTAATATAGCATCTAATATTGTCAGAAAAAAGCAGACAAAATATGTCTGCCTAAATGAAGATTAGATGGATAACGAATAGAGATGTAGAGATACAGAGAAAATCAACAGCAGATTTAAGAAACAAATATCTCATGTAGTATTATAGAAAGAAACAAGTGTTATGGAAAAATTTAAAAATACAATTGAATAGTCTATTTTATGCAATTAGAGAAACATAAAAATTTCAATTTTATTATGTAATTATTTCACTTCATGCTTTTTGACTTTTAAAATTAAAATATTTATTTTGTGTATTGAACTTATAATTTTAAGTTGCTTTATTTATTCTTAATCTTTTGGTTCAAGATAAAAATGGAACAGAAGAGTAGATTTACATATTTTTTTAAATGTCCTACTTTCAATTTTTGAAGCCTCATAACTGATTTCTTCCTCAAGAGATGTGTTTGAAAATGACACAAAGCCACTGTCTTTATTCATGTTTCTTTCCGGCGTAATTGCTCTGAACAATACGTCTTTATCTTCCGTTTTTAGTTGTTAGGTATTGGTTCCTGCGAAGAAAATAGTCTTTCTTACTAAGATAACAAAGTGTTGTTTGTTATAAAGACTTCTTCAAATGAAAGGTCTCCTTTTCTACTGTTTTTGTTGAAAAGTCCCTTTAATAGAAAATCCATTTATCCCTCCCTAAACAGACGCTACTTTGGTTTTCTGAATGAACAACCCAAAAAGGTATGCAATATTTGTTTTCCCCTTAAACAAAGTATTTCTAGTGAGCATGTTATATTTATAGCTTGATCGACATTACTAAGCAATTGCTGAAATACATTTTTCTAAAGAAAAGCTTCTTTGTAGCTTTAGCGTAAAGTCTCTCAATATTTCAGTCTGTGAAGGAATAGATGGATAAATGAGCTTCTGTGAAATAGGTTGGCAGAAAAAGATATCTTACGTTTTTATGTTTTGTGCTAAGCCAATATGGCAATAGAGTATTATTTTGATATACAGGAAGATATAAATGCCTCAGTTTATTCAACTAAAATAACACTGTCTTGCAATCTTTACATAAAAGATGAAAATTATTGCTCGCTCCTCTCTCTCTCTATGTGTGTGTAAATATATGTATACCTATATGTACATATATGTACCTATATTTTTATCTATCTAATATCCACACATCACAAAACATGATGCAAGTTGATAACCACTGATTATGTAAAAATATGAGTGTATACAGAAAACTAAACAAAATAGCTTTCTAACTTATACAGAACATTTTCTTTTGCAATTCAAGTATTATTTTCTTTCAGCATAACTCAGCAGACTTAGGCATTTGCAGATTCCACTCAGAGTAATGGAAGAAAGTGCGGTGGAAGGAAACATCTATCAAGTGCCTGTTTTAAGCTATTCACCAAGATAAGGGCTTCCACAGTTTACATACACTTGGTAACAACCCTGACGGATGTTAGACAAAATCTCTATTTTTTTTTTACAGTTCAGATAATTTTTGTCCCAGTAAACAATTCATAAAAGTTGTCACTGAAAACAATAGATAAAAATACTCACAAATAAAAATACTCTCACCAATGAATCCTCACCCTAAACTCACATGAGCACTGCCAACATTTTTATAGATCTATTTAGAGACTCACCAACATATTTGGAAAACAAAGTGTTCTATAGATATTAGTCAATACAAGTAAAAGTAGTTACTCTGAGAAATAATAGGTACAGATTCAACTTCGTCCCACATAAAATATGGCCTCCTTTTTCATGCTCACTTTCACATCTGTGATTTATACGTACATCGCTCTCCCAGATTGCTAATGCCTGGGCTGCTTTTAGCCTCCAGTTTGCCTCTTTCCAAACTTACAGAGCAGTCTTTCTGTCATAGAAAGCTAACCATGCCACTCACCTGATTCAATGATTTCAATTTCTGTAAAGTAAAATTAAAATTTTTTATCTCAGTGTAAATGGTTATCCATGACTTTCCTTTTGCTTAACTGAGCTATCATTTTCTTCGTAGTTTCTTCCATATAACCAACATTTAAATCTTATTAAAACCCATCTATATTTTTTAGATTATTATCCTTTCTCACACTCTCCCCCTCTGTGATACTTTACCTAACTCTCTATAATCCTTCAAGATTCCAATACTTTATGAATTTCCCTTGACTCCTTAAAGTGGTATTTTCTTATTTCTCTGTAATCCTTGACTCAGTCATAGTTCTTTTCACTTGGTATTTTCGTTGTTTTGTTATACCTTGCGTATTGTACCTCTATTTTAGTTTGCATGTTTTGGATTATATCTGGCAAAGAGGACTATTGATATGTGTAATTAAATAGCTTCCTGGAAAAGAACTCTACTTTGGGTAATGAGTTAGATAAAGCAAAAATTCTTCATTGTCAGAAAAAATATAGTGATTTTCTGCTTCTGTTTCTTTCTCTGCCTCTCATATACATGCTCCATCCTTCTGTCCATATGCTAATCTCTGCAGATTGCATCTCTCAGGCTTAGTTTTCAGCAGACTTCAAGTTAAGTTTGACAAAAAGGAGGCATCAAAAGAAGATAAAGGGGAAGAAGAGTATAGAGGACTGGAGTATTTTGTCCTTGTTTTCCTCCTGTTGTCCCTTTTGGGTGTTATTAACTTCCACTGTTGCAAGTCTTTGTGATGAATTCTCTTTTCCTGCCAGGATCCTGGCTTTTAATCACACAAATGTATTGCATGGTTTAGTGATTGTTAGAAGAGTGTATTAGAAAATTGAGAGCAGAAAGACAACTCAACATTGTGAGGAGTATTTCACCAAAACTCAGTAAAATTTGTATAGCTTTACATGTTACACTTAAGCCTATGATACATTTTGATGATACAACTTTTTCTATCACTTTAGTTTTGATTTACCTTTGCTAATGTGTTTAAGTGTTTGTATAGATTTCTTAATGCTTGTTCTAGTGTTTCTATGCATGCACTTATCGTAGCCTATTGACATCAATGTATAGAAAACTTACTTTAATTTAGATCTATTTAATCTCCCATTTTCAAAATTCACAGTTTTCTTAAATATGTTCTCTGCATACATTGAGCCCCGTATCAATTGAGTTATAAATTCTGTTTCCACCATTAAATCTGATTAAGAAACTCATGAAATGAAGGATAGTCTATATGTTTACCCACATTGTTATACATTGTTTTATCCTTGTCTGAAGTTTCTACTCTTTTGTTACCACTTTATTTCCATTGGGAAAATTCTTTTTGCATGCCCTAAGGGTAGATCCTATGGTGGAAAAATTTCTTAGTTTTTCTTTGAGAATGGCTTTCTTTTTTTGACCTCTAAAGGATAGCTTCACCTGACAGAAGATTTACTTTGGCAATTGTCTTAATTTGAAGGTTAAAAATGTGTTCCACTATTTGCTTTTGGTCTCAATGGTTTTGGATGAGAAGTGGGCTGTCATTTGAAGTTACATTCCTCTAGAGATTATGTGTTGCTTCTCTCTGGTTTTCTTAAGGTTTTTTTTTCCTATAGTTTTTATAAGTATAATTTTTGTCTGTCTTGTTAAAGGTTTCATTTGTTTGTTTTTAATCATCTTTGGGGTTTGCTCAGCTTCTTAAGTATGTGGGTTCATGTCTTAAGTTTGGGTGTTTTCAGATATTATTTCTTCAAATGTTTGTCCTGCCCTTTCATTTTTCCCTCTCCTTCTGGGACCGCAATGATATGGATGCTAAATCTTTTGTTACTCTTTTACATATCATTTACACTCTGTGTATTTTTAAAGTCGATTTCTCTGTGTTGTTAAGATCGAGCAAACACTATTGATAAGTCTTCTAGTTCACTAATTCTGTTCTCTGCCATCATCTCCATTCTACGATCAAACTCATCTAGCAAGGTTTTTATTTCAATTATTTCATGTTTCTGTTCTATGATACCTGATAGAGTCATTTCATGGTTGTATATGTTAAATGATGTTCAGGATATTTAGGTGTACTTTGTGGAAGAAGTGGGTGAGGAGGTAATAGTAGAAACCAGAAAAATAAATCTACATCAACTTTTCCCAAAGTCAGAAGTCTAATTTTGACTTTTTAAAGTTTCAAAATTAGCTGCAAAAAGATCTTTTCTGCTAAAAATACTACATTATACATTTAACTACAGAAGTTAGAATTATTATTGCAAACAGTATACTTCTCTTCCCCTCTGCTTTATTTCTAAACATCAAATGATGGAAATAAAGTAGAAATATAGATATGGATATAACACCTTTACCTTAATCTTTTATAGTTGTGATATATATAGAACTCATGTGAAGTGTTATTCTTATGGCTCCACAGTTGATAGGCACCCAGAGTTTCCAGAAAAGTAAAATCACTTTATCAGTTTCATAAATAAAATTTCACCAAACTTATTTCTATATGGCTTCTCAAAACCTATGGCATGGATATTCATTCATATGATAACATAACAAGGGCTCTGAGGATACAGTTTTTGTGATTCTCTTTTATTAAACATCAAAAAGTGTAAAGTGGAAGGTTTATGGTGAAGACTCATGTAATGTAATTTACCATTACCATCTAACCTCTCTCTCTCTTTCTCTCTCTCTCTCTCAAACACACACACACATTTTCAAAAGACACTCTATAAAAGATTTAGGCTATCATGCAAGTTTTATATCAGCAAATTCACTAATGGCTTTTACCAGTGAATCCCTCAGGAGTGCATCTGCCTTTTAAATGTCAAAAAACAGCTCTTAAACTTCGACAAAGTAGAAATTTGGTGTGAAAAGTCTAAGCAAAAGTTGAAATAATATGTTTTAAAAAATATTGGCCCTAACAGTTCAACAACCTTACTCTTCTATGGTAAGTTAAACAGAGCTCGGTGTTGTAACCCACATTGACCATACAGCAGCTTACTACATATCAAGATGTATGACAGCATATTTGTCACATAGTCTCAAAAGAAATTTTAAAAAGACTATACTAAATTTTATCCTACCAACTTCCTTCCTTATTAACATGTTTTCCAAGCCAGATGTTATTTTTGCATATTCAGAGTCACATTGTATTGTAAAATATAAAAGTAGAGATTCTCTCAAGATAACCTATTTGTTATAATCCCAGTTATTTTATAAAATGAAAAAAAGAAAGAAAAAAAGAAGAGTCTTTAAATCTCTGTATCTCAATAGTGATTTTGAGTCAGTGTTGTGAGATATTAAACAAATGCAGGGTTTAACATTTGGCATATGTTTTCCAAAATATCTAACTCATTTCATTTAAAAACTAAATCTATAAGGTGTGTGCTATTATTTTCACCACTTTAAGCACAAAGATATAAATACACAACAATAAATTGTCTTTGGTCTTGTTGCTAGTAAGTGGAAAAGCTGGGAATTGAACCCAACTAAGCCTTCACTCCCACCATAACATTCATAATCTATTTTCCTTATCTTGATCCTATTGTTCTGAACCATTAAAAAATCACAGATTTTATCCTTGTGATGAGGAGTCACTGAGGAGTCACAGACTTTTATTTTTTATACAAAATTCAATTGCATTTTCTGCAACTATTTTGATTAAGAAGTTTTCAAATGGCCCAAATCCTTTTGACTAGAATTCATCTTCATTACATTAGTGTGATTTATGGCTGTAATTTCATGGGAGCTGACTCATTGTTGTATCCTAATGATACTCTTTGGCTGTGGGCATTTAAAAGTGCAATGACTTCTCCATTCTTACCTCACTTGATCTTTTCCCAAACTCCAGTGTATCATTAGAGAGGATCATGCAAATATTTTTAAGTGATTATTTTCAAATCAGTTTTTAGTAAACATTATTTTTACTTGAGATCAGTTTTCTCAGTATTTATTTATTTATTCATTCATTCATTCATTTTTTGAGATGGAGTCTCATTCTCTCTCCCAGGCTGGAGTGCACTGGCACAATCTCAGCTCTCTGCAACCTCCACCTCCGAGGCTCAAGCGATACTCCCACCTCATCCTCTTGAGTAGCTGGGACTACAGGCATGTTCCACCATGTCCAGCTATTAGTATTATTTAATGAGCTATTCAGTTGAACTGTTATTTATTCAGTAAATCACTTAATCAACAATTCATTATTGAATATCTACAATACCTTCAAAAAGACACCAGCCAATTATAGGCCATTAAATAATTTAGGAAAATAAAAAATTAAGTATGCTAGATTGTAATAAGAGCAATGATAAATATGGAAGAGCTCTTGCATAAGAACCTGTAGTCCTGACTGAATAGAGGATAGCAATAATTTTTCTATAGACATCTATGTGTTGACATCTCGCTCTCATCTCTCTCTTCTTTCTCTTTTTCCCCCTCCTTATTCCATTTTCATACTACTATAAAGCACTGCATGGGACTGGGTAATTCATAAAGGAAAGAGCTCTCATTAACTCACAGTTCAGCATGGCTGGGAGGCCTCAGGAAACTTACAATCATGGCAAAAGGCAAAGAGGAAGAAAGTCACCTTCTTAACAAGGCAGCAGGAAAGAGAAGTGCCAAGTGAAGCAGGGAAGAGCCCCTTATAAAACCATAAAATCTCATTAGAAATTACTCACTATCATGAGAACAGCATGAGTGAAACTGCCCCATGATTCAATCACCTCCAGCTGTTCTCTCCCTTGACATGTGGGGATTATGGGGATTACAATTCAAGATGAGATTTGGGTGGGGACATAAAGCCTAACCATATCATTTTGCCCCTAGACCCTCTCAAATCTCATGTCCGTTTCACATTTCAAAACCAATTATGCCTTCCTAACAGTCACCCAAAGTCTTAACTCATTCCAACACTAACCCAAAAGTCCACAGTCCAAAGTCTCACTTGAAACAAGGCAAGTCCCTTCTACCTATGAGCCTGTAAAATCAAAAGCAATTTAGTTACTTCCTAGTTATAATGAGGTTGTAGGCATTGGGCAAATACACTGTTCCCAGTGGGAGAAATTGGCCAAAACAAATGCAAGTCTGAAATCTAGAGAGTAGTCAAATCTTAAGCTCCAAAATGATCTTTGACTTCATGTCTCACATCCTGGTCTTCCCAATGCAAGAGGTGGGCTCAGATGGCCTAGGACAGCTCTGCCCCATGGCTTTGCAGGGTACAGCCCCACTTCTGGCTGCTTTCATGAGCTGGCATTGAGTGTCTGTGGCTTTTCCAGTACAGTTCAAGCTGTCAGTGGATTTACCATTCTGGAGTCTTGAGGATGGTGACCATCTTCTCACAACTCCACTAGGCATTACCTCAATGGGGAATCTGTGTGGGGGCCCCGAACCCAAATTTCCCTTTTGCAGTGTTCTAGCAGGTGTTCTCCATGTAGGCTCTACCCCTGCAACAAACGTCTGCCTGGACATCTAGATGTGTCTACATATAATCTGAAATCTAGGCAGTAGTTCCCATACCTCAATTTTTGACTCCTGTGCACCTGCAGGTCCATCACCATGTGTGAGCAGCCAAGGCTTGAAGCTTGCACCCTCTGAATCAATGGCCTGAGCTGTGCATTGGCCACTTTTAGCCATGGCTGGAATGCAGGGCACCATGTTCTGAGACTGCACGAAGCAGCAAGGCCCTGGGCCCAGCTCAGGAAACCGTTTTTTCCTCCAGGGTCTCTGGGCCTATGATGGGAGAGTCTGTCGCCAAGATCTCTGACATACCCTGGAGCAATTTTGCCCATTGTCTTGACAATTAACATTTAGTTCCTGGTTACTTATGCAAATTTCTGCAGCCAGCTTGAATTTCCCCTCAGAAAATGGGTTTTTCTTTTCTATCACTTGTTGGGCTACAGATTTTTTTGAACTTTTATGCTCTGTTTCCCTTTTAAACATAAGCTCCAATGCCAAACCATCTCTTGGTGAATGCATAAAACTGAATGCTTTTAAGAGCACCCAAATCACCTCTTGAACGCTTTTCTGTTCAGAAATTTCTTCTGCCAGGTACCCTAAATCATCTCTCTCAAGTTCAAATTTCCACACATCTCCAAAACCGGGGCAAAAATACCAGTTCCTTTGCTAAGGTGTAGAAAGAGTCCCTTTTATTTCAGTTCCCAACACATTCCTCATCTCCACCTGAGACCACCTTAGCCTGGACTTCATTGTCCATATTACTGTCAGCATTTTGGTCAAAGCCATACAACAAGTCTCTAGGAAGTTCCAAACTTTCCCATGTCTGCCTGTTTTCTCCTGAGCCCCCCAAACTGTTCCAACCTCTGCCTGTTGTCTAGTTCCAAAGTTGCTTCCATATTTTTGGGTATCTTTTTAGCATCACCCCACCCTCTGCAGTACCAATTTACTGTATTAGTCCATTTTCATACTTCTATAAAGAACTGCTTGAGACTAGGTTATTTGTAAAGAGATTTCATTGACTCACAGTTCAGTATGGGTGAGGAGGCCTCAGAAAACTTACAATCATGGCAGAAGGCAAAGATGAAGCAAGTAACCTTCTAACCAAGGCAACAGGAAGGAGAAATGCCAAGCAAAGGGGGTAAAAGCCCTTTATAAAACCATCAGATCTCATGAGAACTCAGTCATTATCCTGAGAACAGCATGGGGAGAACTGCCCCCATGATTCAGTTACCTCCACCTTGTCTCTCCTTTGACAGGTGGGGATTATGGGGGTTATAGGGATTATAATTCAAGATGAGATTTGGGTGGGGACACAAAGCCTGACCATATCACCCTTCTTTCCTGTCTTTCTGTTAAACACACAAAATCTAAAAATACATCTGCAAAAACATTTCAATTAGGACATGATATTGTGCCATTATAAATGCAAATTCAAGTATGGCTACTTTTGCATATCTCTACTGCTACTGTCAAAGTCCAGTCTAATAAGGTCTTGTCCTTTTATTCACGGAATAATGTTTTAACTGTTCAGCTTGGTCACATTGTTGGTCTCCACAGTCAATTCTTAACACTTATCATTATTTTATCTAGAGTAAAGCCAAAGTCTTTTTGATAAATTGTAAGGATCTATTTTACTTAGTTTTAATTGTCTTCCCAACGTAATTACTAATTACACTCTAACTTGCTCATCCTTATCCAGTTACACTTGTCTTCTTGATTTCTTTCTAACTTTCTAGGCATGACACTGTTCGATGATCTTTGCACTGATTCTTCCCTTTGTTTACATTCCTTGCTCTCCAGGTTTATACGGCTAATTATTTGAACTTTCTCAATTATTTGCTGATATGTTATCTTGTCAATAATCCCTACCATGATTGGAGTATTTAAAACTAATACCTTTTTAACCTCCATATTTCATATTTTTACTTGCTATGAATTATTTTCCTCAGGAATCAAATACACTATTCAAATACATATAATGTGATTATATATTATGTTTATGCATTATTCTGTTTCTATCACAAGTTTTATTTAGCTTTATTAGGGCAATACTTTTTGGCTATTTCATTCACTGAAATATATCTCAAGTTCCTAAAATAGTTCTGAGCGTAAAGTGGCTGCTTAGTGTATATTTTCTTAAAAACTACATGAATATTCATTACTTGTGGTAATGATGGGAGAGTAAAATGGTCATGTAAAATTTTCTTGGGATAAAAATTATAACATGTAGATAAAAATGCATGAATATTTCAAAAAGGATTCAAAAGAAGGAGTAAGTATACAAAACAAGCTGAAGTCAGAGGAGAGTCCTTCAACAGTAAGGGATAAGAATATTAGCATTTTGTTTCCTGAAGAGATCCTCCAATGTACTTTGCTACAGCAGAGAAAAAATGTTTTCAATATGAAAAATCACACTGATGCATTGCAGGCTTACCAGCCCAATATGGTAGAAAAGAAGTTCAAGATTAAATAATTTAAGATGGGATACTTTGGAAGTGAAAGAATCACAGAAAGTGTGTGATCTATAATTTCAGCACAAACTTATATTTCTGAATGGTCACTAAGATAAACTATACATATGCATTAGAGATATCCATTTAAAAGAACATAGAGTACAAAAGTATGTATTCTCATAAAATAAAGCTCTTCCAGGTGAGTTCCATGTACTTGTTTTCTTATTAATTGAATTAATTGATGGCATTCCTCAACCATATTCAACTTGGACAGCAAAAAGCTGAAGCTTAATGACTTGGAGATTCAAAGGAAAGAAAACAAATCTATGGAGCAGCTGTAAATTAGTAGAAATCCCCAGAAACAAGGAAATGCCAGGAAGATTTTGCCTCTAATTTTGAGTACAGTCATTTCTCTGTATCTGTGGGAGTTGTTTCCAGGACCCCTGTGGATACCAAAACCCATGGATGCTTAAGTCCCTAATATAAAATGGTGCAATATTTACATATAACCTCTACACATTCTCTTGCAGACTTTAACTAATCTGTAGTTCTCTTATAATACCTAATAAGATATAAATGCTGTGTAAATAGCTGATCTGCTGTATTGTTTAGGGAATAAGGACAAAAAAAGTCAGTATATATTCAATACAAATGCATTTTTTTGATGTTTTTGATATGTGGTTGGTTGAATCCATGATGCAAAACCCCACAGATAAGGAGGGTCAACTGGTAATCTCTGTCTCTTTTATGTTGAGAGACAAATTAAGCAGAGACCGTGGATACTGGGGGACAATTCTCCAGGTGGCCTTGAACTAACCCAGTTTCCCCCCCATTTTTACTTGTAGCTCTCATGAATAACTATAAAATACGTTGGGAATGTAATATCCTAAAATAAGGAGGGACTGGCTGGAAAGCCTGGACTCTGTTTCAACCTGTCCACCCTCCCTCTCCTGAAAACAGGATGTCCTTCCCCACTTTATCCGAAAAATTCTGACAACCCAGGGGTATAAAACCGAGCTCAGCCTGTTTACCAGGCTTCCTCAGCTGCAGTGCAGGTGGCAGACATGCAAATAAGATTCCATCCATTCCTGGCAGCTTTTCTGAGCCTTGGCGGACTGGTTCACATGAATTCTAGACTTGTGTTTTTTCTTCCCACCTATTTTCATGTAATAAAAACGTTTCATATTACTTATGGATGCATGGGTGTTCTGTCTTACTGGACTCAGACAAGTCGGTGACCAGTCCAAGTGAACCCGTTTCTCAGAGATCTCTAAGAGTCCAGCCTAAAAACAGCATCTTGAAGGCACAAAAATTGAGCAGACACTTTAGCTGATGCCTAATGCTTGGAAAATAAAGCTAGCATTTCAAGTCCAAACAAGGTTACTATTTAGCAGACAAAAATAAGATAGTAATTCTAAGAATCCCTATATCCTACAGTGTGTTATTTATAATTTTTCATGAATGTAAAGAAACAGGAAAGTGATAACTTACAATAAAGAAAAAGATACTGAATAAAAAATTCAAGGTAATGTCAAATTTTGGATTTAGCAAGAAGGACTTCACAGAAGCTTATTAAGCAATATTCAAAGAATGAGTGGATATGTCCAAAGTTTAAAGAAAAATGGCAGTAATGAGTGAACGGAGAACGGAATTCTGATAGGACAAGGAAAGGACAAAAGATGGAATTTTAGAGCTAAAATGTCCAATAAATTAAAAGAAAGACTCAATGAAGGACTGAAGATGACAGAAAAAATAACCAGTTACCATGAAAACAGATCAATCTAAGTAACAGAAAGACAAACAGTACATAAATATACTGACATACCTTGCCAAGAAGTTCATGTCTATAGTTGTAGTGCCAGAAAGAGAAACAGAAAGAGAAACAAAATATTTGAAGAAATAATAACTGAAAACTTGTCAAATTTTGTGGAAAATATTGACTTAGAGATCCAAGGAGCTTCAAACTAAACACAACAAAAATGTTAACCACATTATAGACAAAATGCTAAAAGTCAAAGAAAAAGAAAATCTTAAAATGAACCAGTGAGAAAGGAAACATCACATACAGGGAAGAATGTTATGATTAATTGCCCACTGTTCATCAGAAACAAAGAAGTTCAGAAACATTGAAGTGTCTTATAAAAATAATTAATTTTATAACCATTTTATTGTAAGATATGTTCCACTGTAGAACCATCTGGATACAATATTCTCTTAAAGTAATGGCAAAACAACTGTGTATTCTTCTATGAAAACATGATTTTCCCCCTTACTCAAGTCTTATAAAAGTAATTTCTAGAAGTATTAAAAATTAAATGTGATAGCAAGGAAATACGGTTTTTAAATGGTAATATATATAAGAATATCTTCATGATATATTTAGAGAAATATTTTTAAATAAACACATATAACTTAAAAGTTATAAATTGACTACATTGAAATTAAGAATTTGTCTTCATTAAAAGACACTGGAAAATGAACAAAAATACAAATCATCAAGTGGGAGAAAATATATTCAATACATATAACCACCAAGGTCTAGTGCTAAAAAGACACAAAAGAAATAAAGTCAATAAGAAAAAGACAACAAATAACCCAATTGAAAAAAATGACCAACGAATGGTTTAGAATTCATAATTCATAAATATTAACTCCAAATGGCTAATAAACATAAAAAAGTCTTAACTATTACTGATTGAGAAATTACAAATTAAAACTACAATGCTACCCGACCCTGTACTTATCGTATTGGCTAAAACTAAATAGATGTAGACCTCATTAAGGTCTCCCATACTCTGCTGGTTGGAGAGTGTGGTACAACCTCATTAGAAAAAAATTTAAATATTTATCTAAATCTTAAGATAGACACATCCTATGACACAGCACACCTAAATATTTATCTTAGAAAACTCCATTGGATAAATATACAAAAATATTCATTACAAATTTTTGACTAATTTTCTCAGGTGGAAACAACTAAAATTTCATTGTGTTTATTAAATGATGGATAATTAATTGCTATAATTTTTAATGTAATATTACACAGCAACAATGATAATGAGTGACAACAGTAAGATTTGAGATGAATACATTTTTAAAGAAAACATGAATATTGAGCAAAATACCAAGATTATTTAGTTTGATTCATTTATATAAATTAATAAAAGAGATATATTAATTTTCTGTTGCCGCTGTAGTAAATTACTATAAATTTAGTGGTTAAAAAAACTCACAAAGTTATTTTTTTTTTGTTCTGTAGGTTAGACTTTAACACTGGTTTCACTGGGCTAAAATTAAGATATTGGTAAGGCAGTGTTATAATCTGGTGGTCCTAGGAATAAAATCTCTTTTCTTGACTGTTTCAGCTATAAGATACTGCAGACATTCCTTGACTGTTGTTTCTTTTTTTCCATTTTCAAGGCAAAACTTTGCTTCTCTCTGTGTCATATTTCTATATTCACATCCCTCTAATTTAAAGAACCATGTGATTAAACTTGGTACAGCTAGATAATCCAGGATAATCTTTCCATTTTCAGGTCTTTAGCTAAATGACATTTGAAAAGACTTCTTGCCATATAAGATCACATATTTTCAGATTCCAGGGATTAGGACATGGGCATCTTTGGGAGACCATTATTTTGCCTACCACAAGAGGCAAGAGCAAATTATATTGTCCAGGGAAAAAATATAGTTACAAAAACAATAAAGATATAGAGAAAATAGCTATCACAAAATTCTAGTAGGAAAAATTTGCATAGAAAATGGTATCCCTTAGGTCACAGAGAGCAGTGCAGTATTTCTTGATTTAGGAGGTTATCTCATTGCCCTTTTTTTAACAGAATAGTAAATTTCACATTTACAGTTTGTATACTTTCATACTAAAACTAATTAATAATAGATTATATGGGATTTCAAATTGAGTGAAGAATCACTCTTTTGGAATCACTACTGCGTTTTGACTAGACGGTGATGGGTTGAACTGTTTTTGGCAGTGTATAAAGAAGGAAAGACTGAATAGATTAGTGGGATATTTCAGAACAGTATAAGCAAAAGATTTTTTAAGCTTGTAAACTTTGTAATTTTGTTATTTTTCTCCCTTTCTTTTTGGCAGATTTTACACATCTCTCTAGTGATTCATATAATGATTGATTATATAATTGTTTTGAGAATCTTGAAATGACATCACTTAACCCATGTTTGAGAGCACAATATTGATTAAGAGTCATTATGTCTGAATTTGTTAATTTTTTTTCACATACACTTTCTATTAGGTGCAACTTCTGTTTGTTATCTTAAGTATGATAGATGATGATTCTCACTATACTTCCTTTTTATAAATAACACCTTCTTAAATATTTGACTATGATAGCTAAATAATGCAAAAATCTTGGATGCCAAATAAAATGTGATGCAGTTTAAAAATCCCAAAACAACACACATTATTGACAGTAAATTTTAAATATTATAAATTTTAAATTTTAGTATAAAATAAATTTTAAATACTTTAAGCTATTTACATATTTTAAAAGTTATTATTTTGTTCTATCAATATATTCTTTCTGCATTTTGTTAATTCAATTTAGTTAATCTTACCTAACCAATTTCTTTCTGTAGTTCAAAACTTTATAAGCCCAAAGTGTTAAAATTTCTGGCATCTTTTTAATATACACCATTCCATCATACAAAAAAGGAGAAATACTATTTTAGATTAAGAGACAGATGCAAAATAGTAGATAAAATAATACTGATTTCAGATGGAAGATAACTGATGATCCTAATATTAACCAAGTTTTTTATTTATTTATTTTTTTGAAACAGAGTCTCCCTCTCTTGCCCCTGCTGGAGTGCAGTGGTGCTATCTCCGCCTGGGGTTCAAGTGATTCTCCTGCTTCAGCCTCTCGAATAGCTGGGACTACAGGTCCCCAACACCACGCCCAGCTATTTTTTTTGGTATTTTTAGTAAAGGCAGGGTTTCACCATTTTTGCCAGGCTGGCTTTGAACTCCTGACTTCAAGTGATCCACCCGCCTTGGCCTCCCAAAGTGGTGGAATTACAAGCGTGAGCCTGTAGCCAAGTTTTATATACACTGGCAAATATGTTATTTAAACTTTCTCTTCCATAATGCCTAAACAGAAAAATCTTACAATTTATTATTATGTGCCAAGATTTGTTGTGAAATCAGGTGAAGAAAAAAGTCCAATGGAGCAAATTGATTATCTAAAAGGATCAAATAACCCAATCAATTCATGACTTCTAGTTATTAGTGGATTGTAAATGAGAAAAAAAAAATTTTTTTTTTTTGAGACGGAGTCTCGCTCTGTCGTCCAAGCTACAGTGCAGTGGCGTGATCTCGGCTCACTGCCAGCTCCGCCTCCCGGGTTCACGCCATTCTCCTGCCTCAGCCTCCGGAGTAGCTGGGACTACAGGCACCCGCCACCACGCCTGGCTAATTTCTTGTATTTTTAGTAGAGACGGGTTTTCACCGTGTTAGCCAGGATAATTCAATCTACTGACCTCGTGATCCGCCCGCCTCGGCCGCCCAAAGTGCTGGGATTACAGGCGTGAGCCACCGCGCCCGGCCTAAACTATGGATTTTTTTTTCCCAGTGGAGTTTCGCTCTTGCCCAGGCTGGAATAGGATGGCACGAACTCGGCTTACTGCAATCTCCACCTCCCGGGTTCAAGCGATTCTCCTGCCTCAGCCTCCCGAGTAGCTGGGATTACAGGCATGTGCTACCATGCCTGGCTAGTAAATGAGAAAAATTTTAAAGAAAAATACATGGACATATCTTTCCTTCAAAAAATAAATGTGATATTTATACTTATTTAATAGTAAATTATTCTCAAAATTTATACAATAGTTCACTTGATAATAATACATTATGTGACAAAATCAGCTTGGATTTATTAAATCCATGTTAATATGAATCTAAAATGAGCTTTGCATTTTCTTTATAAACTATAAATATTTTGGGTAATTTTTATGGCTTTTATTGTTTAGTAGGCTCAAGAAGAACCACACTAGCAATGATGTTTCACTATAAGCAAGCCTTTTTCACTGTTATAGATCAAGTGTCTCAACTAGTATCTTGAAAATGTTTGCTCAAGGAAAGGAAAATTTCTTGCCTTGGACTTTACTATCTGGTCACCATGATCAAATCCTGAGGCAATGATTTTCAAGAAGTCATACTCTTCATGACATTGATTAATTCCATGAGAAATCTATTTAGCGATATACAGATAAGATTTAGAAGATGTTCATGGCCTTAAATTGAATTTTAGATTAGCTATATATCATGTTAATATGCAGGTAATAGCAGTTTAAAGACGATGTGATGCCTTAATTATATATTTGTCTAGAACAACAGGCAGCTTTGCAGAAGGTTAGAGTCTATTAATAATATGCATAACAACCGGTCACTTGACATTTAATTTTGAATCTGACAACTTTGGGCCAGTTGTTTCAGGATTCTCACACAACCTAGTGTGCTGAAGAATGAATGCGAGGTATTTCAGTGATGGCAATACATTTAAAACTATACTTAAAAAACACTTTTCAGTGACAAGTGGAGTTTTAAAAATATACAATTTTATTATGAGGGAGTGACACATTTTTTGAGAAGGCTAGTTTTTAAACTGGAAGGACTGAGCCTATTTATTAAACAAGCCTAGAAATATCTGCAGGAAATACGAATAGAAACTGGTAAGTGCTTTGTAGAGTATACCTTAAAGTTATATTGCTGCTTACTTTAAGTATTTTTGTTTCAAGTAACAAACATGGAATGAGGTTAACTTAAGTAAAAAAAAAAAAATTGCTTGAAATAATAAACTGTGGTTTTCCAAATCGAGGGAATATTATACAAAGAAAAGAACCTAGAAAAGGTAGTGGGGAGTTTGTAGGTCTACTGAACATCATTTTCTTAATTCTTATGCAAGAAAGAATAAGCTGGAATTTTTGTTCTGTCTCCTTAGAAGTGGGTTTCCCAGGAAATAAACCTAATTAATGAACTTTAATTATACATCACATATTCAATAGGAGAATGGAAGAAAATTTGATTGACAAAACCCATTGATTGTGGGAGGGGTGGATATTTGAAAAAAATGGAAAACCAATGCTGAATTGCAAAAGTTTTGTTAATGTATAATTCATTTTGAAATCTCAACTTCATTTACATTTTTAGTAGCACTACAAAAATTAATCAATTCATTATCTTCATTTTGTTTTGAGGGAAGATGAAAAACAACTGCCATCCTCATAGTCTTCAATTTACAAAAAATCATCTTGTTCTTCCAAATTTTCGATAAGTTCTTGAAATTTCAAATATTTTCCCCATAGTAACCTTTGTATCTGATCAAGAACAGTGATATATTATATATTGACAATAATATTTTTATCCATTTATTTAGTATATATATCAGGGGTATATTTCTATGGGAAAGGAATAGACAAATACTGACTTTTATGTGTCAGAAATGCTATTGTATTTAATAATTAAAAACATGCTTTGAGACATGCATTAAAATTATTGATTTATTGATAAGACAAAAAATTCAAAGAGATTAGTTTCTTTAATTACTCACAATAAGAAGGAAGAATGTGAATGAAATATAAAATTCTTTCCTATACACTCCTCTATTTTATTGTTAGATTATTTAGAAAGTAAAAACAAGAATATCATGCTGTCTTCAAAGAAATTATATTTTGGTCAGTGGTATAAATCATGTAAATTAAAATGTATTAAGTGCAGAAATATGTACAAAACTGTAGATACACTTCCATTTTATTTATTTATTAGGAGACAGAGTCTTGCTCTGTAGCCCAGACTGGAGTGCAGTGGTGCGATCTCAGCTCACTGCAACCTCCCAATCCTGGGTTCAAGTGATTCTCCTGCCTCAGCCTCCTGAGTATTTGGAATTGCAAGTGTGAGCCACCATGCCTGAATAATTTTTGTATTTTTGGTAGGGAAGGGGTTTCACCTCGTTAGCCGGGCTGGTCTCAAACTCTTAGCCTCAAGTGATCTGCCTGCCTTAGGCTTCCAAAGTGCTGCAGTTACAGGCATGAGCCACTGTACCTGGCCTATAGATACACTTTCAGAGAAAAAAAGAGATTATTTTGGTATGAGATGATGAATCAAAGGATTCTTTGTAAAAAGTTTAGAATTTGATAACAGCAGACACATATCAGATGAAAAAATATTTTATGTGCAAGGGATATTGTGAGTTAAATCAGTGGGGTGGGAAGAATTTAACGTGTGGCTTTTAACGTAAGAATAATAAACAATTTGTAAGTATTTTATATAATCCAGCATACTCTGTATGAAATGGAGAAAACTTTTTCTATCAAAATGCTGTAAGAGGAAAAATATTAGAGCAACTATTTTCACTAATATGCTTAATCACATAATATTAAAAATTTTGGAAGAAAGTTTCCATCCTACATTTCCATTAAAACTAAAATAATAAATTTCAATGAAAATAATTCCTACTTGAGTTTTGCAAAGGAGAAACTTGAGTCTTATTACTATAATTTTCATCATTTTAATATACAATTTTAATGGTTTTTTAAATAAACTTTCTTCACCAGATACTAAATATTTTATCTTACTTTTTTCTCATTTATAAAATTCCTTTGGGGCTGAGGAAAAAGTGCTTTTCAAACTTTACAGTATTTTATAAACAACAAAGGTAGCATTTTATCTGCTACCATTTTACACTTCACTGCTGCACAGAAGTGAGGAGGCGAAGTCATTTGGGGATCTGGGCATTCACTTTCTTACAAGAAGGTTACTTTCCAATATTGGACAAGTATAGAGTTTTCCAAAGAGGCATATTTCATTCAGGTTGCACAATCAGTGTCAAGGTCCCAGAAGGTCATTATCCTTTTCAAGTCAGTTGGAATGACATCTGCCTCAAGCAACCTAGAGGCACAGCTGATTGTTCTATAGTAAGAATATAAACACTTCCTGTAACTTATGTCAGTATAAGTCTGGTGGTAGAAGAGATGCATTTGGGAAGAAGAAGAAATAGAAAGCAAGTTTATTTACTTTAAATATACTTATAATATTTTAAGTTTATTATTTAAAATATTACAAATGGAAATATATACACATGGCTATTAAAATAAGTGTGGTTTTAAATTTCAAAGCCTCATTGAAGAGTTGGATGACAGCAAAGGGAAAACACTTAAGTCCATGTTCATTGCTAGGTTTCTAGATTTTATTTCTTACAATACTGCTTATCTTTGCATAAAAAATGAACAAATCAAAACCATATATATACATACATATTATGTATATATATATGTGTGTGTGTGTATATATATATATATATATCCCCAGTAGAGAACTCATAATTCAACCTGATACTTGTTATTCTTATTTTTGTTGTTGCTGTTATAAGCTCTGGTCCAAGCCTGGACAAAACTTTTACTCCCAATTCCCATTAGCATGACCATATGCTATATTTCTTTCCTGCTCAACAGGAAATAATACGCAATGTGGTGCTTTTGCTTAGAGGAGCTGTGGAAGATGCAACTAAAACAAAGAAGAGAGTGTAGATTCTTACAATAATCCAAATTTTGGCTCACATTATTTTCCAAGCTTTCCTTAATGATTTAAAAGAAGATCTCATTAATCCTCTTGCAACTGGAAAATATATAATCTATTCCACCTCAAAAGATCACAAGTTGAAAGGGAACCAGATCACAGAATCAAAGCTCAGCCGATAGTTACTCCATACTATAAAATATACAATTTTATTAAAATTGGAGCAGATTCCTGAGGCAGATATTATGATTACAGTTTAGTCTGTTGCTGTATGTAAAATAAGACGTAAGACCAAGTTCGGGGCTTTGCTACCTACTGATAATTGCAGAGTGGCTGGTGGGTACAGAACATGAGAAAGTTGTGTGGTTTTTAACTATCCTATCACCTTCCTTAAAAATAATCACTTCAAGCTGGGCACGGTGGCTCACGCCTGTAATCCCAGCATTTTGGGAGGCCGAGGTGGGTGAATCACTTGAGGTCAGGAGTTCAAGACCAGCCTGACCAACATGGAGAAACCCCGTCTCTACTAAAAATACAAAAAAAATTAGCCAGGCCTGGTGGTGCATGCCTGTAATCCCAGCTACTCTGCAGGCTGAGACAGGAGAATTGCTTGAACCTGGGAGGCAGAGGTTGCGGTGAGCCAAGATCATGCCATTGCACTCCAGCCTGGGCAACAAGAGCGAAACTCCATCTCAAATAAATAAATAAATAATCACTTCATTCAACTCAGATGCATTAATAGATTTGCTTTATATTTTTTAATGACTTGCTTAGAAACATTATTTTCTTACATAAGCCCAGTAAAAGAGAATAAAGCTTTGATATTGATGATAAATTTAGAGCATGTACAATTGTTATTTACTCTCTTGGTGAATCACAATTTCCATGATACTACAATTGACAAGTTAATTTCACTATTTTAATGATCTTCATAGTTCACAAACACACACACACACACACACACTTTTCTTTATTCTTTAATTACAAAGACAAGATACTTTTGCTGATCACATTTGATACGGTTTCACTGTGTCCCCACCCAAATCTCATCTTGAAATCCCATGTGTTGTGGGAGGGACCTGGTGGGAGGTAATTGAATCATGGGGGCAAGTCTTGCCTGTGCTGTACTTATGATAGTGAATAAGTCTCATGAGATCTGATGCTTTTAAAAAGAGGAGTTCCCCTGCACAAGCTTTCTCTCTTTTTGCCTGCTGCCATCCAGGTATGATGTGACTTGCTCCTCCTTGCCTTCCACCATGATTGTGAGGCTTCAACAGCAACGTGGAACTGTAAGTCGAGTTAAATCTCTTTCTTTTGTAAATTGCCCAGTCCTGGGCATGCCTCTATCAGCAGCGTGACTAATAACAGTAAATTGGTCCCAAGAGTGCAGCGCTGCAGAAAAGATACCCAAAAATGTGGAAGTGACTTTGAAACTGGGTAACAGGCAGGGGTTGGAACAGTTTGGAAGGCTCAGAAGAAGATCGGAAAATGTGGAAAGTTTGGAACCTCCTAGAGGCTTGCTGAATGGCCTTGCCCAAAATGCTGATAGTGATATGGACAATAAAGTCCAGGCCAAGGTGGTCTCAGATGAAAATGGGGAATCTGTTGGGAACTGGAGCAAAGGTGACCCTTGTCATGTTTTAGCAAAGAGACTGTTGGCATTTTACCCCTGCCCTAGAGATCTGTGGAACTTTGAACTTGAGAGAGATGATTTATGGTATCTGGTGGAAGAAATGTCTAAGCAGCAAAGCATTCAAGATGTGACTTGGATGCTGCTAAAGGCATTCAGTTTTATAAAGGAAGCAGAGCATAAAAGTTCAGAAAATTTGCAGCCTGACAATGTGATAGAAAATAAAATCCCACTTTCTGAAGAGAAACTCAAGCCGGCTGCATAAATTTGCATAAGTGACAAGGAGCTGAATGTTAATCCCCAAAACAATGGGGAAAATGTCTCCAGGGTATGTCAGAGGTTTTTACAGCAGTCCCTCCCATCACAGACCCAAGACCTAGGAGAAAAAGTGGTCTTGTTGGATGTGCCCAGAGTCCCGGTGCTATGTGCAGCCTAGGGACTTGGTGCCCTGGGTCCCAGCTGCTCCAGCCATGGCTAAAAGGGGCCAATGTAGAGCTCAGGCCATAGCTTCAGAGGGTGCAAGCCCAAAGCCTTGGTGGCTTCCATGTGGTGTCGAGCCTGTGAGTGCACAGAAGTCAAGAATTGAGGTTTGGGATCTTCCACCTGGATTCCAGAGGATGTTTGAAAATGTCTGGATGCAGTGGCATCCAGGCAGAAGTTTGCTGCAGTGGCAAGGCTCTCGTGGAGAACCTCTGCTAGGGCAGTGTGGAAGGGAAATGTGAGGTCAGAGCCCCCACACAGAGTCCCTACTGGGGCACTACTTAGTGGAGCTGTGAGAAGAGGGCCACCGTCCTCCAGACCCCAGAATGGTAGATCCACAGAGAGCTTGCACCATGCACAGAGAAAAGCTGCAGATACTCAATGCTAGCCTGTAAAAGCAGCTGGGAGGCAGGCTGTACCCTGCAAAGCCACAGGGGTGGAGCTGTCCAAGACCATGGGAACCCACCTCTTGCATCAGCATGACCTGGATGTGAGGCAAGGAGTCAAAGGACATGATTTTGGAAATTTAAGATTTGACTGCCCTTCTGCATTCTGGACTGGCATGGGGCCTGTAGCCCGTTTGTTTTGGCTAATTTCTCCCATTTGTAATGGCTATATTTACCCAATGCCTCTACCCCAACTGTATCTAGAAAGTAACTAACCTGCTTTTGATTTTACAGGCTCATAGGCGGAAGGGACTTGCCTTGTCTCGGATTACACATTGGACTGTGGACTTTTGAGTTAACGCTGAGAAGAGTTAAGACTTTGAGGGACTGTTGTGAAGGCATGATTGGTTTTGAAATGTAAGTACATGTGATTTGGGAGGGGTTGGGGCAGAGTGATATGGTTTGGCTGTGACCCCACCCAAATCTCATCCTGAATTGCCATGTGTTGTGGGAGGGACCCGGTGGGAGGTAAATGAATCACGGGGGCAGGACTTTCCTGTGCTGTTCTTGTCATAGTGAATAATTTTCACAAGATCTGATGGTTTTAAAAAGAGGAGTTCCCCTGCACAAGCTCTCTCCCTCTTTGTCCGTTGCCATAAAGTACATTATATTTAGAAGACAAAGAATAAATAGAGAAACTATTTAGGAATATCATGCTAAAAAGAGTGTTATGAATTTGTCTTCTGAGTTTCTATGAACATCAGTAGCAATTCATCAACCAATATTTAAGGGCCAAATATGAATCAAAATCTACTGGATATTTATATTCCCATTACATTGATTGAAGCAATGAGTATTATTTGGTTGTAATCAAGGATATAATTGTGCAAGGTCATGCAGACTGAGAGAGTACCTTATCCTGAAAGCATTATTTTTAACTCTCAGGAAATTATATAGTTAATTAGAGAAACTTGAATATTTAACAAAATTAGGAGAAGGAAAGTTTTCTTGGGAGGGAAAGTAAAGTGAATATGCAAGATAAGCAGGAATCTTGTAGACTATCTTGTGGCAGATACCACCATTATTTCTATTTTAGAGATAAAGAAATAAAAACATAAAGTAATATATCTAAAGATGTGAAGCTAATCAGTACCAAATACTAGCAAGAATGATTAAAAAGACCCTATCAATATCAGAAATGTAAAATATCAATTTATGTCTAAAAGCATATCTTTGTTTATGTCTAATACATATCCAAGGCATAAGAAATAGAGAAAACTAAATACAGCAAAATATTGTAATAAAATAATCTTTATATAAAAAATGATACACTTACAATTCAGTTGGAAATATATAAAAAAATTCAAGCTATGGAAAACTTTCCATTGTGGATTTATTTCAATTTTTAGATATGTATCAAGAAATAATTTATAACTTTAGAGTCTTACTTAACTGAAGCATGATATTTTAAATTTAAAGGTAAAATAGAAATTATGTGAATCCAGAGTTAAGTAGTATTATGTTAATTGCACAATCTTACTAGAATTAGGAAATGAATGTTAATTTGAACTATGGCATATAGTCAAGCTTTTAATTCGTATTTCTTTCACAATTCTCATTAAGAATTAGAGCTGATCTGGCTTTTTACAAATCATCAACATTGCCAAGATGGTTTGGAATAGTGCAGTGTTTCAGAGCAGAGAGGTTCATAAGGTTTTATTAGGTCCCATGGGAGAACATCAACTTGTTCTATTCTCCCCCAAGAAACAAACAAATTCACTCAGTGAAAAATCCTCTGTGAGTGGATCTTTGCACACTGATAAGGAGATGGTACAATAGTTGGCATTATAGAACTTTGATGATGTGGAAGAAACACATGGAAGTCATACTTTCTGGGTAAATCAACAAGGTTAGTTAGACACAAATAAACATATTTTTCTCTACGAGACTAATTTTGTAGAATTTAAATTCCACTTGTAATTATAGAGAAAAAAGTGGCAAAATATATACTGTCTGCATTTATTCTTGACCAAGAAAATCCTGAAAAGTATAATACTAAAAAATCGAAAAGGAAATGCTCACGTGATGTAAATATTAGGAAGTTTCCAACTCGGGAATTGAGGTATTACAGAAAGACTAGGAAGCAGCTACCTACATCAAAGCAGGGTGAATTAAACAGAAGAAATGAGGTACCATTAATTAGGTTAATGAGGAACCTTCAGTGGACTGGTTCTTATACTTCTGAGGGGAAATGGTATAGATGGAGTTGGAAAAGCCATGGGAAGCTCAGAGGTTTCAGCTGTAGATTTGTTCTTTTAGTCAAGCAAGCCGAAAGAAAGTATTTACCAACCTTTGGTGAATGCCTTGAAAGCTACTGTTTCGCATATGTTGTTCAATGTTTTAGTTTTGGCAGAACGGTCACTATGGTTTGGGCTGGCATTGGAAGTTTAGAGCAATTTGTCTTAAAATATTTTCATTTGCAAAATTCAACAACACTGAAAGATGCTACAAAATGTAGCTTGACCCCAGATGCTTATCAAAAATGCTTATTGAATAGCATTGGAGCTTATATAAATTATTAATTTCAATTATTAAGTATTAAGATCTAGTAAGAGTTTAATACAAGGTGATTACATCTTTCCAAATCAAACTAAGAACTTCTTAATCATCTTTGGGTAACATTTTTGGATAATTTTTTGTAACATTTTCCAATAATGGCTAATAGCATGTCTGCTTCATTTTCATAGTCAGATACCTGTGATTCATGTGAAGAATTCTCATACATTTAGTCAGAGTTTTATCTTATTTTATTTGAAAATAAATAAACATTTTTTTGCCCTGGAATTATGTTTAATCTTGGCTCCAGGAGTTATGTAATAAACCATTGGTATAATTGAAGACTTCAACACTGGTCTTCCTATTCCATATATCTTAGAGTTACTAGTTCCTTCTCACTTTTGAAGATTTTTTTTTTTGACGGAGTCTTATGCTGTTGCCAGGCTGGAGTTCGGTGGCATGATCTTTGGTTACTGCAACCTCCGACTCCCTGGTTCAAGTGATTCTCCTACCTCAGCCTCCCGAGTAGCTAGGATTACACGCACCTACCACTACACCCGGCTAATTTTTTTTGTGTGTGTGTTTTTAGTAGAGACGGGGTTTCACCATGTTGGCCAGAATGGTCTTGATCTCCTGACCTCGTGATCCACCAGCCTTGGCCTCCCAAAGTGCTGGGATTACAGGCATTAGCCACCACACCTGGCCACTTTTGATGGATTTTTAAAATTTCTATATGACTTTATGTCATCTAAATTTTAACTCAAATGCACTCGTGTTAATTTGTTAACATTTTATTTTTTATTTTTGCGGCTACATAATAGGTATTTATATCTGTGGCATATGTGAGACATTTTGATATAAGTATACAATGCGTCAAAATCACATCAGGACAAATGGAATATCCATCACCTCAAGCATTCATCCTTTTTTGTGTTACAAGCAGTCTGACCATACTCTTTTAGTTATTTAAAAATGTACAATGAATTATTGTTGACTGTATTCACCGTGTTGTGCTATCAAATTACCACAATCAGAATAACTTCTCAACCTGTCTCCATATTTTACACTGATGTTGAAAAGTCAGTTCCACAGAAAGCAATATTTCAATTCAAATAATAAATTACAGTCTTGTTAAATGTTATTTAAAATATTACAGTGAAGAATATGAAGAGATTACATAAAATTTTCCCCAGGTTTAAAATAATACTCAAATGCCTAAATATATCAGAGCTATTTCTAATGATGTATTTCAGTTTGTATATCTTTACTCACAAATATTATTTGAAAAATAAGACAATCTTCTATTTCTTTATACATATTTACATATGTAAGCCATTACCTATTAGCTGGCAATTTTTAAAAAAACATAATAGGAATATATACCTTTTAACTTTATCATTCATTGATACTATTGACTACAAGAATAAAAATATATAAGTAAAAATATAGATTTTATATAACCAGCGCCAAATTATATGTGCATTTATCAAACTTTTGGAGGCTTTTACATGAGAAGGCTATTACAATCACTCAAAAAATTTTAGAATATAAAAACTCTCTAATTTCAAGGAATGTAAATCTTTTAAGAGGCAGGCAAGTGAAAAGTTGAATCAAATTAGAGGAAGGTCTATATCAAAGTAATGGATAATTATTGAATTTTGAGAATTTCTTATTAAAAATATTACTTGAAACTGTCTCTGTCTATGGCTTAATTTTTTGTCTTATGGTTTTTGAAAAGCATATTTTATTTTTTTAAATTTAAACAATATAATTAAGTACAAATTATAAAACCCTTCCATTGGCTAAAGTTATCAATTTACTTTTCATTATTATGGGTACATAATAGTGTCTATATTAATGGGGTACATGTGATGTTTTGATAGTGACATACAATGTGTAATTATCAAAACAGGGTAACTGGGATATTAATCACCTCAATTATTTATTATTTCTTTGTGTTAGGAACATTCCAAGTCTACTTTTTCAGTTATTTTAAAATATACAGCAAACGACTATTATCTACAGTCACTCTATTGTGCTACTGAATACTTGATCTTATTCATTCTAATTGTATTTTTTTGTGCCCATTAACCATTTCCCCTCTATCCCCTTGTTCTGCTACCCTTCTCAGCCACTGAAAACCATCTTTCTACTTTCTATCTCCATGAGTTTATTTTTTCAGCTTCCATATATGAGTGAAGAGATATAATATTTGTCTTTCTGAGCCTAATTTACTTCACTTAACATAATGTTTTTCAGTTCCATTCACGTTGTTGCAAATGACAGGATCTCATTCATTTCTATGGCTGAATAGTGCTCCATTATGTATATATACTACACTCCTTTGTCCATTCATCTATTGATGGAAAATTAAGTCAATTTCATACCTTGGCTATTGTGAATATTGCTGCAATAAACAATTGCTGCAATATTATTGCTGCAATAAACATGAAAGTATAGATATTTCTTTGATACACTGATTTACTTTCTTTAGGGTGTACACCCATTAATGGTATTGCAGGATGATATGGTAGTTCTATTTTTAGTTTTTTTTAAAAAACCTCCAAGCTGTTCATAGTGGTAATACTACTTTACATTCCGACCAATGGTGTATGAGATTATTCTATTCTCCAAATCCTTACCAGCATTCTTTATTGCCTATCTTTTGCATAAAAGTCATTTTAACTGGGATGAGATGATACAACTTAAAATGACCATGAGAAAACCGTACATATTATTGGAACTAAAATCAACAAAATTGATCGTAGCCCGTGTTGCTGTGGATGGAGAACAAATAAAACTCTCACACATTTGGGTAAAAAATCAAACTTTATAACCACCTTGGAAAATAGTTTGGCAGCATCTTCATACATTGAACATAATACCTGCCAGCTATTTCATCCTTAGATATTAACCCAAAATAAATGATAATATATGTCCATACAAAAACTTGTACACTGATCTTCATAACTAATTTTTTCCTAGTAGCCCAATACTGGAAATAACCCAAGTGTCTATGAATAGGGGAATGGTGAAAAAAATGAACATATCCATACAATGGAAGAGTATTCGTCAATAAGAGAAAAACTCTTCATACATGCAACAATATTGATAAATCTCAAGAATTATACTAAGTAAAAGGAGTCAAGCTATTACCTGCCTCCAAAAAAGACAATATTAAATGGTTTCATGTATGTAACATTATAGAGAGCACAAACTATTCCATACTGACAAAAGTCAGGGCAGTGCTTCCTTGGGGATGAAAACTAGGCAGCATTAGGAGAGTGAGACTGAAAGGAACATGAGAAAACATTTGAAGGTAATGGATTTGTTCACTGTGTTAATACAATGCATTTTTACGTATAAGACCTACCAACTTCCACAATTTAAATATGCACAGTTAATTGTAAAAAAAGTATGAGTAAATAGAAAAGAAGCCACAAAGTCACTTGACACTGAATAAATTTTTCAAAAAAGTTATCGTAGAAAAGGGAAAGTCTTATATATGCTGTAAAAGTTAAAGGACATGCCACTAGACTAGATGCATAACGTGGGAAGGAGGGGAGAGCATTCTAGGCAAAGGAAGCAAAGGAAGAATAAAGCATTAATGCCAAGGAGTGTTGAGAAGGAAGTGATAACACTGGGATGAAAAACTACAACAGGGTGAAGAACAGCTGTGAACATAACATTGGTAGATAGATTTATCCTCTAAGGGATGGCAATACGGTAAAAGATTTCCAAAAAGTTCACATAAAAAAATGAGTGTCAGCGTTAGTGAAACAAAAGTCCTGGCAGAGAGTAAGACTGGAGGGAGAAAACATTAAGACAAACAAGAATATGCAACTTTAAATAAGATAAATATAAATATTTTATTGTTATAACACCTTATACCCTATTGACCTTGTGAACTTTAAAAACATATGTAAAATATAAATCAAGAATATTCTGTATGGTGAGATTATAGAATCAAATAGCAATTCAAAGACCCCAAATTCCAAAATGTATTCTAAGTAGTATAATTTTTTTGTTAGTAAGTGTAAAATCTATTTCAATCATATCTAATCAGCTTGCTCATTAGAAATAGCGTATAGTGTTTTCAGCTAGTAAATAAGTCTGTCACGTTTCATTATTATTATTATTAAAGTATTATTAGTATCTATTTCTTTCCCTCAAAGTCATAACAGCCTATTCACTAGATAAAATCAGCTAATTTTTCCAACATTACACTTAAAACAAGTCTTTTTTTCTGAATTGCTTGATGGTGACTTTTGAAAAGAACTTTCATGAGGTAGACAAAAATAAACTGCAAAATACACATTTATAAAACAGAATTAAAACAATGATACATGAATCTGGAATTAGAGAAAATAATCAGCATATAAATAGAATCTGAGAAGAAGTATTACCCTTGAAAATAATGGCTGTATCATTTGTAATATATGTAATACTCATAACATTCATCTTGTGGGTTTTTTTTTTGCTTTTAAACAAACAGTTTTGGATTTTGTTGTTTCATTTTATTATAAGTGACACATGTTTGTACATATTTATGAGTTAAAGTATCATGTTTCAGTAATGGATACATTGTATAATGATTAAATCAGTGTGATTAGCTTATCCTTAACATTAAACATTTACCAATTCTTTGTGATGATAGCATTCAAGATCATTTCTTCTAGTTATCCTGAAACATACAAAGCATTATTGTCAGCTATTTTCACCTACCGTGTGATAAAACACTAGAAGTTATTCTTCCTGTCTAACTGTAACTTTGTACCTAATATTCAGATAGGCAAGTAACTTTGTCATATATGTAACCTGGTCTAAATGAACAGTAAACAGTGATCGGTCTTGGTTTATTATGTTGACTAATAGAGAGATCAGTGGTCATAATAATCTTTTTTCAAATGTGTTTCCATTTGTAAGAAAATTTTATTTATAATTTGAAAGTGCTCAGCTCTGCTTTTCTATATCGTTTTGATACCATTGTCCACAGTTGTATGCTTTTGATGCAAATATTTCAGATTATTTAGAAGTCTTAGGAAGGTTAAAATTACTACATATTAATACATTATCTGGCATGTTTATTATAACCAAATAAAAAAGTTTATTCCTCTTTTAATAGAATTTTAAACACATGTGAGTTGTTCTTGTATTCTTTTATGAAAAATGCTCATTTCAAGAGAACACATTTTAAGTCATATTTTTATCAAATATATTAATTAAAATTATAATGTCATTTCAAACTTTATTCAAACTTAATTCTCAACCTCTAGCCTGCTTGTCATGATAGTCTGAAATAATAATGACATAAAATACTCTGATGGGACAAATAAATTACTCTCACCTTTCTTGGGGAATGAGAAAGACAAAACAGAAAAATCAGTAAAAGATATAAAAGCAGTTTTCTGGAGTTTATTGGTTATAGTTACTTGTCACAAGTATCTGTGTTCATCTGAGTCTGTAATTACGTAGCTGACTCTCTGAAAAGGGAACACAGTGATGAAAAGACAAAACTTGAAATTACACAATTAATTGCAAACTATTTCTCCTAAGGCTATATATCACGCCTAAGAGAGCCTGAGCTTAAAGGTTATACTACTAATTCTCTTTTCAAATGGTACTTTTATTAGCCATTAAATATCACTCAGTGTGTGATTATTTTTACCCTTGTCTTAGAAATTGTGAACCTGAGACACTAAAATGGGTTAATGGCTCTAAATCAGACAATATATAAAAATCTCAACTAATTTGTTTTTGTAAACTGTTTGGATCAAGTTACATGCAAAAAAAAATGAGTACAAAGCTTCAGGGAAAAACACATTAAATAAATGTGTGCTTTACAATAGGAAAATTATAAAATATCAGCTTTTGTACTCATCTTCTTTTCAACATCTGTATCTTGAGAATGAGTGGGCTACTTCTGTAGTGAGGAAAACTCCCAGTAGTTAATCCGTTGCTAGTCATATATATACATATATATGCCATCATATGCCATCAGACACCTGAAATTTTAGATATATTATTGTAATTTATAGAACATATTTATGTTAGCCAATATTAAAAAACGAGGATATCCATTGGCTTGTTAAAGAATAACATCCGAACAGTACTGCAATGAAAGTTGCCCGCTAGTAGGGGTGTGTTTTTCTCACTTTTATAAATTCAGAGTTTGAATATAATATGGGCCAATACATTGATACTGCATATAAAATAATTAAAAATGGAACATATCATCAGGCAGTATACAAATCTTTCGGGATACATAGTGTTGGGTGGGGGCAGAAGCTACATAAGAACTTAGGAAGTACAGTGGGTCAGGGAGAGATGGTACAAAAAGAGTTATCACAAAATTTGCATTTCATATTTGGATCCAAACACACACACACACATACACACACACACACTCTTATACAACTGGATTTGGTACTTTTTGATACTTTTTATAGACTTTTTTAGGAATGTGCCCTTAACCCACGCACACAAAAGACCTCGCTCAAGTTAACTCAACTTGTCATTACAAGCAGAAGAAAGCAAAGCATTGTGGTAGTTCATCTTGGAAATATCTGTAAGGTTTTTATCTGATCAGTTGGCTTTTTTTTATGTTTTTAAAACAAAATAGAATTTGGAAAATGCAAGCTGTATATTATATTTGTAATGAATTTTATACTTCAAAAATGAAAGTGAGTGACTTCCCAGTAGTAAATATTTAAATACTTCAACAATTCTAATACTTAAATAGTGGATTGTAAATTTATTACTGAACTAAATAAATTCTTCAAAGGTATTTTATTTAGTCTGTAAAACATTTGTCAGTTACCTAGCTTTATAATTTAAGGAGTTTTTCTTCATCTATAATAAAAAGTTTAGTCTCTGAAACTATTATCATAATTGTATAGTTATATGTGTTTGATTTTCTAGAGGAGCATATACTCACCAAAAAGTGTTTTATATCATCAAGAAGAGTAAAGGAATAATAAAATTATTACCATATTGTAGAGTTGCTACAAATAATATGCTATGCTGCTGTTTCAACAAAACTGTCTACAGTTTTTTTAGGCAAGTAACTCATTTCTTATATATCAGATTAATGATTATGAAAACTGTAAATATGTAAAGCAGGTATGAAGCAATAAATTTTTTTCTACTTAGTAAACTCTGGAAACATCTTTATATCAGGAAATGTCTTTACTCTTAGTGATGTTTAGAATAGCCACCCTTTTTAGTAATGCAAAAGGGATGAAAATGCCTTTTACCTCATGACTTATTTCATTTAGGTCACCATTTTTATACCTGTTTGATATAAGTTATTTAATTTTTTATTTTAACTTTATAATATTGCATGGTCTCACTTACATGTGAAAGCTAAGAAGGTTAAAATCTTGAATAAAGAATAGAATAGTGGTTTCCAGAGGCTGGAAGGGTTGTGGGGAGGAGAAGATGAGGAGACATTGGTTAATGGGTAAAAAATAAAGTTAGATAGAATCAATACAACCTAGTGTTCTGGCACAATAGGGTGACTATAGTTAATAATAGTTTATTGTATATTTCAAAATAACTAAAAGAACGAAATGGGAATTTTTCTAATAAAAATAAATTATAAATGTGTGAGGTGATATATATCCCAGTGACTCCAATTTGATCACGATAATGCATTACATTGTAAGCTTGATTTTTAAACATACATACATTTTGAAGAATCAAATAATCTACAAAATTTATCTATTACAAAAACAAAACACAGTAGCCAACCCTAGCTCTGTTTTAATGACAAAAACAGAAAAACCAAGGAGCAATGAGAGTATAAGCATGACATTTAGAAATATAGGGATTATAAACAAAAGTACACAGCTATCCCAAGGTACGGTGAGTGGCCAGCTCCTCCCTTCAGCTAAGGCACTCTCAAAAGGCTGGCAGCTCAGGGCTGTTTGCAGGTGGCCCTCCCAGCACTGGGAGTAACACATAATCCTGTACTGAAGGAGGATCTTGACAGTGTCACGTGGCTTCCATCCATTCCCTACTTTGGTGCTGGATCACCTTTTGTTCAGAATTGCATATTATTTCCTTTCTTGGTATCTCCTTTGTTTTGTTATATGCTCTACTGTAGTTTCCTAAAGTCCATAGGAGTTAAGATTTCTGAGACCTTGTACATCTGAAATCTACACTTAACTTTCAAATAATTGTTAGCATGGGACATAATTTAAGTTTGGAAATCAAATTTGCTTCAGAAGTTAAAGTCATTGCATCATTCTCTCTCAGCTTCAGAGATGCTGTTGAGAAATCCAGTGTCAATTTAACTTTTTATCATTACTATATTAGCTTTTCCGCTTTGAATTCACCTAGGATATTCTCTTTTTCCCAAGTAATCTTAAATTTCAGGCTTATTTGCCCCAGAATGGATCTATTTTCATCCATTTTTTGTCTCTCAATGGGGCCTTGCAACTTAGAAATTTAAATTATTTGTTCAATGATTGTCTACTCTCTATTATATCTGTGTTCTTTTTAAGTATTACATTATTAAATTAAATTTACGGTATATTAACTATATATTCAATAATATATTAAAATATATATTAATGTTATCAATGCATATATATTATGCATTACATTATTATATTCTATATAATATACATCAGGGGTATTTTATTAATGTATATTAAAATTATGGTATATAACGTATCTATATATACATATATATGTTTATGTTATACAATGTATATGTATACATATACATATAGGTATAACATGTATATACATGTGTGCGTGTGTGCATGTATGTGTACATATATGTAGTTAGCATAAAGTAAAATGGAGACCAGAACTGGAGAACCCCTGAGTAGACAAACCCATTAAGGCCTCATTAGTGATATTATATTAATCTTGCTTGGTTTGTAAACATAATTTAACTTGAGCTATCTCTCTTATATACCCATATTAAAGAAAACTAACATTTAAGGCTAACCAATCAAAAGCCATCAATTAATTATAGTTATTATGAATGTTGCAGCAGGATAGACCAAATAAGGCTTTATTGGTCTATTTTTGGATTGATAATAATGTTAATATATTTGACTTTAATGACTCAAAAATTGTCATTACTTTACTTCCATGTTCTCTGTATAAAAGCCTTCCCCTGGCATTCCTTCAGCACAGCCACTTTTGGTTTACAGCAGCCTTATTCATGAATCACTGGTTGCTAAAATTAAGTATAGTATTATTGTGCTTTTCTTTACACTTTAACAGACAAATTTTATATATAGTTATATATAAGCATATATCAATATACATATATTTATCATGTATAATTTGTCTATATTACATACATATATATGGTCTACAAAAGTTCTGGTCTGGTTTGCAATTTTAAGTTTCACTTTTGTTCTTAGAGTGTCACAATAATATCTTTCAGTCTTTCTACTAAATTTCAATTCTCTGCTCATATATTTAATTTAAAAAATTCTTTTGTTCTCTGAGTATTTATGAAGTACCATAATCTTGTTTCACAGACATGATAGCATTTCTTTTATCTCTGAAATGGTAATGAAAGTTTTTGCTTTTTTCTGTTTCTATTTTATTTTTAGTTACCTATCTTCACAGTCTCTGTTTTTTCCAAGTTGCTTTCTTTAAGTTTGTCTGTTTAATATTAGAACATTCCTTTCGTATCTGTGATCTTGACTCATGTTTAAGATGGAGTCATTAAATCTTATTTGAGAATTTGTACACATGCATGCTGTTTGTGGATTGCACATGTGGTGACCTAGCAAGACAATATTACTGGAAAATACCCAGAGCCAATGTATCAGGTCATTTTTGAGGGAATAATCAGGTTTCTGAAAATATAAATCTTTCACTCTTTAGCTGCCCCTACTTCCTATTTGTGTGGTATTCTTCCTCTCAATTGTGGTAGAACTGTGGCCAGAAGCACTGTGGTCCAGATACTTTTTCTACCTCGATGGGTAATAAATTTCAATTTTCTAAGATAATGAAAGACAGCCTCTTCTGATTGCCTGAAGTAGAAAATCCAACTTTCAAGCAATCTTCCAATTTTCACCCTTTCTCCTAACCTACCTCATGTTGCCAATTACTGAACCCTGCAAATGTTCCACAGTGCACGTCACTTTGCTGCTCAGCTGTCCATACTGCCTCTTTAGGATTTTACTTGTTAAGGCCAATTGACAGTTACCATTATGCTGGTTTTTCTTTGCTTAAAATACTTTTGCTATTATTTCCCCTTCTAACTCTCAGAAGAAACAGATGCAAATGTTTGTGTTTAAAACAATGTCTTCAAACTGGAAATTCATATTTACTAAAATTACCTGATTTAGCTCTTCAAAAATAGAGAGCAATTTATTTATATTATTACATATTTTCAGTAACTCTTTAAACTCCTTTATAACATGTGTGCGATTGAATTCCAGTTACCTCAGCATCATTTATTGAAAAGGGAGTCCTTTCCCCATTGCTTGTTTTTGTTAGCCTCGTTGAAGATCAGATGGTTATAGGTGTGTGGCTTTATTTCTGATTTTTCTATTCTGTTCCATTCGTTTGTGTGTCTATTTTTGTAGCAACATCAAGCTATTTTGGTTACCGTGGCTTTATAATATGATGTAATGTCGAGTAATGTGATGCTTCTGGCTTTGTTCTTTTGGCTTAGCATTGTTTTGGTTATTTGGGCTCTTTTCTAGTGCCTTATGAATTTTAAAATCATTTTTTTCTAATTCCGTGTATAATGACATTGGTAGTTTGATAGGAATAGCAATGCAAATTGCTTTAGGCACCGTGGCCATTTTTATGATATTGATTCTTCCAATCAATGAGCATGGAATGTTTTTTCTATTTATTTGTGTTACCTCTGATTTCTTTCAGCAGCGTTTCGTAGTTCTCCTTGTAGAGATCTTTCACCTCCTTGGTTAGCTGTATTCCTAGGTATTTCATTTTCTTTGAGTCCATTGTAAGTGGAATTGTGTTCTTGATTTCACTCTTAACTCTTAGCATAGATGTTGTTGGTGTATGGAAATGCTACTTATTTTTACACATCGATTTTGTATCCTGAAACTTTACTTATATTGATTATCAATTCTAGGAGCCTTTTGGTAGACTCTTTAGCATTTTGCAATAGAATCATGTCATTAGCAAAGAGAGTTTGAATTCTTCTTTTCCTATTTGGATATCTTTTATTTCTTGCTCTTGCCTGATTGCTGTGTTTAGAATTTCTAGTACTATATTGAATAGGAGTGGTTAGAGTGGACATCCTTGTCTTATTCCAGTTCTCAGGAGGAGTGTTTCCAGTTTTTGCCCATTCTGTATGGGGTTGGCTGTGGATTTGCCATAGATAGCTCTTATTATTTTGAGATATGTTCCTTTAATGCCTAGTTTTTTGAGGGTATTTAATATTAAGTGTTTTTGAATTTTATCAAAAGTCCTTTTTATGTCTTTTGAGATAATCATGTGGTTTTTATTTTTATTTCTATAATAAATCTCATTTATTAATTTTTATATATTGCAACAACCTAGCATTCCAGGAATAAAGCTGCTGGATTAGCTTTTTAATATGCTACTGGTTATTTTCGTCTCCCTAGGTGTGATTTTAGGATGTCAATTTCAGATCTCTAACTTTTTCACATGGGTGTTTTCCACTATAACCTTCCAAATTAACATGGCTTAGCTGTGTCCCAAAGATTTTGGTATGTTGCATCTTTGTTTTCATTTGTTTCAAATATTTTTTTTCATTTCTGCCTTAATTTAAATTTTCCCCAAAGTCGTTCAGGAGCAGGTTGTTTAATTAGCATGTAATTATATGGTTTTGAAAGAGATTCTTGGTATAAATTTCTATTTTATTGCGATGTGGTTTGGGAGTGTGGTTGATATAATGGGTTTCTTAAGGACGTCTTGCAAGGCTGGTCTGGTGGTAATGAATTCCCTTGGCATTTGCAAATCCGAAAAGGATTTTATTTCCGCTTCACTTTTGAAGCTTAGTTTGGCAGGATCTGAAACTCTTGGTTGGATTTTTTTCTTTACAAATGCTAAATATAGATTCCCAATCTCTTCTGGGTGGCAGAGTTTCTGCTGAAAGGTCTGCTGTAGTCTGATGGGGTTCCCTTTGTAAGTGACCTAACCCTTTTCTGTAGCTGCTTTAATATTTTTTTCGTTCACACTGACCTTGATGAATCTGATGATTATGCGTTTTGGGGATGGTTGTCTTTTCCACTGTCTCACAGGAGTTCTCTGAATTGCCTGAATTTGAATGTCAACCTCTCTAGCAAGGTTGGGGAAATCTCTTTGTAGATCAAAGAACTATATGGTTAAAAAACACATATGGGTGTGGTGGCTCACGCCTGTAATCCCAGGACTTTGGGAGGCTGAAGTGGGTGGATCACAAGGTCAGGAGTTTGAGACCAGCCTGGCCAGCATGCTGAAACCCCGTCTCTACTAAAAATATAAAAAATTAGCCAGTCATGGTGGCATGTGCCTGTAGTCCCACCTACTTAGGAGGCTGAGGCAGGAGAATTGCTTGAATCCAGCAGGTGGAGGTTACAGTGAGCTGAGATTGCACCACTGAACTCTAGACTGGACAACAGAGCGAGACTCCATCTTAAACAAACAAACAAACAAAACCAATAAACAAACAAAAGTCTGTAAAAGTAGTAGAAGAAAATACAAGTAAATATGTTTATAAGCTTGGGTAAGGAAGAATTTTTTTTTTTTTTGAGACAGCGTCTTGCTCTGTCTCCTAGGCTGAAGTCCAGTGGCTTGATCACAGCTCACTGCAGCCTTGAATTCCTTGGCTCAAGCTATCATCCCACCTCAGCCTCCTGCATAGCTAGGACTCAGGCATGTGCCATGCTAAGCTAATTTTTTATTTATTTTTAAAATTAATTAATTTTTTTTTTGAGACGGAGTTTCGCTCTTGTTGCCTAGTCTGGAGTGCAATGGTGCAATCTGGGCTCACTGCACCCTCTGCCTCCCGGGTTCAAGCGATTCTTCTGCCTCGGTCTTCCGAGTAGCTGAGATTACAGGCATGTGCCACCATGCCCGGCTAATTTTGTATTTTTAGTAGAGACAGGGTTTCTCCGTGTCGGTCAGGCTGGTCTCGAACTCTCGACCTCAGGTGATCCACCTGCCTCAGCTTCCCAAAGTGCTGGGATTACAGGCGTGAGCCATTGCACTGCTAAGCTAATTTTTTTTTTTTTTTTCCTGAGGCGGAGTCTCGCTGTGTTGTCTGGGCTGGAGTGCGGTGGCAGGATCTCAGCTCACTGCAAGCTCCGCTTCCTGGGTTCACGCCATTCTCCTGCCTCAGCTTCCCGAGTAGCTGGGACTACAGAAGCCTGCCACAACTCGGCTAATTTTTTTGTATTTTTAGTAGAGACAGGCTTTCACCATGTTGGCTAGGATGGTCTCAATCTCCTGACTTCGTGATCCGCCTGCCTCGGCCTCCCAAAGTGCTGGGATTACAGGTATAAGCAACTGCGCCCGGCCCTGCTAAGCTAATTTTTAAAATGTTTTTGCAAATATGAGGTCTCCCTGTATTGCCCAGTTTGGTCTCAAACTCCTGGCCTCAAGTGGCCTTCCTCATGTGGCATCCCAAAGTGCTGGGATTACAGGTGTGAGCCACCACACCTAGTCCCAGAAAGATATTCTTGAACAAGAAATAAATCACAGCCAGATGCGGTGGCTCACACCTGTAATCCCAGCACTTTGGGAGGCCTGAGGCTGATGGATCACCTGAGGTCAGGAATTTAAGACCAGCCTGGCCAACATGGTGAAAACCTGTCTCTACTAAAATACAAAAATTAGCCCGGCATGGTGGCCACGCCTTTAATCCCAGCTACTCAGGAGGCTGAGGCAGGAGAATGGCTTGAACCCGGGAGGTGGAGGTTGCAATGAGCCGAGAGCATGCCATTGCACTCCAGCCTGGGCATCAGAGCCAGACTCCATCTCAAAAAAAAAAAAAAAGAAAAGAAAAAAAACCCAGAAAACCCAAATCAGAGAGCCATTAAGACAAAAAAAAAAAAAAGACTAATAAATTTGACTCCATCAAAAATTAAAACTCGGCCAGGCGTGGTGGCTCACGCCTGTAATCCCAGCACTTTGAGAGGCCGAGGTGGGTGGATCATGAGTTCAGGAGTTGGAGAACAGCCTGGCCAACATAGTGAAACCCTGTCTCTACCAAAAATACAAAAAAATTAGCTGGGCGTGGTGGCGGGTGCCTGTAATCCCAGCTACTTGGGAGGCTGAGGCTGGAGAATCATTGGTTGAACTAGGGAGGCAGAGGTTTCAGTGAGCCAAGTCATGCCATTGCACTCCAGCCTGGGCAACAAGAGCGAAACTCCATCTCAAAAAAAAAATGCATATGTTTCAGCTCAGCAACCCCACTTCTCTATTCTCAAATAATACACATATGTATGTTTAAAGAGGTATGTACAAGAATGTTCACTGTCAACACTCTTGGTAATAGCAAAAAAACTGGAAACAATCATCATTTCCATGAAAAAAAGAATAGCTAAATAAACTATGCCCACACTATGCTATTCTACATAACAGTTAATAATGAGGATATGTATATTGATATGAAAAGATCAAGATGTAGTTAAATAAAAAAATGCAACCGGGTGCAGTGGCTCCCACCTATAATTCCAGCACTTAGGGAGGCCAAGGCAGGAGGCTCACTTGAGGCCAGGAGTTTGAGACCAGCCTGGGCAACAGAGCATGACCCCATCTCTACAAAAAATTTTTAAAAATTAGCCAGGTGTGGTGGTACATACCTGTAGGCGGTGGTAGGATTGCTTGAAGTAAGGAGTTCAAGATTACAGTGAGCTGTGATCACATATCTCTAAAAAAATTTTTTTTTTAAGATGGAGTCTCGCTCTGTCGCCCAGGCTGTAGTGCAATGGTGCAATCACAGCTCACTGCAGCCTCAACTTCCCTGGCTCAGGTGATCCTGCCACCTCAGCCTCCTGAGTAACTGGGACTACAGGTGAGCAACAACACACCCAGCTAATTTATTTATTTATTTATTTATTTATTTATTTATTTATTTATTTAATTTATTTATTTTTTGAGAAGGAGTCTTGCTGTCACCCAGGCTGGATTGCAATGGCACACAATCTTGACTTACTGCAACCACCACTTCCCAGGTTCAAGCAATTCTCTTGCCTCAGCCTCCTTAGTAGCTGGGATGAAAAGTGTATGCCACCATGCCTGGCTAATGTTTGTATTTTTAGTAGAGACGGGGTTTCGCCATGTTGGCCAGGCTGGTCTCAGACTCCTGACCTCAGGTGATCCACCTGCCTTGGCCTCCCAAAGTGCCGGGATTACAGGTGTGAGCTACCGCGCGTGGCCTGATTTTTTGTATTTTTAGTAGAGACAGGGTTTTGCCATGTTCTCCCAAAGTACTGGAATTACAGGTGTGAGCCACTGTGCTTGGCCCCTGTACAATTTTAAAATTTAAAAAAAAATTAAAAATACCTGGAGTTCTGGCCTTGAAAATCCCATCCTTGTGGGCGCTCCTTCCAGTCTTGAGGAGTGAACCTGGCCATCAGTGATTCTGAAGAAGCAATGGCCACAGAGAACCCCAGCACAGCAAACTGAGAAACTGCCATTTTTGTTGTATTTTATTATTTCCTCTAGAGATGGGGGGGGGGGTCTCAACATATTGCCCAGGCTGGTCTTGAACTCCTGGACTCAAGCAATCCTCCTGCCTCAGCCTCCCATAGTGCTGTATTACAGGTGTGAGCCCCCTTGCCTGGCCTGGCCATCTATATTTCTTTTGTTTGTTTGTTTTTCATTTTTGAGACAGAGTCCCACTCTGTCTTCCAGGCTGGAGTGCAATGGTGTCATCTCAGCTTACTGCAACCTCTGCCTCCTGGGCTCAAGCCATTCTCCTGCCTCAGCCTCCCAAGTAGCTGGGATTACAGGTGCCCGACACCACGCCCAGCTAATTTTTGTGTTTTTAGTAGAGACGGGGTTTCACCATATTGGCCAGGCTGGTCTTGAACTCCTGACCTCAGGTGATCCACCCGTCCTGGCCTCCCAGAGTGCTGGGATTACAGGTGTAAGCCACCACACTCGGCCTTTTTTTCCCAATGTTTTTTTTTTTTTTTTTTTCTCAGAGACCTTTGTTCTGAGATCTTTATTTCTTCTCCCTGTTCTTTTTCCTTGTCTAGTCTACCTCACAAATCATTTCATGATTAATTTTCCTAAAGCAAAGGGCAAATATTTATTAAGCATTTGCCATTATTTGTACTCAGTATTTGGTAATGGCAGGAATGTTTGAAGAAAGTTAATATGATAGTAATATGGAGCAATGTGAAGTTAAGAAGAGAGGGAGATGGCAACCAATCAAAAGACTATATCAGGCCGGGCTTTATTCATCCTGTTCAGAGGTGGTCACAGCTTCCCAATGCCTACAAAATAAAGGCCAAATTCCTGAGCCTAATATCCAAGACCGTCCATTCTATCCTCAACATACCTTTCTGATCTCTTCATTACTTCTTCCCATTAAAAGCCTCCAATTCAGCCAATTTTTTTTTTTTTTTTGACATGGGGGTCTCGCTGTGTCTCCCAGGGTGGAATGCATGACACCACCATAGCTCACTGCAGTCTCAAAACTCCTGGGCTCATGTGGTCCTCAGCTTCCTAAGTAGCTGCAACTACAGGTGTGCACCACCACATGCAGCTTCAGCCTGGCTTTCGCATGTGTGCGTACCTCTGTTCACAGTTACTTCTCCTGTCTCCTTAAATCTTGCTTCCTTTATTTATTGATTGATTGAATGATTTATTGAGACGGAGTTTTGCTCTTGTTGCCCAGGCTAGAGTGCAGTGGCGCAATCTCAGCTCACTGCAAGCTCCGCCTCCTGGGTTCACGCCATTCTCCTGCCTCAGCCTCCCCAGGACTACAGGTGCCTGCCACCACACCCAGCTAACTTTATTGTATTTTTAGTAGAGACGGGGTTTCACCATCTTGGCCATGCTGGTCTTGAACCCCTGACCTCGTGATTCACCCGCCTCGGCCTCCCAAAGTGCTGGGATTACAGGCTTGAGCCCCTGTGCCCGACAAGGGGTGCGTGTTTTTTAAAACATGGGAGAGGGAATTGTGCTTCAGAATCACCACCAGCTGTTGCAACATCGGGTGCCACTCCATCCCGCTTCTGAGGCACGACGGAGCACTTTGGGAGGCCGAGGCGGGTGGATTACCTGAGGTCAGGAGTTCGAGACCAGCCTGACCAAAATGGTGAAACCTGGTCTCTACTAAAAACACAAAAAATTAGCCAGACGTGGTGGCGCATGCCAGTAATGCCATCCATCTACTTGGGAGGCTGAGGCAGGAGAATCGCTTGAACCCCAGAGGCGAGGTTGTGGTGAGCCGAGATCGTGCCATTGCACTCCAGCCTGGGAAACGAGCGAAATTCCGTCTCAGGAAAAAAAAAATTTTTTTTAAAGGAAAAAAAACCCCTCTTTTTCTAGCCGGAAATACCCTCTTTCAGGAAGGCGCGCCTGTGCCGCATACGCACACTCAGTTACTTAGCAAAGTCTGGGCTAAACCACCCAAGGCGGAGCCCAGGAACAACAGAGCCACCGCATCCCCCACCAATCAGCGCCGACCTCGCCTTCGCAGGCCTAACCAATCAGTGCTGGTGCTGCAAGAAAGTTTCCAGAGCTTTCGAGGAAGGTTTCTTTAACTCGAATTCATCCGCCCAATAATTTTCTTATATTTTCCTAAAGAAGAGAAGTGCATAGAGGAGAAGGGACATAATTTGTTAGGATCCTTTCTTACGCTATGGGAATTTGGGGCTCAGTTGAAAAGCCTGAACTGCGTCTGGGGATGTTGGGCGCGGCGAACTACTTTCAGTGGCGCACGGAGACGGTGTCTATGTAAGAAGTGATAACGCAACACACCTTGCACAAATTTGCGCTCTGCCAAACCAGAGCATTCAGGCACGACTGGCTTTGTTGGGTGAGGTTGTTGTGGTGTTCCTGTGGCTGGACGTGATTCGCAGCATCCTCGTATCCGCTAACAGGTACTGGCCCACAGCCGTAAAGACCTGCGGGGGCGTGAGAGGGGGGAATGGGTGAGGTCAAGCTGGAGGCTTCTTGGGGTTGGGTGGGCCGCTGAGGGGAGGGGAGGGCGAGGTGACGCGACACCCGGCCTTTCTGGGAGAGTGGGCCTTGTTGACCTAAGGGGGGCGAGGGCAGTTGGCACGCGCACGCGCCGACAGAAACTAACAGACATTAACCAACAGCGATTCCGTCGCGTTTACTTGGGAGGAAGGCGGAAAAGAGGTAGTTTGTGTGGCTTCTGGAAACCCTAAATTTGGAATCCCAGTATGAGAATGGTGTCCCTTCTTGTGTTTCAATGGGATTTTTACTTCGCGAGTCTTGTGGGTTCGGTTTTGTTTTCAGTTTACCTAACACCGTGCTTAGGTTTGAGGCAGGTTGGAGTTCGGTCAGGGGAGTTTGAATATCCAGAACAGGTAGTGGAGAAAGTTGTGGACGCTTGGTTAGAGAGCGCTCTGGATTCTCCACTGTTGACATTGAAACCTTGAGTGACGAATTTTGTATTAAGTGACTTAGCCTCATAAAAATCAGGGGAGGTTTGCGGAATGTTACCATGTTTAAGGCATTTTGAAGGAGTAGTTGCTAACTTTGAAGCATATTAGATGTAAAAGCAAGAAATACAATGATCCTGAGATGACACGCTTATGTTTTACTTTTAATCTAGGTCAAAATGCGGATCTTCGTGAAAACCCTTACCGGCAAGATCATCACCCTTGAAGTGGAGCCCAGTGCCACTATCGAAAATGTCAAAGCCAAAATCCAAGATAAAGAAGGCAATCCCTGTGACCAGCAGAGGCTCATCTTTGCAGGCAAGCAGCGGGAAGATGGCCGCAGTCTTTCTGACTACAACATCCAGAAAGAGTCGACCCTGCATCTGGTCCTGCGTCGGAGAGGTGGTATGCAGATCTTCGTGAAGACCCTGACCGGCAAGACCATCACCCTGGAAGTGGAGCCCAGTGACACCATCGAAAATGTGAAGGCCAAGATCCAAGATAAAGAAGGCATCCCCCCCGACCAGCAGAGGCTCATCTTTGCAGGCAAGCAGCTGGAAGATGGCCGCAGTCTTTCTGACTACAACATCCAGAAAGAGTCGACCCTGCATCTGGTCCTGCGTCTGAGAGGTGGTATGCAGATCTTCGTGAAGACCCTGACCGGCAAGACCATCACCCTGGAAGTGGAGCCCAGTGACACCATCGAAAATGTGAAGGCCAAGATCCAAGATAAAGAAGGCATCCCCCCGATCAGCAGAGGCTCATCTTTGCAGGCAAGCAGCTGGAAGATGGCGGTACTCTTTCTGACTACAACATCCAGAAGGAGTCGACCCTGCACCTGGTCCTGCGTCTGAGAGGTGGTATGAAGATCTTCGTGAAGACCCTGACTGGAAAGACCATCACCCTGGAGGTGGAGCCCAGTGACACCATCGAAAATGTGAAAGCCAAGATCCAGGATGAAGAAGGCATCCCCCCCGATCAGCAGAGGCTCATCTTTGCAGGCAAGAAGTTGGAAGATGGCCGCACTCTTTCTGACTACAGCATCCAGAAAGAGTCGACCCTGCACCTGGTCCTGCGCCTGAGGGGTGGCTGTTAATTCTTCAGTCTTGCATTAGCAGTGCCCACTGATGGCATTACTCTGCACTATAGCCATTTGCCCCAACTTAGGTTTAGAAATTACAAGTTTCAGTAATAGCTGAACCTGTTCAAAATGTTAATAAAGGTTTCGTTGAATGGTAGCATACTTGGTGTTTTGTCATGATATTCTCTAGTGATGTGTGGGTACACTTAAAACTGGTGAAAATGTCTAGGGAGGGATTTAATTTTGAGATTGGTAATGTGCCCAAAGTTAAGTCACTTGACTCTGGTATACACTTGGGTGGGCTGAGGGGTAAGAGCCTTCTTTGCTGTAAGTCATTACAAGTTAGGATCCTGGACTAATGGCAAACTTTCTGAAGCTCGAATTTAAAGTCTGTTGGGAGTCCGAGGTGGGCGGATCACGAGGTCAAGAGATCAAGACCCTCCTGGCCAACATAGTGAAATCCTCTCTCTACTAAAAAAAATTAGCTGGATGTGATGTCGCCTGCCTGTAGTCCCAGCTACTCAGGAGGCTGAGGCAGGAGAATCAGTTGAACCTGGGAGGCAGAGGTTGCAATGAGCTGAGATGGTGCCACTGCACCCCAGCCTGGTGACAGAGCAAGACTCCATCTCAAAAAGTTGGATATGCAGGCTTTTTTAAAGATGGTCTTGCTCTGTAGTCCAGACTGGTATACAGTGGCACAATGACAGCTCACCGTATCATTCTTGGGCTCAAGTGACTGCAGGGATTTTCTTTACAAATATGCCTGCCTAGGCCTAATCAAAGATTGCTGGAGAAATAGTTTTGATTGAGGCTGCCTGAATAGTGGTAACGTAACTGCTTTCAATTCTGCAATTATTGGGTGACTATGAGCTGTGTGTTTATTGCTCTGTAGTGTAGTAACACCGAAGTGTTTAACCTGGGTGGTAGTATGGGACCGTAATCTTGTCTGTTTGCTGTATATGTTTTAAATGATGAGCCAAGAAGCAGCTAATTACTGAGTATGGAAGACTACTGGCTGAGGAGAAAGATGGCTTGCAGGTACTTAATGTTTAAAACTGTATCCTGATCTAAGACAATCTTCCTGGTCTTGATGAGTTAGGTGGCAAATTAAAGTGGTTCCTCACACAGTTGGTTTTTGTTTTTGTTTTTGTTTTTTTTGAGACAGAGTCTCACTCTTTTGCCCCAGGCTGGAATGCAGTGGTGCGATCTCAGCTCACTGCAAACTCCGCCTCCCAGGTTGAAGCAAGTCTCCTGCCTCAGCCCCCCACGTAGCTGGGACTACAGGGGCCCACCAGCTAATTTTTGTATTTTCAGTAGAGATGGGGTTTTACCATATTGACCAAGCTGGTCTCAAAAGTCCTGGCCTCAAGTGATCCACCCACCTTGGCCTCCCAAAGTGCTGGGATTACAGGCATGAGCCACCACTCCGGGCCACGCTGTTGTTTCTTAATGTCTAACAGCTTAACTTTATTGTGAAAGACTGCAGCAACAAATGAGATTTTATCTGTATTTGGTAAAAATGCTTATCCTTGTCTAAGTCTGGCAACATAAGCAGTTTTTAGGCTTCTATCCCAATGGACATTAGGCAGTAATACATGCGCAGTGCTAATAGAAAATATTTGAGGGAGTAAGGGTGTACTAAGGAAGTTCTCAAATCTTCCTGCTTCACTATCTTCTGTAATACAACTTCAGTAAATGTGATTCTCATCTTGGCACAAAATTGGGAGTAGTGTGGGGAGCCCTGTTTAATTTTTTTTTTCAGGTTTATAGTAGGGAAATAATGTTTTCTGGTACTAAAACTGGCGTGGTAAGTGCATACTTAGGGTAAGGACTTTAAATCACTGGCCAGTTAATCTCTAGTTGGTGGTTTAGCATGCAAGAAGTACCCATGGGTATATTACACAAATGCGGGAATAGCATATCTAGAAATAAGCCTTTGATATTCATAGTGTACCTGAGAATGGTTTCACACATAATTTTAGGTAATCTGCCTTAGTCACTCTGGTTTTACGGATCTTTGCCCACAGTTCCTGGTTCATAACTTCTATAGCCCTTGTTATAGTCATGTTGGGTGTGTTAGGCCACAGGAAACTCACTTAACTTCTGCCCTTTTACCTTCCCTAAGACAGGACTCATAATCTTCCCCTACCTTTCTGAGTCCTGAGACCCCCATTTCAGAGAGGGTTCTGTCCTGTACCCTGGGGAAAGGAATGCTGTCATCGTGAAGCCTCCTTAGAAAACCAAGAGGACTGAGTTTGGATATCTGAACACATGGAGGTTCCTGGAGGATGGCACACCCAAGTAAGGCATTAAAGCTTTGCACCCCTTCCCCCATACCTTGTCCTATGCATCTCTTCATCTGAGTCCTTTGTAATATCTTTATAATAAACCAGTAAACGTGGCCAGGCGTGGTGGCTTATGCCTATAATCCCAGCACTTTGGGAGGTGGAGGTGGGTGGATCACTTGAGGCTAGAGCTTGAGGCCAGACTGGGCAATGGGCTCTTTACAAAAAAAAAAAAATTAAAATGGGCATGGTGGCATATACCTGTAGTCCTAGCTACTTGGGAAGCTGAGGTGGAAGGATTGCTTGAGTCCAGGAGTTCCAGGCCAGCCTAGCACAGCAAGATCTTGTCACTAAAAACCTAGCTCTTCAAACCTGGAAAATTAAAACGTTTCACTGAATACCTAAAAACTATTATCTGGGGCAATAGGGCTTAAAATATTGTGCTGTCATTTCTCCCAAAGTGTCACTGTCTGACAATATAGGCTCATAGGTCTGTAGTCTGGTGAATCCTTCAGAAGAAGATTCAGCTGTTGCTCTTTAGTTCTCTTTTGGAATATTTTATTTTCCATAGAGATCCCCCTCTAAGTAATTCATGGATCTCAGCAAATTCACTCTGCACACAAATGAATCTGAGCAATTTTGAGACAGAGTCTTGCTCTGTAGCCTAAGCCAGACTGCAGTGGCACAATCTTGGCTCACTGCAACCTCTGCCTCCCAGGTTCAAGCGATTCTTGGGCCTCAGCCTCCTGAGTAGCTGGGATTACAAGAGTGGTCACCACACCCAGCTAATTTTTGTATTTTTAGTAGAGACGGAGTTTCACCATGTTGGCCAGGCTAGTCTTGAACTCCTGACTTCAGGCGATCTGCCCGCCTTGGCCTCCCGAAGTGCTGGGATCACAGGCGTGAGCCACTGCACCTGGCCAGGGAAAGGCTCTTTAAATATGTGTTGGAGGCCTGGTCTATGGCCTGATGCCAGTCCAAAATAGTTCTTGTCAGCTCTCAGTTAAATAAAAATGAGAACAGCGGCCAGGTGCAAAGGCTCACGCCTGTAATCCCAGCACTTTGGGAGGACGGGGTGGGGGGCGGGGTGCGGATCATGAGGCCAGGAGTTCGAGACCAGCCTGACCAACATGGCGAAACCCCGTCTCTACTAAAAATACAAAAAATTAGCTGGGTGTGGTGTCACGCACCTGTAATCCCAGCTACCCAGGAGGGTGAGGCAGGAGAATTGCTTGAACCCAGGAGGCGGAGATTGCAGTGAGCTGATATGGCGCCACTGCACTCCAGCCTTGGCAACAGAGTGAGACTTCATCTCAAAAAAAAAAAAAAAAAAAAAGAACAGCTCAGTGGATTTTACATAAAAAATGTATTCAACTTAAAAGACATGTCCTCTGTAAAAATGTTGTGGTCTAATGGTTTAGTGTGACTCTGGATACAAGACTTCTTGAGTCAAATCTGGCTGCTTACTAGCTTGTAACGTTGGGCAACTAATCCTGTCAGTACATCAAATTCCTCATCTATAAAAATTGGGTTAATTACACCTGTCTCAGACTAGTTATAATTACCTGTGAAGCACTTAAAACAATGTAAAAACTTGGCCAGGTGAGGTGGCTCATGCCTGAAGTCGCAACTACTTGGGAAACAAGCAGAATGGCTTGAGCCCAGGAATTCAGGGCTGCAGTGAGTTACCAGGTAATGCCACTGCACTGCACTCCAGCCTGGGCAACAGAATGAAACCCTGTCTCTAAAAACAAAACAAAACCAAAAACCCCACACACTTGCGTAGTGCTTAATATGCTATTTTTTGTAATAAAATTACCAATCAAGATGAGATGATAGGCTGGGTGCTGTGGCTCACACCTGTGTAATCTCAGCACTTTAGGAGCCCAAGGTGGGAGGATCGCTTGAACCTGGTAGTTTGAGATCAGCCTGGGCAACATAGTAAGAACTCATCTCTACAAAAAATGAAATAAAAGGCGGGAGGATCACTGCAATGAGGTTAACGCTGCAATGAGCTGTGATCTTGCCACTGCACTCCAGCCTAGGTGATGGGAGTGAGAACCTATCTCAAAAAAAAAAAAAAGATGATAATGCAATAAGTAAACTGAATGAAGGTGATAGGAACTTCGTGGGGCAATATCCAATAGAGGAAAAAATGCTATAGGAAAAAATATGCCTAAGCACAAAGACAGGTGGGCCACTGTTAACAATGGTTGCTTCAGGAGAATAGAGGAGTAGTTTTAAAGGGAGGTATATTTCAGCTCCTCTCTAGATATTCTTAAATCTGGCACCCACATAACATCAGCATTGTCCACAAGCACTCCATGTTTAAGAGCCAGCAATATAACAGCCCTGAAGTCAGACTGTGTTTCTGGATAGAGTAGACATTTTGCACAAATCTCTGGTTCAATCTCTATCACTCCTATAGGGCCTCTAGAAACTTTATCTCATGAGACTTCCTGAACCGCGACACACTTCATTTTAGCTACACTTTATTCATTCTTCAAAGAATCTGAGCAGGCAAGCCATGACTCTATTTTAATCAGGCCCAGCTAACTCTAAATGGAAGCTTTAGATACATGTTGGGTTCTGGGAAAGGATCTTGTACTTAGCGCAGCAATAATTATTTAGTATATGAGCACTTAGTTTCCTTAGTCTGACAATAAGTACTTAGTTTCCTCAGTGCAACAAGGAAGTAGGTTTTGAGGTTTTTCCTTTTTTCATACTTTTTTCTTATCTTTTTTTTTTTTTTTTTTTTTTTTTTGAGGCAGAGCCTCTCTCTGTCACCCAGGCTGGAGTGCAGTGGCATGATCTCGGTTCACTGCAACCTCCACCTCATGGATTCAAGCTATTTTCCTGCCTCAGCCTCCCAAGTAGCTGAGTTTTATACTTTCTTAATCTCCCACTTTTTTTTTTTTTTTTGAGACGGAGTCTTGCTCTTGTCGCCCAGGCTGGAGTGCAGTGGTGCGATCTCAGCTCACTGTAACTTCCGCCTCCCAGGTTCAAGTGATTCTCCTGTCTCAGCCTCCTATGTAGCTGGGATTACCGGTGCCCACAGCCACGCCCAGCTAATTTCTGTATTTTTAGTAGAAACAGGGTTTCATCATGTTGGTCAGGCTGGTGTCGAACTCCTGACCTCCGCTGATTTGCCAACCTCGGCCTCCCAAAGTGTTGGGATTACAAGCGTGAGCCACCGCGCCCAGCTGATCTCCCACTTTTTTTTTTCTTTTTTCTTTTTTGAGAAAGAGTTTCACTCTTGTTGCCCAGGCTGGAGTGCAATGGCACGATCTTGCCTTACTGCAACCTCCACCTCCCAGGTTCAAGTGATTCTCCTGTCTCAGCCTCCTGAGTAGCTGGGATTACAGGCAGGCACCACCATGCCCAGCTAATTTTGTATTTTTAGCAGAGACAGGGTTTCACCATGTTGGTCAGGCTGGTCTCAAACTCCTGACCTCAGGTGATCCGCCCGCCTCAGCCTCCCAAAGTGCTGGGATTATAGGCATGAGCCACCGTGCCTGGCCTCCCACTTTTTTTAATCATCAAATGTTGGGTGGTGAAGTTCACTCTCCGCCAGTAGGTCCCAGACAGCTCCTATAAAATTCTAAAACCTATTCTAACCACACAACACTAACCAGGGCCCCTTTTAAGAAACACTATTATCTTCAGAAATTTCTGATATCAGTGTTTCCCCAAACTATCTTCCAAACATTACAACCAGTACGAAAAACGATGCTGTGATCACAAGGAGTTATCCATTATCTCCCTCCTGAAGACCTACAATGTCCTACAATTGTACATTAGCATATTTAAGTCTCTAAGGAGTTCTACCTTATAGGAACTGGTTTAACATTGTTTAACCCAGTGTTTTCCAATTTTCAATTTCACTTATGTTTCACTTTTTTTTTTTTTTTTTGAAATGGCATTTTGCTCTTGTTACCCAGGCTGGAGTCCAGTGGTGCCATCTTGGCTTACGGCAACCTCCACCTCCCAGGTTCAACAGTGATTCTCCTGCTTCAGCCTCCCAAGTAACTGGGATTACAGGCATGAGCCACCACGCCTAGCTAATTTTGTATTTTTAGTAGAGATGGGGTTTCTCCTTGTTGGTCAGGCTGGTCTTGAACTCCCGATCTAAGGTGATCCACCCACCTCAGCCTCCCAAAGTGCTGGGATTACAGGCGTGAGCCACTGCACCCGGCCTCACCTTTTTTTGGTGGGGGAGACAAAGTCTTGGTCTGTCACCCAAATTGAAGTACAGTGGTGTGATCTCGCCTCACTGCAACCTCTGCCTCCCAGGTTCAAGAGATTCTCCTGCGTCACCCTCCTGAGTAGCTGGGATTACAGGCATGTGTCACTATGCCTGGCTAATTTTTGTATTTTTAGTAGAGACAGGGTTTCACCAGTTTGGCCAGGCTGGTCTTGAATTCCTGGCCTCGAATGATCCACCCACTTTGACCTCTCGAAATGTTGGGATTACAGGTGTGAGCCATTGCGTCTGGCAATCATTTTTTTTTCTTTGTCCCCAAGGCCGGAGTGCAGTGGCGTGTTCTCAGCTCACCGCAACCTCCACCTCCCAGGTTCATGTGATTCTAACAGGAGGTGACATATTATTATTAATGAATGATAATAGTTAACTCTTATTTACGCTTACCATGCAATAGGCATTATTCTAAGGTTTTACATGAACTGGCTTATTTGATTTTCACAACTATCCACCCACTTAGGCACACAGAGCTGGGGTTTGAGCCCAGACAGGCTGGCTCCAGAGTTCTTGCTCTTAATGCTTCGAGATAAGATCTCCTGAGAGAATAAGCAGAAGTCAGTCACATAAGGATCTGGAAAACAACATTCCAGAAAATGGACTAAGCAAGGCTCAAGTTTCTGAGGCTAGCCAGCACTGAGATATTTAGAGATCCACCTACCTCAGCCTCCCAGGTAGCTGGGACTACAGGTGTGCACCACCACGCCCAGTTAATTTTTGTATTTTTAGTAGAGATAGGGTTTCACCATGTTGGCTAGGATGGTCTCAATCTCTTGACCTTGTGATCTGCCCACCTTGCCTCCCAAAGTGCTGGGATTACAGGTGTGAGCCACTGCACCTGGCCATCACTTTCTTTTTCAATGACATAACATTTCTCATAATTTGAGAAACAGTGTTCAAGCCATGCCCTGTCTCCTGTCTCCGTATCTAGTACTGCTGATTGTGCTTGGTTCTAGGCGTCTTTCGATGATAGAAACATGCTGCTGTGAATTCGAGGCAGGCTGCACACTGGGCTTGGATCTTCTACTTTTAAAATAGAACAATACAGGCTGGGTGTGGTGGTTCACGCCTGTAATCCCAGCACTTTGGGAGGATGAGGTAGGTGGATCATCTGAGGTCAGGAGTTCACTATCAGCCTGGCCAACATGGTGAAACCCCGTCTGTACTAAAAATACAAAAATTAGCTGGGCATGGCACTGGGCACCTGTAATCCCAGCTACTCAGGAGGCTGAGGCAGGGGAATCACTGGAACTCGGGTGGCAGTGAGATCCCGCCACTGCACTCCAGCCTGGGTGACAGAGTGAGACTCTGTCTCAAAAGAAAGGAAAAGAAAAGAAAAAAGCATGAAAAAAGGAAAAGCAAGACTCCGTCTCAAAAAAACTAGAACAATTCAAATATTGAGGGGGACGAAGACTTGGTCTGTTGCCCAAGCTGAAGTACAGTGGTTCAATCTCGGCTCACTGCAACCTCCACCTGCCAGGTTCTGAGGCGGAAAATGAACGAAAAATAAAATTTAGAAGAAAGAGAAATAAGTTTTCCTATATTAGGCTGACTTGTGCAGCAACGGGCACAGCCCAGACCCAGGAAAAGTCTTGATAATATTATCTAATGTGCTCTGGAGATTCTCCCAGCACTCCCTCAACATTGGGAGAAGAAAAACAAATTTTCCTTTGTTTTATGGAATGAGTTTATAGATTCTTGTTCTCTGTAACTAATGACTTCAAGTATTCTGTTTTATCTAAGAAGTACAACGAAGGTCACAAGAAGCCTGAGTAGGCCTGAACTACAGCTGCCTGAGCACCATAGTGAAGGTTATAGGATAAGCCTGTGCCCTGACAAACCTAGATAACAGACATCTGGGTTGCTTGGCAACAGTCATGTGCAATCCTGTCTTTGTCCTGCCTCTGTATCCCTGATTTCATGCCACTGTAACCTTGCTTCAAGCTAGCCCACCCCCTTTTCTGAAGTGTGTATAAAAGTCAGGTGCTGTCTTTATTCCGGGCCCAGTCTTTTACACGTGAGTCAGCCGGGCCTGAGTGCACTCAATATTCTCCTGTTTCAACCCGAGGTCTCTCTCGTCCTCCTGAATCCCGCAACAGTTCAAGCAATTCTCCTGCCTCAGCCTTCTGAGTGGCTGGGACCAGAATTGTGTGTGCCATAGGTGTGTGCCACTATGCTCAGCTAATTTTTGTATTTTTAGTAGAGACAGGGTTTCACCATGTTAGTCAGGCTGGTCTTGAACTCCTGACCTCAGGTGATCCATCTACCTTGGCCTCCCAAAGTGCTGGGATTACAGGTGTGAGGCACTGCACCCGGCCAATTTTTTGTATTTTTAGTAGAGATGGGGTTTCACTGTGTTAGCCAGGATGGTCTCAATATCCTGACCTCATGATCTGCCTGCCTTGGCATCCCAAAGTGCTGGGATTACAGGCGTGAGCCATCATGCCCGGTTTATAGATTATCTTAATCAGTTGCTACTTTGCTGCAGCTTGTCTTTAAGCATATGTTACCAGAAAAATTAACAGACAAATTTCGACATGGAATTTTTTTTTTTTTTTGAGACAGAGTCCCACTCTGTCGCCCAGGATAGAGTGTAGTGGCATGATCTCAGCTCATTGCCACCTCTGCCTCCCAAGTTCAACGGATTTTCCTGCTTCAGCCTCCTGAATAGCTGGGATACAGGCGCACACCACCACACCCGGCTAATTTTTGTATTTTTAGTAGAGATGGGGTTTCACCATGTTGGCCAGGATGGCCTCGATCTCAAGGTGGGTGATCCACCCACCTTGGCCTCCCAAAGTGCTGGGATTACAGGCATGAGCCACCATGCCTGGCACACACCTGGCTAATTTTTGTATTTTTTAGTGTAGACGGGGTTTCACCATATTGGCCAGGCTGGTCTTGAACTGTTGACCTCGTGATCCGCCCACCTCGGCCTCCCAAAGTGCTGGGATTACAGGAGTGAACCACCGTACCAGGCCTGGACATGGAATTTTAAAAAATTATCTAATTCGTTGCTTTCTTCTGAGAGAGAGTCTCACTCTATCGCCCAGGCTGGAGTGCAATGGTGCAATCTTGGCTCATTGCAACCTCTGCCCTTTTTTTGAGGCAGAGTCTCACTCTTTGCCCAGGCTGTAGTGCAGTGGCATGATCTCGGCTCACTGCAACCTCTGCTTCCAAGGGTCAAGTAATTCTCATGCCTTAGCCTCTGGAGTAGCTGGGATTACAGGTGTGCACCGCCACACCCACCTAATTTTTTTTTTTTTTTTTTGAGATAGAGTCTCACTCTGTCGCCCAGGCTGGAGTGTGGTGGCATGATCTCAGCTCACTGTAACCTCCACCTCCTGGGTTCAGTGATTCTCTTACCTCACCCTCCCAAGTAGCTGGGATTACAGGCGCACAACACCATGCCCAGCTAATTTTTTGTACTTTTAGTAGAGATGGGGTTTCACCATGATGCCCAAGCTGGTTTCAAGCTCCTGACCTCAAGCAATCCACCTGCCTCAGCCTCTCAAAGTGCTAGGATTACAGGCATGAGCCACCGCACCCTGCCTAATTTTTGTATTTTTAGTTGAGACAGGGTTTCACCATGTTTGGTCAGGCTGGTCTCAAACTCCTGACCTCAGGTGATTAGCACCTCTCTTACAGGCCTGAGCCACCCTGCCCGGCCCTAGTTTAGTTTTGTTTTTTCAAAACAGGGTCTCACTCTGTTGCCCAGGTTGGAGTGCACTGGCCTAATCTCCGCTCATTGCAAACTCTACCTCCCGGGTTCAAGCGACTCTTCTGCCTTAGCTTCCCAAGTAGCTGGGATTATTGGTGCCCCCAGCCATGCTCTGCTTTTCATATTTTTTAGTAGAGATGGGTTTTCACCATGTTGGCCAGGCTGGTCTCAAACTCTTGACCTCAAGTGTTCTGCCCCCCGAAGTGCTGCATTTACAGGCATGAGCCACGGTGACCAGCCTGATTGGTTTTGTAAAATACAAAAGTGATACAAGCTCTTGATAAAAATACATTCAGTGGCATATAAGAGTATCCAGTAGGCTGGGTGCGTGGCTCACACCTGTAATCCCAGCACTTTGGGAGTCCAAGGCGGGCAGATCACTTGAGGTCAGGAATTCAAGACCAGCCTGGCCAACATGGTGAAACACTGTCTCTACTGAAAATACAAAAATTAGCCAGGCGTGGTGGTGCACGCCCATAGTCCCAGCTACTAGGGAGACTGAGGTAGGAGAATAGCTTGAACCTGGGAAGCGGAGGTTGCAGTGAGCCAAGATCTCGCCATTGCATTCCAGCCTGGCTGTCGCAAAAAAAAAAAAAAAAAAAAAAGTATCCAGTAAAAACTCCCCTCTCACCTTTCCTTGTATCCCCAGAAGAAACCGTTTAATGAGAGTATATGTTTTCATTTATTTATTCATTCAACAAATATTAGGTGTTTGCTGTTTTTTAAAAAAATGTAATTTAAGTTTTTAGAGTCAGGGTCTCACTCTGTGGCCCTGCCTGGAGTGCAGTGACACAATCATAGCTTACTACAGCCTTAAACTCCCGGGCTGAAGCGATCCTCACACCTTAGCCACCCGAGTAGCTAGGACTACAGGCACCTGCCACCACACCAGGCTAATTAAAAAACTTCTTCTTCTTCTTTTTTTTTTTTTTGAGATGGAGTCTTGCTCTGCCGTCCAGGCTGGAGTGCAGTGGCGCCGTCTCGGCTCACTGCAACCTCCGCCTCCCTGCCTCAGCCTTCGGAGTAGCTGGGATTACAGACGTCCGCCATCATGCCCGGCTAATTTTGTGTATTTTTAGTAGAGACGGGGTGTCGCCACCTTGGCCAGGCTGGTCTTGAACTCCTGACCTCAGGTGATCCACCCATCTCGGCCTCCCAAAGTGCTGAGATTACAGGAGTGAGCCACGGCGCTGGGCTTTTTTTTTTTTTTCTTTTTAGACGGAGTCTTGCTCTGTTGCCCAGGCTGGAGTGCCTTGGTGCTATCTCAGCTCACTGCAAACTCCGCCTCCCAGGTTCATGCCATTCTCCGGCCTCAGCCTCCCAAGTAGCTGGGACTACAGGCGCCCACCACCACGCCCGGCTAATTTTTTTGTATTTTTAGTAGAGACGGGGGTTTCACCGTGTTAGCCAGGATGGTCTCGATCTTCTGACTTCGTGATCCGCCCGCCTCAGCCTCCCAAAGTAGTGGGATTACAGGCGTGAGCCACAGAGCCCAGCCGACGCCTTTTTTTTTCTTTCTTTTAAAGAGATGGAGTCTCACCGAGCACTGTGGCTCACGTCTGTAATCCCCAGGACTTTGGGAGGCCGAGGCGAGGGGATCGCTTGAGCCCAGGAGTCGAGACCAGCCTGGACGACATAGCGAGACTTCGTTTCTGAAAAAAATGCAAGCATTTTGAACCCGGGAGGCGGAGGTTGCAGTGAGCCGAGATCGTGCCGCTGCACTCCAGCCTGGGCGACAGAGCGAGACTCCGTCTCAAAAAACAAAACAAACAAACAAACAAAAAAACAAGCAAACAAACAAAAAAAAAAACCAAGCATTTGGCAGGCATGGTAGCGCACGCCTGTGGTCCCAGCCAGCCACTCTGGAGGCTGAGGTGGGAGGATCGCTTGAGCCAGGGAGTTCGAGGCTGCAGTGAGCGGTGATCGTGCCACTGCACTCCAGCCTGGAGGACAGAGGCAGAACTTGTCTCAAAAAAAACAAAAAACAAAAAACCGGCCAGTGTGTGAGGGGCGCGCGATTTTTAAGATGTGAGAGAGGGAATTGTGCGTCACCATCACCACCAGGTGTCGCGACATCGGGTGCCGCGCCGTCCCGCTTCTGAGGCGCGGTGGCCTGAGAAACTGGCTTCAGAGCCCGCTCTTCCTAGCCTTCTGCCCGAAAATGCAGAATTTGGGGAATTGGAACTTTGGAGGCGGGAGCGAAAGACCTCTCCTTCTCTCGCCGGAAATATCCCTCTTTCGGGAAGCGCTCCCCTGCCTTCCGGAAAGGAAGAGCCCTGATCGCGCCCCTGCACTCAAGCCTCTGGGTGATAGAGCGAGGAGACCCTGTCTCCAAAACACAAACAAACAAAAGGTAATGGGGGGGGGGGGGGCAGGCGCGGTGGCTCACGCCTATAATCCCAGCACTTTAGGAGGCCGAGGCGGGTGGATCACCTGAGGTCAGGCGTTCCAGACCAGCTTGGCCAACATGGTGAAACCCCCGTCTCTGCTAAAAATACCAAAAAAATAGCTGGGGGTGGTGGCAGGCACCTGTAATCCCAGCTACTCAGGAGGCTGAGGCAGGAGAATCACTTGAACCCGGGAGGCGGAGGTTGCAGTGGGCTATCACACCGTTGCACTCCAGCCTGGGCGACAAGAATGAAACTCTGTCTCAAAAAAAAAAAAAAAGGTAGTAGGAACATTGCTGGTAATTGCTGTGTGAGCACACTAATACCACATTTATACCTGTCTTTCTGAACTTCTATGACAATGTAAACATGCATATGTATATAGATATCTCCATATATAGTTACTCTCACCTTGTTCACAGCTGCTCTTACACTAGATATACAATTTTCTCCTTCAAATAATGTTAATGCTAACTATGAATGTAATATATGCTCAGTGTATGAAATTTAGGAAATATAGAAAAAGAAAGCACTCATTATCCCTACGATCCAAGTATATTCAGTTTGGCATGTTTCCTCTTTTCCCAGTATTAATTTTTTACTTAAATAACAATGAATACAATACAAGTTGTAAGGACTTGACCAGCAGATATACAGAGAGTGAGTAAAAACATTGAAGTCCTTTTTCAGCGTCCCTTCCCAGATGTCCTCTTCCCACACATCTTTTTCTGTGCCACTTGCTAGAAGTTTGGTGTATTTACGACCAGATTGTTTTCAATGTGTCACATATGTTTGTGTTATATAAAAACATACTTTAAAAATCATATATAAATGCAATTATGCATTACACACCCATCTTTCTTGGAGACATTTCCATGCTAACACATATAGATGTGCCTTATTCTTCTCAAACTGCTGCAAAATATTTCATGGTATAGATACACCATATTTTACCCTTCTCCTTACTGATGGTATTTATATTGTTTCTAATTTTTACTATTAAAACAATACTGCAATTAATATCTTTGTAAATGTCTCTTGTCACAAATGTGCAAGTATTTCTTCAGGATATACTAGAAGTAGAATTGCTGTATCAAAGATTATGGCATTTAAAAATTGGGGATTATTACAGAATTACCCATCAACAGACTGTACAACAATGGAATATTATTCAGCCTTAAAAGGAAGAAAATTCGGCTGGGCACGGTGGCTCAGGCCTGTAATCCCAGCACTTTGGGAGGCCGAGGCGGACGGATCACGAGATCAACAGATGGAGACCATCCTGGCTAACATGGTGAAATCCCGTCTCTACTAAAAATAGAAAAAATAGCTGGGCGTGGTGGTGCACACCTGTAGTTCCACTCAGCTACACTGGAGGCTGAGGCAGGAGAATCGCTTGAACCCAGGAAGCGGAGGTTGCAGTGAGCCGAGATCAGGGCACTGCACTCCAGCCTGGAGACAGAGTGAGACTCTGTCTCAAAAAAAAAAAAAAATTCTGCTGGGCACAGTGGCTCATGCCAGTAATCCCAACACTTTGGGAGGCCAAGGTGGGAGGATCACTCGAGGCCCGGAGTTCCAGACCAGCCTGGCCAATATGGTGAAACCCTGTCTCTACTAAAAATGCAAAAATTAGCTGGGTGTGGTGGCGCATGCCTGTAATCCCAGTTACTCGGGAGGCTGAGGTAGGAGAATCACTTGAACCCGAGAGGTGGAAGTTGCAGTGAGCCAAGATTGAGCCACTAGTGGCACTCTAGCTTGGGCGACAGAGTGAGACTCCATCTCAAAAAAAAAAAAAAAAAAAGAGACCAGCCTTGCTAACATGGTGAAACGCATCTCTACTACAAATACAAAAATTAGCTGGGCGTTGTAGCAGGTGCCTGTAATCCCAGCTACTCTAGAAGCTGAGGCAGGAGAATCTCTTGAACCCGGGAGGCGGAGGTTGCAGTGAGCCGAGATCGTGCCATTGCACTCCAGCCTGAGCAACAAAATCGAACCTCTGTCTCAAAAAAAAAAAAAATGGAACTTCTGACACATATTACCACATGGATGAATCTTAAAGACATTACACTAAATGAAACAAGACAGACACAAAAGGACATATACTGTGTGATTCCACTATATGAGGTAGCTAGAGTAGTCAAACTCATAGAGACATAAAGTAGAATGGTGGGTGCCAGGGGCTGGGAAAGGAGGGAATGGGGAGTTAGTGTTTAATGGGGACAGAGTTTCAGTTTTGCAAGATGAAAAAAGTTCTGGAGATGGATGGTGGTGATGGTCACACACAATGAATATTAATGCTACGAAACTGTACACTTAAAAATGGCTTAAACGGTACATTTTTTGGTATTTATAGTTGATCACAATTTTTAAAAAGACTGTACCAATATCAATTCCCACCAGTATTGCATAAGAGAGAGTATCTAGTCCTCCACCACTTCATTAATATTATACATTATGAATAATTTCAACTTTGAACATATTGAGGGGCAAAAACAACACTTGATTGTTTTAATTTGCATGTGCCCAATTACTTCTGAGATTGGATACCTTTTGAATGTTTACTTAACATTAATTTGTCTTGCAAATTATCTGTTCATTTCCTTTGCCCAATTTTAGTATGAATTTGTTCGACTATATATTCTAACAACTAATAATTTATTTAATTGTGGTAAATATTGTCTTTCAGACTTGCTTCACTTTTTTTTTTTTTTTTTTTGAGACAGTGTCTCACTCTGTTGTCCAGGCTGGAGTGCAGTGGTGTGATCTCAGCTCACTGCAGCCTTCACCTCCTGGGTTCAAGACTCCCAAGTAGCTGAGCTTACAGGCACACGCCACCACACCCGGCTAATTTTTGTATTTTTAGTAGAGACAGGATTTCACCATGTTGGTCAGGCTGGTCTCGAACTCCTGGCCTCAAGGGATCCGCCTTCCTCAGCCTCCCAAAGTGCTGGAATTACAGGCATGAGCCACTGCACCTGGCCTTACTTCACTTTTCAATTATGGTGTCTTTTGTAAAAAAGAAGTTTTTAATTAAAAAAAAAAAGCTCCCATCTCTCCAAAAATAAAAAATTAGCTGGGCATGGTAGCTCACACCTGTGGTCCCAGCTATTCGGGAGACTGAGGTGGGAGGATTACTTGAGCCGAGGGGGTCGAGGCTGCAGTGAGCTGTGATCTCCCCACTGCTCTCCAGCCTGGGCGACAGAGCAAGACCCTGTCTCAATCATCATCATCATCATCATCTGACAATCTTTTTCCTTATGGCTTCTGGGCCAAAGGAATAAATGAAGGTATAAGGCTTGTTGATAACTATTAATAACACACATTAAAAAAAAACTATGCATAACACACATTTGAAATCTACAGCACATTGCCTGAAGTTAGCATGTTGGGTTCTGGCTCTGTCTCTTGCTTCAACAGTGTTTAGAACGAACAGACCAGGGGGATCCCTCTTCCAGCCTGTGATCGCCTCCCATCTCCTTTTCACTTGAGCCTCCCAGACCATCTTCTTGGCAACCTCCTGCTTCTGGGCCCAGCCAACACCGTTTTTGTGGATATCTTCTTCTTGTCCCCAAGCATGAGCTCCTAGATGTGTTAGAATGATTCCACCCAGGCAGAGGCAGCCACCAACTGCCCCGTCAACCGGCATCTCTCTGGACTTCTACTTTGGCCACGATGACATGGCTCTGGAAGGTGAACTGGCCAAGCATCTCTGGAAGATGCAAAGCCAGCGTGGCAGCCTGCTCTTTTGCAGGACCTGCAGATGAGATGAATGGGATAAAACCCTGGACGCCGTGGGGGTAGCCCTGGCCCTGGAGAGGAGCCTGAACCTGGGTTCTGCTGACACAGACGTCACCTCTGGGACTTCCTAGAGAGGCCTTTCCTAGATGGGGGAGTGAAACTCGTCAAGAGGGTGGATGATCACCTGACCTCTGCGGGCTGGCCACCTGGAGCCGGGCCAGGCAACTGTCTTTTCCAAAGTCTGGCCACCCTCAAGCATGACTGGGAGCCTAGCGAGCCCAGTGACCTCTGAGAGGCTCCTCTCAAAGGATCAGGGTTTCTGCCTGCCTGAGCCTCCCCCTCCAGCCACTAGGCAGCTTTTTAACCCTGGAGCCCTCTCCCAAGCCTGGATCAAATTTGCAGGGACAAAACGGGGGCAGGGGCTGGGGTGGGGAAATCAAATTAATGACCTTCTTAGGGTAAGGATGTTCCAGGAAGAGGAAACCTGCCATCCCACAACCCCTAGACCATAATAGCAATTATTCCCTCCAGGGATCAACAAACCAGTGACAGACTCTAGAACCATTGAAATCTACTGATTAAGGCCAGGCGCCGTGGCTCCCACCTGTAATCCCAGCACTTTGGGAGGCCAAGGTGGGAGGATCACGAGGTCAGGAGCTCGAGACCAGCCTGGACAAAATAGCAAAACCCCGTTTCTATTAAAAATACAAAAAAAATTTAGCTAGGCGTGGTGGCGGGTTCCTGTAATCCCAGCTACTCAGGAGGCTGAGGCAGGAGAACCACTTGAACCTGGGAGGCAGAGATTGCAGTGAGCCAAGATTGTGCCATTGTACTCCAGCCTGGGTGACAAGAGCAAGACTCCATCTCAAAAAAAAAAAAAGAAAAAGAAAACTCTACTGATTAATGCCTATCTTAACTCCAGTGTCAGTAGTAGCTTTGACAAAGGCCTTTTATATCACATGGCTATACTTTGCCAAGCATACTGAACACTATTATAATTGTTTCCTAATACCCCATGTGATACCCACATGCTTCTTCATAAGTTTGTAACACATTTAAAAATAGCATGACGCCAGGGGTGGTGGCTCATGCCTGTAATCCCAGCACTTTGGGAGGCTGAGGCAGGTTGATCGCCTGAGGTCAGGAATTCAAGACCAGCCTGGCCAACATAGTGAAACCCTGTCTCTACTAAAAATGCAAAGAATTAGCTGGGCATGGGCTGGGCGTGGTGGCTCACACCTGTAATCCCAGCACTTTGGGAGGCTGAGGTGGGCGGATCACCTGAGATTGGGAGTTCGAGACCTGCCTGACCAACATGGAGAAACCCCGTCTCTACTAAAAATACAAAATTAGCCAGGTGTGGTGGCCCATGCCTGTAACCCCAGCTAATTGGGAGGCTGAGGCCAGAGAATCACTTGAACCCGGGAGGCAGAGGTTGCGGTGAACCAAGATCGCATCAATGCACCCCAGCCTAGGTGACAAGAGCAAAACTCCGTCTCAAAAAAAATTTAAAAAAATGAATTAGCTGGGTGTGGTGGGCGGGAGCCTGTAATCCCAGCTACTAGGGAGGCTGAGGCAGGAGAATTGCTTGAACCCAGGAGGCGGAGGTTGTGGTGAGCCAAGATCACGCCATTGCACTCCAGCCTGGACAACAAAAGCAAATCTCTCTCTCTCAAAAAAAAAAAAAATCAGATAATCTAGAATGGTAAAAAGAAGAGAGTAAAATTACCTAAATAAATTACCAAATTCCCATCATCTGGAGGTAACTATTCATAGCACAGATTTTTAAAAAATGGGTTATCATATAATGCTTTCTATTTTTTATCCTGCTTTTTTAAACTTAATTTTTCTACTTACATTGTTTTATGCTAATAAATATATATCTTCATTGAAATAACTGCATAGCTTTCTGTTGTATATATCATAATTTATTTAACTCATACTAATGGGGCATTTGTAAACAAATCTATGATAGAAATGCATCTCTTCATATATATATGTGTGTGTGTTTGTGTGTGTGTGTGTGTGTGTGTGTGTGTGTGTATTTAGAGATAGGCTCCCACTCTGCTGCCCAGGCTTGTGTGCAGTGGTGCAATCATAGCTAACTGTAACCTTGAATTCCGGTGTCAAGTGATCTTCCCATCTCAGCCTCCTGAGTAGCTGGGACCACAGGCAGGTGCCACCATGCCTGGCTAATTTATTTTTATTTTTATTTTTTTGTAGAGCTGGGGTCTCACCATATTGCCCAGGCTGGTCTCAAACTCGTGGCCTCAAGTGATCCTCCTACCTCAGCCTCCTAAATCATTGGGATTTAGAGGCATGAGCCACTGTGCCCAGTCTCTTGACATATTTTGTAAATAAAAAACAAGGAAGAAATATTTATAACACAGGCGTGTGCCACCATGCCCAGCTAATTTTTTGTACTTTTAGTAGAGACAGGGTTTCACAATATTGGCCAGGCTGGTCTCAAACTCCTGACCTCAAGTGATCCGCCCACCTTGGCCTCCCAAAGTGCTGGCATTACAAGCATGAGGCATTGCGCCTGACCTTAAAGGACTAATTTCTTTCTTTTTTTTCTTTTCTTTTGAGACAGGATCTTACTCTGTCACCCAGACTGGAGTGCTGTGATAAAATCACAGCTCATTGCAGTCTCCATGTCCCAGGCGCAAGTGATCCACATCAGCTTCCCAAGTAGCTGGGACTACAGGGGCACATACTACACCTGGCTAATTTAAAAAACTCTTTGTAGAGACAGGTTCTTGCCATGTTTCCCAGACTGGTCTTGAACTGCTGACCTCAAGCGATCTTTCTGCCTCAGACTCTGAAAGTGCTGAGATTACAGGCATGGGCCACTGCACCCACTGAAAGGACTAATTTCTTCAATATGTAAGTGGTTTCTATAAATATATGAGAAACAGATTAATAACACAATAGGAAAATGGACATAGGACAGGAGCAAACAATTCACAGAAAAGAAAATTGTTCCTTTTTTTCTTTTGAGATGGAGTCTTGCTCTGTCACCCATGCTGGAGTGCAGTGGTGGCACTATCTCGGCTCACTGCAAGCTCCGCCTCCGGGGTTCACGCCATTCTCCTGCCTCAGCCTCCCAAGTAGCTGGGACTATAGGTGCCGGCCACCACGCCCGGCTAATTTTGTTTTTTGTATTTTTAGTAGAGACGAGGTTTCACCGTGTTAACCAGGATGGTCTTGATCTCCTGACCTCGTGATCCGCCCCCCTCAGCATCCCAAAGTGCTGGGATTACAGGTGTGAGCCACCATGCCCGGCCAAAAATTGTTCTTAAACACATGACAAGATGTGCAGCTTCACTTAGCATAAGAAAAATGACCATTCAATGTATGAAGTGGCATTTTTTAATATTTCAGATTGACAAAGATAAAACAAGACTGTTAATACTTTTGTTTACAAGAGTGCAGAGAAATGCATCCTCATGCATTGTTGGTCAGTGTAAACTGGTACAACCTCTTTGGAAGGCAGTTGGGTAAGTAGCTATGAAAATCTCAAATGCAGCTGGGTGAGGTGCCTGTCATCCCAGCACTTTGGGAGACTGAGGCGGGTGGATCACCTGAGGTCAGGAGTTTGAGATCAGCCTGGCTAACATAGTGAAACCCTGTCTCTACTAAAAATACAAAAAAAAAAAAAAAAAATTAGCCAGGCATGGTGGCAGGCACCTGTAATCCCAGCTACTTGGAGGCTGAGGCATGGAGAATTGCTTAAATCCAGGAGGCAGAGGTTTCAGTTAGCCGAGGTGGCACCACTGCACTCCAGTCTGGGCAACAGAGTGAGACTCCATCTCAAAAAACAAACAAACAAACAAACAAAATAAAATCTCAAGTGCACGTACCGTTTGTGCCAGTAATTCCACAACCGGGAATTTTACAGATACTCTCACAGATGTGAAAAAAGAAGTATGCGCACAGATGTTCCCTGCAGTATCGTTAATAATAGAAATACACTCAAGGCCGGGCGCGGTGGCTCACGCCTGTAATTACAGTACTTTGGGAGGCCGAGATGGGTGGATCACTTGAGGGCAGGAGTTGGAGAGCAGTCTGGCTAACATGGTGAAACCCAGTCTCTACTAAAGATACAAAAATTAGCCAGGCGTGGCATCACACCCCTGTAGTCCCAGCTACTCAGGAGGCTGAGTTGGGAGAATCACCTCAACCTGGGAGGAGGAGGTTGCAGTGAGCCGAGATCACACCATTGCACTCCAGCCTGGGTGGCAGAGAGAGACCCCATCTCAAAATAAATAAAATACAATAAAATAAAATAAGAAAGGTGAACATTAGCAGCAGCAAGGCAGCCATCACCTTTGCTCTGTGAAGCCTGTGGTAGGGATGGATATGAATTAGCTGTGGTGGGAGGGACTGAGTAAGCTCTGGGACCATGTGGCTCTGCTGGACACAGCAGGGGAAGGCAGTGGTCCAGGCTTCCCAAAAACCAGCCTTGAGGAATAAAGATAATGCTCCGAATTTTCAGAACTGCTCTGCTCACTCTGAGTCAGAGTGGAAAATACTGACTGCTGCATCTAGCAAAGGAGATGTTTCAGCACTGTTTTGGGAAGAAGGGCCTGTAGGGCTTATCTGACGAGGGCCTTACTGTCATCTCCGCATCATGCCAAGCAGCCTTTCCTTAGACCCAGGGCTCCCACCCCCACTTTCAGATTAGCTGCCAGCCTCCAACACTCTGCTGTTTTCCTTTCCTGAGAAGCAGCCCCTGTGAAAGCTGTTTTTCTGAGCATCAGGCCTGAGCATAATCTGCTTTAGCAGCTGAAGTGGTCTGCTCTTCTTTTACTGAAAGCACTTTAATACAGAAATTCTGTTGACCTTTTAGATTTATATATGCTTCTCCCTCCCCTCTGGGCTTTTCCTGGAAGTAGGTTGGCAAGGTTTACTGGAACAGTATGGTTCCTACCCCCACACCAGCCAAGACCTTGAGAAGAGAGAAGGTGCTGAGCCACTCAAGCACATGGCCAGGGGAGCTTAGAAAAACAGGGACTTCCAACCTGCCTGGGCAATATAGTGAGACCCCATTCTCCAAAAACAAGGAAAAAAGAAAAAAGAAAAAGAGGGACCCTCCAAACACAAGCAGGGAGAAGCTGAAGAAGTGGGTGCTAGAAGAGCCTGGAGATGTGTAGATGGCAGCCTGTCTGCTGCTCTGGGCCTTGGCCATTGCCTGTGCTGCTGATGCTTCTGCCGTCTCTTCTTCTTTCACAAAACTACAAGAGCTCAGGTTGCGGCTGCTCAAAAGCTTCCCGCAATGTGCTGATTCACTCTAAGTGTCTGCTCCTCTGCAGACTGACTTCATGCACTTAAAATAATTCACTCATTTCATTGTTAGCTCTGTCCTCTCCACTTGCATTTCAGGCCAGAGCAGTACAATGAGGTCCCAAGCTCTGTCCTGTAAACCACAGATAAAATTCTAAGGCCCCTCCACAACCATCTGAATGGGCCCCTCTTCTTGGCTAAGGACATTCCCAAGGAAATCTGAAAATCTAGTTCAGGACATGACGGAAGAGCAGGTCACACAAGCATCATTATAACCTCCTCCCTTTTGGAATTCAGGAAAAGCCAACCAGCATTAACATCAACACAGATCTTAAGTCTGGTAAGAAACATTTACAATCTATTTTCTCTGAAGTTTGCTACCTGGAAGCTTCATCTGCCTGATAAAACCTTGGTCTCAACAACTGCTTATCATAACCCAGACATTCCTTTCTACTGATAATAACTCTTTCTTCTTCTTTTTTTTTTCCTAGACAGAGTCTCGCTCTGTGGCCCAGACTGGAGTGCAGTGGCCCCATCTCAGCTCACCACAACCTCTGCCTCCCGGGTTCAAGTGATTCCCCTGCCTCAGCCTGCTGAGTAGCTGGGATTACAGGCATGCACAACCACAACCAGCCAATTTTGTATTTTTAGTAGACACGGGGTTTCTCCATGTTGGCCAAGCTGGTCTCGAACTCCTGACCTCAGGTCATCCACCCGCCTCCGCCTCCCAAAGTGCTGGGATTACAGGCGTGAGCCATGGCCCCTAAACAACTCTTTCAACCAATTGCCAATCAGAAAAAATTTAAAATCTGCATGTGACCTGGATACACTCCCCACAAGAACTTCAAGTTGTCCTGCCCTTCCATATGGAACCAATGTAAGTCCTATATGTATTTGACTGATGTCTCATGTCTCCCTAAAATATATAAAACTAGGCTGTGTCTTAGCACCTTGGGCACCTGCTCTCAGGATCTCCTGAGGGCTGTGTCATGGGCCACTGATCACTCATATTTGGCTCAGAATAAATCTCCTCAAATACATTTTTGCCAACAGTCCACTGGGCTCAGGTGAGCAGGGCCTGAAACAGATAACATGGAAATTTATAATAAAATAAGGGACCCATGCCTTAAGACATACCACAAAGTAAATATAACACTGTACAGGCTCTCTCGGGTGACCCTGGACTACAGAATGTGGGTTGTGGGGAGGGAGAGACGTGGACTTTTTCCTGCAGGTCATGGCTTGGGTGCACCTAGAAACAGGCCAATACCACCCCTTCTTTTCTGGAAAGGTGGGGCCTGACAGCTTTGCGTGGGGAACCAGTGTCCTGTTACAGTTCAGGTCTAAAATGCCTGCTGAGTAAATAAACATGTTGTTCTCAACCTAACCCAAAAAGCCTGATATTTGTAGGAATAAAATTGCTCTTTCCTACCCTGGGCAAACTGCTTCCCTGACAAATATGCTCAGTCATGGAGTGGAGACAGATAAGTAAAGAGATGCTGGGAATAGAGCAGAGACAGATAAGTAAACAGATGCTGGGGATATGTCATGATACAGAGCCAGGCCAGAGTCAAGCAAGGTGTTGCATTGGCATACTGCCGGCCTTTCCTGCAGGAAAAGGTGTGAAAAAGCTCTTGAGGTGATGGGAAGGGGTGTGCTGTTTTGAAATGGGAAGATAAAAACAGAGCCATGGGGGTTCTGCACCATCGCCTTGGAACAAATGGTGTCTGCCTCCACATCTGCAATGACTCAGATCTCTGCTCTGGGCATACTTGCAGTCAAATCAGGGCTGCCCAGACATCCTGTGTTTGTGAAATGCTGAGAAAGACTAACTGGCTTCCAGCAGTTGCCTACTCATCCACCCTCTTCCAAACACCCAGGCTGGGGAGTAACATTTTGGGGATGAGTCCTTGTAATGCTGCTTCTCTCTGGAGAGCAATGTGTGAAAATTGACCCAAGGAGTTGTCTCATGGGATGAGGCATAATTGGCTGTCTTTTTTCGGAACCTCCTTGAGGCTCATCTACCCCCGTGCCCTGAGCTCACTGGGGCCTGCCTGGCCAAACAGAATATACCCATTAAGGGAATAAATTTCCAGGCCACAATAACAAGCATCACCACTTTGAAAAGAAAAAGCCATGAACTGAAATTCTTCAAAATAAGAATTTTTAATTAGCCCAATAAACACATTAAAAGATATAAGGAAGATACTAGAACTATGAAACAAATGAACACAAAAACACCAAAAAGAACCGACAAGAAATACTAAGTTGAAAACATAACAGTTGAGGCTGGGCACGGTGGCTCAAGCCTGTAATCCCAGCACTTTGGGAGGCCAAGGAGGGTGAATCAACTGAGGTCAGGAGTTCGAGACCAGCCTGACCAATATGGTGAAACCCCGTCTCTACTAAAAATACAAAAACTAGCCAGGCGTGGTGGTGCATGCCTGTAATCCCAGCTACTCAGGAGACTGAGGCAGGAGAATTGCTTGAACCTGGGAGGCAGAGGTTGCAGTGAGCCGAGGTCGTGCCACAGCACTACAGCCTGGGTGACAGAGCAAGACTCCATCTCAAAAAAAAAAAAAAGAAAGAAAAGAAAATATAACAGTTAATGCCAGGTGCAGCAGCTAACTCCTGTAATCACAGCACTTTGGGAGGCCGAGGCGGGCAGATCACCTGAGGTCAGAAGTTTGAGACCAGCCTGACCAACATGGAGAAACCCCGTCTCTACTAAAAATACAAAATTAACCAGGTGTGGTGGCATTTGCCTGTAATCCCAGCTACTCAGGAGGCTGAGGCAGGAGAATTGCTTGAATCCAGGAGGTGGAAGTTGCGGTGAGCCAAGATCACAGCATTGCACTCCAGCCTGGGCAATGAGAGCAAACTCTGGCTCAAAAAAAAAAAAAAAAAAAAGGTGGGGGGGCGGGGCTCAGTGGCTCAGGCCTGTAACCCCAGCTCTTTGGTGTAGGGAAAAGAAAGAGAGATCAGACTGTCACTGTGTCTATGTAGAAAGGAAAGGCATAAGAAATTCCATTTTGACCTATACCTTGAACTATTGCTTTGCTGAGATGTTGTTAATTTGTAACTTTGCCCTAGCCACTTCGCCCCAGCCACTTCGCCCCAGCCACTTTGCCCCAACTTTGAGCTCACAAAAACATGTGTTGTATGGAATCAAGGTTTAAGGGTTCTAGGGTTGTGCAGGACGTGCCTTGTTAACAAAATGTTTACAAGCAGTATGCTTGGTAAAAGTCATTGCCATTCTCTAGTCTCAATAAACCAGGGGCACAATGCACTGTGAAAAGCTGCAGGGACCTCTGCGCTGAAAAGCCGGTATTGTCCAAGGTTTCTCCCCATGTGATAGTCTGAAATATGGCCTCGTGAGATGAGAAAGACCTGACTGTCCCCCAGCCTGACACCCGTAAAGGGTCTATGCTGAGGTGGATTAGTAAAAGAGGAAAGCCTCTTGCAGTTGAGATAGAGGAAGGCCACTGTCTCCTGCCTGAGATAGGAGAAAAACCACCCTATGGCAGGAGGTGAGACATGTTGGCAGCTATGCTGCCTTGTTATTCTTTACTCCACTGAGATGTTTGGGCGGAGAGAAACATAAATCTGGCCTACGTGCACATCCAGGCATAGTACCTCCCCTTGAACTTAATTATGACATAGATTCTTTTGCTCACATTTTTTTTTTTTTTTTTTTTGCTGACCTTCTCCTTATTATCACCCTGCTCTCCTACTGCATTCCTCTTGCTAAGATAATGAAAATAATAATCAATACAAACTGAGGGAACTCAGAGACCAGTGCCAGTGCATGTCCTTGGTATGCTGAGTGCCGGTCTCCTGGACCCACTGTTGTTTCTCTATACTTTGTCTCTGTGTCTTATTTCTTTTCTCAGTCTCTCATCCCACCTGGCAAGATATCCCACAGGTGTGGAGGGGCAGGTCACCCCTTTACTTTTGGAAGCCGAGGCAGGGGGATCACGAGGTCAGGAGATCAAGACCATCCTGGCTAACATGGTGAAACCCCGTCTCTACTAAAAATACGAAAAAAAAATTAGCTGGGCATGGTGTTGGGTGCCTGTAGTCCCAGCTACTCGGGAGGCTGAGGCAGGAGAATGGCATGAACCCAGGAGGCAGAGCTTGCAGTGAGCTGAGATTGCACCACTGCACTCCAGCCTGGGTGACAGAGCGAGACTCTGTCTCAAAAAAAAAAAAAAAAAAAGAAAAAAAGAAAAAAGAAAACATAACAGTTGTACTAAAGAACACAAATGATTGAATAAACTGCAGGATGGACAGAGCTGAGGAATAAATTAGTGGACTGGAATAACAGAAATTCCCCTAAAGGAAGAAGAAAAAAGAACAGGAAATATAAAAAGAATATACAAAATAGAATATAAAAAGGAAATATAAAAGAATAGCTAAGGGATATGGAGAATAAAAGTGAAATGGCAACATTCAGAAGATAGGATTCCTGGAAAGAGAAAGAGAAAAATGGAGAGGAGGAAATATTTGAAAAAATAAAGAATAAAAAATTCTCAGAATTAGGAAAAAAGATGAAATGTGAACACAAGATCTGTATACAGATTATTCCTCATTAAAAATAATTTTGGCCAAGCGTGGCCAGGCGCGGTGGCTCACGAAATCATGCCACTGCACTCCAGCCTGGGCGACAGAGCAAGACTCTGTCTCAAAAAAAAAAAAAACAAATTTTTGGCCAAGCGTGGTGGCTCACGCCTGTAATCCCAGCACTTTGGGAGGCCCAAGACCAGAGGATCTCTTGAACCTAGGAGTTGGAGATCAGTCTGGGTGGGCAAAACCCTGTCTCTACCAAAAAAAAAAAAAAAAAAAAATTAGCCTGGTGTGGTGGCACAAACCTGTAGGTAGGAGGGTCGCTTGAGCCTGGGAGATGGAGGCTGCAGTGAGCCATGATCACTCCACTGCACTTCAGCCTGGGCAATAGAGCAAGACCCTGTCTAAAAAAAAATATTTTGGGGAAATTTAAGAATACCAGAGACAAAAAGAACATTCTAAACATTTCCAGAGAGTCAGAGATCACAGATAAAGGAAGAAGAGGCCTATTTACTTATTTATTTATATCTTTTTGAGACAGGGTCTCACTCTGTTGCCCAGGCTGGAGTGCAGTGGTGCCATCTGGGTTCACTGCAACCTCTGCCTCCTGAGTTCAAGCGATTCTCTTGCCTCAGCCTCCTGAGTAGCTGGGACTATAGGCGCCCGCCACCACGCCTGGCTAATTTTTTTTTTGTATTTTTAGTAGAAACGGGGTTTAACTGTGTTAGCCAGGATGGTCTTGATCTCCTGAACTTGTGATCCACTGCCTCAGCCTCCCAAAGTGCTGGGATTACAGGCATGAGCCACCACACCAGCCCGGTTTTTCAATATACTTGTCCATGGGTCCCTAAATGTCTTGTCGTAGATTCTTTAAAAAGAGTGTTTCCAACATGCTGAATCAAAAAAAAAAAAATGGTTTAACTCTGTGTAATGGATCTGTTCATCACAAAACTTTTTTACAGGTAGCTTATTTCTAGTTTTTATCACGGGACATTCAGATTTTTAATACGGGCCTCAATGGGCTCCACAGTGTCCCTTCATAGATTCTACAAAAAGAGTGTTTCCACCCCGCCCTTCATAGATTTTCCATAAACAGTGTTTTCAACGTGCTGAATGAAAACAATGGTTTAAGTCTTTTAGCTGAATCTACTCATCTGAAAGCATTTTCACAGATAGCTTGTTTCTAGTTTGTATTGAGAGATAATCGATTTTTCACTATAGGCCTCAATAAGCTTCTAAATGTCCCTTTGTAGATTCTTTAAAAAGAGTGTTTCCAACCTTGTGAATCAAAACAATGGTTTACCTATGTGAGATGAATGCACACATCACAAAGCATTTTCACAGATATCTTGTTTCTACTTTTTATCATGGGATATTCGGTTTTCCACCATAGGCCTCACTGGGCTTCATAACGTTCCCTTGTAGATTCTACAAAATGAATGTTTTCAACCTGCTGAATCAAAACAAAGGTTTAAATCTGTGAGATGAATCCAGACATCACAAAGGATTTTCACAGGTACCTTGTATGTCGTTTTTATTAAGGGAAATTTGATTTTTCCCAACAGGCCTCAATGGGCTCTAAATGATCCCTTCCTAGATTCTACAAAAAGAATGTTTCCAACCTTCTGAATCAAAACAAAGTTTAACTCTGTGAAAGGAATCTGCACATAGCAAAGCATTTTCACACATTGCTTGTTTCTAGTTTTAATGGCAGGATATTCGGTTTTTCACAATATACCTTAATGGGCTTCGAACTGTCCCTTTATAGATTTTACAAAAGGAATGTTTTCTAACTGCTGGATCAAGACAAAGGTTTAACTCTGTGAAATGAATCCGCACATCTAAAAGCATTTCCACAGTTTGCCTGTTTCTAGTTTTTATCGTGGCATATTCAGATTTTCACTATAGGCCTCAATGTGCTTTGATACGTCCCTTCTTAGATTTTACTCAATGAGTGTTTTCTACCTACTGAATTAAAAGAAAGGTTTAACACTGTGAGATGAATCCACACATTGCAAAGAATTTCCACAGGTAGCATCTTTCTAATTTTTATCGCAAATATTCATTTTTTTCACAATAGGCCTCAATGGGCTCTGAAGTGTCCCTTCATAGATACCACAAGAAGCTTGTTTCCAACCTGCTGAATCAAAACAAATGTTTAACTCTGTGAGATAAATGCATGCATCATAAAGTATTTTCAAATATAACTAGTTTTTAGTTTTTATCATGGGATATTCAGTTTCTCACTATAGGCTGCAATGGGCTAAGAAATGTCCCTTTGTAGATACTGCAAAAAAGTGTTACCACCCTGCTGAATCAAAACAAGGGTTTAACTCTGTGAAATAAATGAACACATCACAAAGCATTTTCACAGATAGCTTTTTTCTAATTTTTATCGTGGGATGCTTTTTTTCCACTATAGGCCTCAATGTGCTTTGAAATGTCCCTTTCTAGATTCTACAAAAAAGGTATTTAAAACCTCCTGAATCAAAACAAAAGTTAAACTCAGGGAGATGAATGCACATATTTCAGAGAATTTTTACAGATAGCTTGTTTCTAGTTTTTATCACGGGATATTCATTTTTTCACTATAGGCCTCATTTGGCTCCGAAAAGTTCCTTTGTAGTTTCTAAAAATAAAGTGTTTCCAACCCGCACTTAGTAGATTTTACTAAAACAGTGTTTTCAACCTTTTTAATAAAAACAAAAGTTTAATTATGTGACATGAATATACACATCACAAAGTATTTACATAGATAGCATGTTTCTAGTTTTTATCATGGGATATGCGGTTTTTTACTGTAGGCCTAAATCAGCTCTGAAGTGTCCCTTCTTAGGTTCTAGAAGAACAGTGTATCCTACCTGCTGAACCAAAATAATGGTTTAGCCCTGTGAGATGAATCCACAGATCTCAAAGCATGTTCACAGATAGCTTGTTTCTAGTTTTTATCATGGAATGCTTGGTTTCTCATTATAGGCTTCACTGGGCTCTAAAATATCCATTCGTAGATTCTATAAAAAGAGTGTTTCCAACCTACTTAATCCAAATAAATGTTTCACTCTGTAAAGTGAATCCAAACATCACAAAGCATTTTGATGGATAGCTTGTTTCTAGTTTTAATCATGGGATATTCAGTCTTTTTCTGTAGACTTCAATGGTCTCTGAAATGTCCCATTGTAGATTTTACAAAAAGAGTGTTGCCAGCCAGCTGAATCAATACAAACGTTTAACTCTGTGAGATAAATCTTCCATCACAAAGCATTTTCACAGATAGCTTGTTTCTGGTTTTCAAGGCGAAATATTCAGTTTTTCACTATAGGCCTCAATGGACTCCAAAATGTTTCTTTGTAGATTTTACAAAAGAGTGTTTCCAACCTGCTGAAACAAAACAAAGGTTAAACTGTGTGAGATGAATCCACACTTTGCAAATCATTTTCACAAATTACTTGTTTCTAGTTTTTATCATGGAATATTCAGTTTTCCACTGTAGGCCTCAATGGGTTCCAAAATGTCCCTTCGCAGATACTACAAAAAGAGTGTTTCCAACCTGCTGAATAAAAACTAAGATTTAGCTCTGTAAAATGAATCCACACATTGCCAAGCATTTTCACCAATAGTTTGTTTCTAGTTCTAATTGCAGGATATTCGGTTTTTCACTATAGGCCTCAATGGCCTCCAAAATGTCCCTTTGTAGATCCCATTAAAAGGATGTTTCCAACCTCCCCTTTGTAGATTTTACAAAAAGAGTATTTCCATCCTGCTGAATAAAAACAAAGGTTTATCTCTGTGAGATGAATTCACACATCATGAAACATTCTCATATGTAGCTTGTTTCAAGTTTTTATAGCGGGATATTTAGTTTTATGACTATAGGCCTCAATGTGCTCCGAAATGTCACTTTGTAAACTGTGTCAAAAGAGTATTTCCAACCTGATGAATAAAAATAAAGGTTTAAGTCTGTGAGATGAATCCACACATCACAAACCATTTTCACAGACAGCTTGTTTCTACTTTTCATCATGGGATATTTGGTTATTCACTATAGACTTCAATATGCTCTGAGATGTCCCCTTTTAGTTCTACAACAGAGTGTTTCAAACCTACTGAATCAAAACAAAGATTTAACTCTGTGACATGAAATGACCCATTGTAAAGCATTTTTACAGGTAGCTTGTTCCTAGTTTTTATTGCAGAATATTCAGTTTTTTACTACAGGCCTCAATGGGCTTTGAAATGTCCTCTTGTAGATTCTACAAAAAGAGTAATTTTGGTCTGCTGAATCAAAACAAAAGTTAACTCTGTGAGATACATCCACACATTGCCAAGGATTTTCACAGATACATTTTTCTAGTTTTTATCATGGAATATTTGGTTTTTTACTACAGTTCTCAATGTACTCTGAAATATCCCTTAATATATTCTTGAATAAGTTTGTCTCCAACCTGCTGAGTTAAAACAAAGCTTTAACTCTGGGAGATGAATCCACACATCACAGCACATTTTCACTGATAGATTGTTTCTACTTTTTATCTTGGGACAATCTGTTTTTGACTATAGGCCTCAATGGGCTTTAAAATGTCCCCTCGTAGATTCTACGAAAAGAGTGCTTCAAACTTGCTTAATCAAAGCAAAGGTTAAATTATGTGAGATGAAGCCACACATCACAAAGCATTTTCACATATAGCTTGTTTCTAGTTTTTATCATGGGAGATTTGATTTTTTACTATAGGCCTCAATTGGCTCTGAAATGTAAACTTTTATATTCTACAATAAAAGTGTTTTCAACCTGCTGAATCAAAACAAATGTTTAACTCCATGAGATGAGTCCACACATCACAAACATTTTCACAAGCAGCTTGTTTCTAATTTTTATTATGAGATATTCAGTTTTTCAGTACAAGCCTCAATGGGCTCCAAAATGTTTCTTCATAGATTCTAAAAATAGAGTTGTTCCAACCTGCCAAATCAAAACAAACATTTAACTCTGTGAGATAAATCCATACATTGCAAAGCATTTTCACAGATAGCTTGTTTCTAGTTGTTTATTGTGGGATATTTTGTTTCTCACTATAAACCTCAATAGGCTCTGAAATGTCCCCTCATAGATTCTACAAAAAAAGTGCTTTCATCCTGCTGAATAAAAACAAAAGTTTAACTCTGTGACATGAAATGACACATCATAAAGCATTTCGACAGAGAGCTTTGTTCTAGTTTTTGTCATGGCACATTCAGTTTTTCACTACAAGCCACAGTGGGCTCCAAAATGTCCCTTCGTGGATTCTACAAAAAGTGATTTTGGCCTGCTGAATCAAAACAAAGGTTCAACTCTGTGAGATGAATCCACACATCACAAAGAATTTTCACAGATAGCTTGTTTCTAGTTTTCATCCTAGGATATTAGGGTTTTTTCATGCATTTCTTCATGGGCTCTGAAATGCTCCTTTGTAGATTCTACAAAAAGTGTTTCCAACCTGCTGAATCATAACAAAGGTTTAACTCTGTGAGTTGAATCCACACATCATGAAACATTCTCATATGTAGCTTGTTTCTAGTTTTTATCTCGAGATATAAAGTTTTTAACTGTAGGCCTCAATGTTCTCTGAAATGTGCCTTCTTAGATTCTACAAAAAGAGTATTTCCAACCTGTTGAATCAAAACCAAAGTTTAACTCTTTGAGATGAATTGACACATTGCAAAGCATTTTCACAGATAGCTTTTTTCTAGTTTTTGTCACAGAAATTCAGGTTTTCACTGTTGGCCATTGTGGACCCCAAAATGGCCCTTTGAAGATTCTACAAAAAGAGTAGTTCCAACCTGCTGAATCAAAACAAAGGCTTAAATCTGTGAGATGCATTCACACATTGCAAAGCATTTTCACAGATAGCTTTTTTCTAGTTTTTGTCACAGAAATTCAGTTTTTCACTGTTGGCCTTTGTGGACTCCAAAATGGCCCTTCATAGATTCTGCAAAAAGAGTAGTTCCAACCTGCTGAAACAAAACAAAGGCTTAAATCTCCACACATTGCAAAGCATTTTCACAAATAGCTTGTTTCTGGTTTTTATCACAGGATATTTGGTTTTTGACTTTAGACCTCAATAGGCTCCAAAATGTCTCCTCCTAGATTATATAAAAAGATTGTATTCCACGTGCTGAATCAAAACACAGTTAACTTGGTGAGATCAATCTGCACATCACAAAGCATTTTCACAGATAGCTTGTTTCTCGTTTTTATCACAGGATATTCAGTTTTTCACTATAGGCCTCAAAGCACACCAAAAAGTCTTCTTGTAGATCCAAAAACAGACTGTTTCCAACCTGCTTAATCAAAACAAAGATTTAACTCTGTGAAATGAATCCACACATCCCAAAGCATTTTCACAGGTAGCTTGTTTCTAGTTTATATCTCCAGATATTTTGTTTTTCACTACAGGCTTCAATGGGCTTTGAAATGTTTCTTCATAGATTGTACTAAAAGAGATTTTCCAACCTACTGAATTATAACAAAGATTTAATTCTGTGAGATTAATCTACACATCACAAAGCATTTTCATAGATAGCTTGTTTCTAGTTTTTATTATGGTATAATTTGTCTTTCATTGTAGGCCTCAATGGGCTTTGAAATGGCCCTTAGTAGATTCTGCAAAAAGAGTATTTCCAACCTGCTGAATTAAAATAATTGTTTAAGTCTGTGAGACAAATTCACACAATGCAAAGCATTTTAACAGATATTTTGCTTGAGTTTTTATTGCAGGATATTTGGTGTCTCAATATACTCTTCCATGGGCTCCAAAATGTCCCTTTGTATATTCTACAAAAAGAGTGTTTCCAACCTGTTGAATAAAAACAAAGGTTTAATTCTGAGAGATGATTCCAAACATCACAAGACCTTTGGACAGATAGCTTGTTTCTAGTTTTCATTGTGGGATATTCAACTTTTCACCGTAGTCCTCAAGGAGCTTTGTAATGTCTTTTCATGGAATCTACAAAAACAGTGTTTCCACCCTGCTGAATCAACACAAATATTTAACTCTGTGAGATGGATCCACACATCCCAAAACATTTTCATAAATAGTTTGTTTCCATTTTTCATAGAAGAATATTTGCTTTTTCTATATATTTATCCATGGGCTCCAAAATGCCCCTTCATAGATTCTAAAAAAAGAATAGTTTCAATCTGCTCATTCAAAACATATGTTTAATAATCTGAGAGATAAATCCACCCATCACAAAGCATTTTCACAGATAGCCTGTTTCTAGTTTTTAATTTCAGGATATTTAGTTTTTCATTGTACACCTCAATGGGCTCCAAAATGTCCCTTCATAGATTCTACAAAAAGAGTGATTCCAGTCTGTGGAATCAAAACAAATGTTTAACTCTGTGGGATGAATCCACTGACTGCAAAGCATTTTCACAGATAGGTTTTTTCTAGTTTTTATCATGGGATATTTGGTTTTTTACTCTTGGCCTCAATGGGCTTCAAAATGTCCCTTCGTAGATTATACAAAAAGAGTGTTTCCAAGCTGCTGAATCAAAACAAAGAATTAACTCTGTGACATGAATCCACACATCACAAAGCATTTTCACAGATAGACTGTTTCTAGTTTTTATCATGGGATATTTAGTTTTTCACTATAGACCTCAATTGGCTCTGAAATGTCCCCTCATAGATTCTTCAAAAATAGTATTTCCAGCTCTGCTAAATCAAGACAAGAGATTAACTTTGTGATATGAATATACATATGGCAAATAATTTTTAGTGATAAGTTGTTTCCAGTGTTTTTGATGTGATATTCAGTTTTTCACTGTAGGCTTCAATGGCCTCTGAAATGTCCACACGTAGGTGGTACAAAAGGACTGTTTCCAACATGCTGAATCAAAACAAAGGTTTAACTCTATCAGATGAATCCAAACATTGCAAAGGATTTTCACAGGTAGCTTGTTTCTAGTTTTTATCGTGAGATATTTGGATTTTTACTAATGGCCCTAATGGACTCTAAAATGTCCCTTCTTAGATTTTACAAAGAGAGTGTTTCCAACCTGCTTAATCAAAACAAAGGTTTAACTCTGTGAGATGAATCTACACATCACAAAGCATTTTTAGAAATAGACTTTTTATTGTTATTGTTGCAAAATATTCAGATTTTTACCGTAGGCATTAATGGGTGTTGTTGGGAAAAGGTGAGTGTTGGGAGAAGCTGAGACAGGGCTTGCATGTCTGACATAATGTAAAAGAGTCTTGGAACATGTCCAGGGTCCAGGGTCTAAAACCCCTTGTGGCATTTGGAACACCAAAGTCTGTGCTAAAGGGTGGAAGGCTATCCAGATGCACAATAATCTAAGCCCAGGGCATAAAATCCCTGATGGCAGGGATAGAATCCAGGGTTTGTGGCTTTGGAATGTGTCCAGAATTGCTGGATCCTTGCTCCTTGCTCTCCCAGAATTGATTGTATCTTGAGTTAGAAGAACCTGCTCTCCATTATCTCAAGTAGCAGAGCAAATGCTAAACCATCACAGCTGTAAATCATGTGTTTAATGCAACACACTCTTTTGACCACATTCTCACCACCTGTTTCTTTGTTGGATTACCAATAAATACTACGGGCTTCCAGAGCTCAAGGCCTTCATAGCCTCCATGATCGTGATGGACCCTGGTCCCACTTTACTTCTCAAACTGTCTTTTTCTCAATCATTTGACTCCACCGGACTTCATCAACCCCACAACCTGGTGTTGGGTCTGATCACCCCAACAGGTGTGATGTATCCTTTCATAAATCCATGCATTGCAAAGTATTTTCAAAGATAGCTTGCTTGTAGTTTTTATCACGGGATATTCAGGTTTTCACTATTGGCCTCAATGGGCTCTGACATGTTTCTTCATAGATTCTACAAAGGGAGTGTTTCAAACCTACTGAATCAGAAGAAAGGTTTAATTCTGTGAGATGAATCCACACATTGCAAAGCATTTTCACAGATACTTTTCTTCTAGTTTTTGTCAAAGGATATTCAGTTTTTCAGTATAGGCTTCAGTGGGCTCTGAAATATCCCTTCGCAGATTCTACAAAAGGAGCGTTTCCAATCTGCTGAATAAAAACAAAGGTTTAACTCTGTGAGATGAATCCATACTACTCAAAGCATTTTCACAGATGGCTTGTTTCTAACCTTTATAATGAGACATTCAATTTTTCACTATTGGCCTCAATGGGCTCCATAGTGTCTCTTCCTAGATTCTACAAAAACAGATTTTTCATTTCTCCAAATCAAAATAAAAGTTTACTCTGTGATATGAAATCACACATCACAAAGGATTTTCACAGATAGCTTTTTCTAGTTTTTATCATAGGATATTGGGTTTTTGACTATAGGCTTCAGTGGACTCTTAATTGTACCTTCTTAAATGCTACAATAAAGTATTTTCAACTTGCTGGATCAAAACAAAGGTTTGACTTTGTGAGACGAATCCTCACATCGCAAAGCATTTTCACCCATAGCTTGTTTCTAGTTTTTACCGAGAGATATTATTTTTTCACTAGAGGCCTCAATGGGCTCCTAATTGTCCCCTTGTAGATTCTACAAACAAAGAGTCTAACCTGCTGAAGCAAAACAAAGTTTAACTTTGTAAGATAGACCTACACATCACAAAGCATTTTCACAGATAGGTTGTTTTTAGTTTTTATCAAGGGATATTTGATTTTTCACTGTAGGTCTCAATGGGCTATGAAATGTCCCCTCTAGATCCACAAAAAAAAGTTTCCAACCTGTTGAATCAAAAGAAAAGTTCAACTTGTGAAATGAAATCACACATCATAAAGTATTTTCAGAGATAGCTTCTTTATAGTTTCTATCACTGGATATTTGGTTTTTCACTATAGACCTCAATGAACTTCAAAATGTCTCTTTGTAGATTCTACAACAAGAGTGTATCCAACCTGCAGAATAAAAGCAAAGGTTTAACTCTGTGAGATGAATCCACACATCACAAAGCATTTTCAGAGATAATTTTTTTTATTGTTTTTATCGCAAAATACTCACTTTTTTACTATAGGCTTTTATAGGTGTGAAACATCCCTTTGTATATTCTACAAAAAGGTATTCCAAACTTGCTGAATAAATGCAGAGGTTTAAATTTGTGACATGAATCCACATATTGCACAGCATTTTTACTGACAGCTTTTTTCTAGTTTTTATCACGGGATAATCAGTTTTTCAGTATAGGCCTCAATTTGGTCCGAATAGTACCCTAGTAGATTGTAGAAAAAGAGGGTTTCCAACCTGCTGAATTACAAGAAAGGTTAAACTCTGTGAGATAAAATCACACATTGTAAAGAATTTTTAGACATAGCTTCTTTGTAGTTTTTATTACAGGACATTTGATTTTTTACTATAGGCCTCAATGAGCTCTGATATTTCCCCTGGTAGATTGTACAAAAAGAGCATATCCAATCTGCTGAATCAAAACAAACATTTAACTCTGTAAGACAAATCTACATATCGCCATGCATTTTCACAGATAGCTTGCCTCTAGTTTTTATCACGGGATATTTGATTTTTCACTATAGGCCTCAATGGGCTCCAAAATGTTGCTTCATAGATTCTACAAAAAGAGTGTTTCCAACCTGCTGAATCAAAAGAAAGGTTTAACTTTTTGAGATAAATACACGCATTGCAAAACATTTTTACAGGTAGTTCATTTTAGTTTTTATCATGGGATATTCCATTTCTCACTATAGGAATGAATGGGCTCTGAAATGTCACTTCAAAGATTCTACAAAGAGAGTGTTTCCAACCTGCTGAATCAAAACAAACATTTAACTTGTTGAGATGAATCCTCACATCACTAAGCATTTTCACAGATAGATTGTTTTTAGTTTTATCATGGGATATTCAGTTTTTGATTATAGGCCTCAAAGACTGAATTGTGGCCAAGCAGATAGTAAAACATATGTGTCTCCAACCTTCTGAATAAAAATCAAAATTTAACTATGTGAGATACATCCATATATCACAAAGCATATTTACAGATAGCCAGTTTCTAGTTTTAATCATGGGATATTCAGTTTTTCACTACAGGCCTTAATGGGCTCAAAAAAGACTCCTCTTATTCTACTAAATATTTGCTTCCAATGTACTGTATAATAACAAATATTAAACGCTGTGAAAGAAATCCACAGATCACAATGCTTTTTCACAAATAGCTTGTTTCTAGTTTTTATCACAGGATATTTGGTTTTTCACTGTAGGCCTCAATGGGCTATGAAATGTTCCTTTGTAGATTCTATAAAAAGTGTGTTTCCAACTTGCTGACTTAAAATAAAGGTTTTACACTGTGAGATGAATCCACACATTGCAAAGCATTTTCACAGATAGCTTGTTTCTTTTTCTTATCATGGGATATTCAGTATTTAACTAGAGACTTCAATGGGCTCTGGAATGTCCCATAGTAAACTCTATACAAAGAGTGTTTCCAACTGGCTGAATAAAAACAAAGGTTTACGTCTGTGAGGTGAATCCACACAACACAAAGCATTTTCACTGACAGCTTGTTTCTAGTTTTATAGCAGGATTTTTTTTCAATATTGGTCTCAATGGGCTCCAAAATGTCCCTTTGTAGATTCTACAAAATTTTTTTCCAACATACTGAATCAAAACAAATGTTTAACACTGTGAGATGAATTTTCACATCAAAAAGCATTTTTACAGTAGTTTGTATTAGTTTTTATTATGAAATTTTGAATTTTTCACTGCTAGCCTCAAAATTGTCCCCTATTAGATTCTACTAAAAGAATATTTCCAACCTACTGTATAGAAACAAAAGTTTAACTCTGTGAAATGAATCCACACATTGCAAACCTACTTCACAGATAGCTTGTGTCTAGTTTTTATCAAGAATTATTTGGCTTTTCACTATAGGCCTCAATGGGCTCCAAAATGTCCCTTCATATATTTTGCTAAAAGAGTGTTTCCAACCTAGCTGAATCAAAAGAAAGTTTAAACTCTATGAGGTGAAACTGCAAATTGCAAAGCATTTTCACATATAGCTTCTATAGTTTCTATCATGGAATATTCAGTTTTTCACTATCGGCCTCCATGGGCTATGAAATGTCCCCTCGTAGGTTCTACAAAAAAAGTGTTTCTAACATGTTGCATGAAAACAAAGATTTAACTTTGGGAGATGAACCCACACATTGCAAAGCATTTCTATAGAAAGATTTTTTCTAGTTTTTATCACAGGATATTAGATTTCATACTGTAGGCCTCATTTTGCTCCAAATTTACCCCTTGTCAATTCTACAAAGAGAATATTTCCAACCTGCTGATTCAAAACAAATGTTCAATTCTGTGAGATGACATGCAAAGCTTTTCACAGATAGCCTGTTTCTAGTTTTCATCATAGGACATTTGGTTTTTCACTATAAGCATCAAAGGGCTCTGAAATGTCCCTTTGTAGATTCTACAAAAAGAGTGTTCCCAACCTGATGAATCGAAAGAAAATTTTAACTTTGTAAGATGAATCCACACATCACAAAGCATTTTCACTCATAGCTTGTTTCTAGTTTTTATCGTGGGTTATTGGTTTTCACTAAATGCCTCAATGAGCTATGAACAGTCCCTTGTAGATTCTACAAAGAAAGAATTTCCAATCTGCTGAAGCAAAACAAAGTTTTAACTTTGTAAGATGAATCTACACATCACAAAGCATTTTTACAAAAGGTTGTTTTTAGTTTTTATCAAGAGATATTCTATTTTTCACAGTACACCTCAATGTGCTACAAAATGTCCCCTAGTAGATTCTACAAAAAAACTTTCTAAACTGCTGAATCAAAAGAAAAGTTCAACTGGTGAGATGAAATCACACATCACAAAGTATTTTCAGAGATAGCTTCTTTATAGTTTTTATCATGGGATATTAGATTTTTCAATATAAGCCTCAATGAGCTCTGAAATATCCCTTTGTAGATTCTACAAAAAAAGTGTTTCCAACCTGCAAAATAAAAAGGAAGGTTTAATTCTGTGAGATAAATCCACACATTGCAAATCATCTTCACAGTTGGCTTGTTTCTAATTTTTATTGTGGAATATTTGGCTTTTCACTGAAATTCTCAAGTGCTCTGAAATGTCCCTTTGTAGATTCTATAACAAGAGTGTTTTCAAACTGCTGAATGAAAACAAAGGTATAACGCTTTAAGAGGAATCCACACATCACAAAGCATATATTCAGATATCTTGTTTCTAGTTTTTAAAGCATGATATTTGGTTTTTCACTATAACCCTCAATGGGCTCAGAAATGTCTCATAGTAGATTTTACAAAAACAGTATTTCCTACCTGCTAAATCAAAGCAACAGCTTAAATCTGTGAGATTAATCCAAACCTCGCAAAGCATTTTCACAGATAGCTTACTCCTAGTTTTTATCGCAGGATATTTGGATTTTCAGTATAGGCTTCAATGGGCTCTGAAATGTCCATTCATAAGTTATATAAAAAGTATGTTCCCAAACCCCTGAAAAAAAAATGAAGGTTTAACTCTATGAGATGAATCCACACGATGCAAAGCATTTTCACAGATAGCTTGTTTCTAGCTTTTATGATGAGACATTCGAATTTTTACTATTGGCCTCAATGGGGTCAGAAATGTCTTTTTGTAGATTCTACAAAAAAAAAAGGCTTTTATTTTTCTGAATCAAAATAAAGGTTTAACTCTTCTATATGAAATCACACATCTCAAAGTATTTTCACAGATAACTTGTTTCTAGTGTTTATCACTGGATATTGGGTTTTTCACTATAGGCTTCAGTGGACTCTTAATTGTAACTTCTTAATTCTTCAAAAAGTGTGTTTCCAACCTGCTGTATGTAAGTAAGTGTTTACCTCTGTGAGACAAATCTTCACATTGCAAAGCATTTTCCCCAATAGCTTGTTTGTAGTTTTAATTGCATAATATTTGGTTTTGTACTATAATCCTCAATGGGCACCGAAGTGTCCCTTCGTAGATTATATGAAAACAGTGTTTCTAACCTGTTGAATCAAAACAAAGGTTTAACTGTCAGATGAATCTACACATTGCAAAGCATTTTCACAGGTAGCTTGTTTCAAGTTTTCATCGCAGGATATACGTTTCTTCATTATAGGCCCCAAGAGCTCCAAAATGTCTTAGAGTATTTCAAACCTGCAGCATAAAAACAAAGGTTTAACTTTGAGACAAATGCATACATCACAAAGAATTTTCACAGAAAGCTTGTTTCTAGTTTTTATCAGGAGATACTCAGTTTTTCACTATAGACCTCAAGGGGCTTTGAAACATCCCTTCATAGATTACACAAAAAGATTGTTTCCACCTTGCTGAAACAAACAAACAAAAAATTAACTCTTTGAGATGAATCAACACATTGCAAATCTATTCACAGATAGCTTGTTTCTAGTTTTTTTTTTTTTTTTTTTGAAGGGTATTCTGTTTTTCACTATAGGCACCAATAGGCTCCTAAATGTCCCTCCGTAGATTCTACAAAAAGAGTGTTTCCAACCTGCTGAACCAAAAGAAAGGTTTAATTCTATGAGATGAAATCATGCACAAGAAAGCATTTTTTTGAGATACCTTTTTTATAGTTTTTATCACTGGATATTCTATTTTTCACAGTAAGCCTCAATGGGCTTTGAAATATCTCTTTGTCGATTGTACCAAAGGAGAGTTTCCAATTTCCTGAATCAAAACAAAGGTTTAATGTTGTGAGATAAATCCACAAATTGCAAAACATTTTGACAGAAAACTTGTTTCTAGTTTTTATCACAGGATATTTGGTTTTCATTATAGGCCTCAGTGGGCTAAGAAATGTCCCCTCATCAAATCTACAAAATAGGTTTCTCCAACCTGCTGAATCAAAATTAACATTCAACTCTGTGAAATGAATCCACACATCACAAAGCCTTTTTTTTTTTGATGGAATCTCACTCTATGACCCACGCTGCCGTACAGTGGTGTGACCTCAGCTCACAGCAACCTCCACCTCCTGGGTTCAAGCAATTCTCCTGCCTCAGCCTCCTGAGTAGATAGGAGTACAGGCACACACCACCATGCCCAGCTATTTTTTTTTTTGTATTTTTAGTAGAGACAGGGTTTCAAAATGTTGGCCAGGCTGCTCTTGAACTCCTGACTGCAGGTAATCCACCAGCCTCAGCCTTCCAAAGTGCTGGGATTACAGGTGTGAGCCACTGCACCCAGCCACAAAACATTTTCACAGATAGCTAGTTTCTAGTTTTTATCACCAGATATTCAGTTTTTCACTATTGTCCACAGTGGGCTTTGAAATGTCCCCTTGTAGATTCTACAAAAATAGTGTTTTTGACCTGCCAAGTCAAAACAAATGATAAACTCTGTGAGATGAAACTACACATTTCAAAACATTTTTACAGATAGCGTATTCTAGTTTTTAATCATGATATATTCACTTTTTCACTCTAGGCCCCAATGGGCTTGGAAATGTTTTTTCATTGATTCTACAAAAAAAAATTGTTTCCAACTTTTTAAATCAAAACAAATATTTAACTCTGTGAGATGAATTCACAAATCACAAAATATTTTCACAGATAATATGTTTCTAGTTTTTATCAAGGGTTGTTCTTTTTTTTATTGTAGGCCTCAGTGGGCTCTGAAATGTCCCCTTATAGATTTTATAAGAAAAGTTTCTCCAAGCTGCTGAATCAGAAGAAAAGTTAACTCTATGAGATAAAATCACACATCACAAAGCATTTTCAGAGATAGTTTTTTAAATAGTTTTTATCATTAAATATTCATTTTTTCAGTATTTGCCTCCATGGGCTCTGAAAAGTACTATCAAAGAGTAAACAAAATTAGTGTTTCCAACATACTTAGTCAAAACAAAGGTTTAACTCTGTGAGATGAATCCACACATTGCAAAGCATTTTAACAGATAGCTTGTTTCTAATATGTATCATGGGATATTCAGTTTTTCAATATAAGCCTCAAAGGGTTCTGAAATGGAACTTCTTAGATTCTACAAAGAGACTGTTTTCAACCTCCTGAATAAAAACAAAGATTTAACTCCATGAGATGAATCCACACATCTCAAAGCATTTTCACAAATAGATTTTATCTACTTTTTATCATGGAATATTGGGTTTTTCACAATAGGCTTCAATGGACTCTATATCATCCCCTATTAAATTCTACAAAATGAGTGTTTCCAACATGCTGTATATAAACAGAGGTTAACTCTTTGAGATGAATCTATATACACAAAGCATTTGCACAGAGAACATGTTTCTAGTTTTCGTAGTGAAATATTCAGTTTTCAGTCTATAAGACCTCAATGGGCTCTGAAATGTCCCTTCATAGATTGTACAAAAGTGGGTTTCCAAACTGCAGAATCAAAACAAAGGTTTAACTCTGTGAGATGAATCCACACAACACAAAGCATTTTCACTAATAATTTGTTGCTAGTTTCTATCATGGGATATTTGGTTTGTCAATATGCTCATCCATGGAAACCAAAATGTTCCTTTGTAGATTCTTAAAAAAAAAGTGTTTCCAATCTGCTGAATCAAAGCAAATGTTTAACTCTGAGAGATGATCCACACATCACAAAGCATTTTCACAGAAATCTTGATTCTCATTTTTATCAGGGAATATTTAGTTTTTCACCATAGGCCTCAATGGGCTTTGAAATGTCCCCTCTTAGACAAAAAAAAAAAAAAAAAAAAAAAGTGTTTCCAACCTTTGAATTACAACTAAGGTTTAACTCTATGAGATGAATCCACACATTACAAAGCATTTTCACAGATAGCTTGTTTCTAGTTTTTATAGAGGGATATCCAGTTTTTCACTATATGCCTCAATGGGTTTAAAAATGACCCTTCATAGATTCCACAAAAAGAGTGTTTCCAAACTGTTGAATCAAAACAAAGTTTTAACTCTGTAAAATGAATGAACATATCACAAAGCATTTTTGTAGATAGCTTGTTTCTAGTTTTTATCACAGGATATTCTGGTTTTCACTACAGGCCTCAAAGAGCTCCAAGATGTCCCTTCATAGATTCTACAAAAAGAGTGTTTCCAACCTCCTCAATCTAAAGAAAAATTTAACTCATTGAGATGCCCACATTGCAAAGCATTTTCACACACAGCTCCTTTCTAGTTTTTTTGCTGGATATGCGGTTTTTTCACTATAGGCCTAAACAGGCTCCAAAGTGTCCCTTTTAGATTCTACAATAACAGTTTTTTCTACCTACTAAATCAAAACAAAGGTTTAACTCTGTGAGATGAACCCACACATCGCAAAGCATGTTTACAGATAGCTTGTTTCCAGTTTTTATCATGGGATGTTGGATTTTTCACTGTAGACCTCAATGGGCTCTGAAATGTCCCCTTGTAGATCCTACAAAAAGAGTGTTTCCTACCTATGAAATCAAAACAAAGGTTTACCTCTGTAAAATGAATGCAAACTGCACAAATTATTTTCACAGATAGCTTGTTTCTAGTTTTAATCACGAGATATTCACTCTTACACCATAGGCCTCAATCAGCTTAGAAATGTTGCCTTGTAGATTCTACAAAAGAGTGTTTTCAACCTGCTGAATGAAAGCAAAGGTTTAACTCTGTAAAATGAATGAACACATTGCAAAGCATTTTCACATAGAGTTTGTTTCTATTTTTTTTTTGTGGGATATTTTGTTTTCCACTCTAGGCCTCAATAGGCTCTGAAATGTCCCTTCACAGATTCTACAAAAAGAGCATTTCTAACCTGCTGAATAAAAACAAAGATTTAACTCTGTAAAATTAATCCACACATCAGCAAGTATTTTCACGGATAGCTTGTTTCTAGCTTGAATCACGAAATATTAGGTTTTTTATTATAGACCTCAATGGGCTCCAAAAAGGCCCTTTGTTCATTCCACAAAAAAAAGCATTTCCAACCTGTTGAATCAAAACAAAGGTTTAACTCCATGAGATGAATCCACACATTGCCAATCAAGTTCACACATAGATTGTTTTTAGTTTTTATTGTGAAATATTCAATTTTTTACTGTAGGCTTCAATGATCTCCAAAATGTATTTTTTGTGTATTCTACAAAATGATTGCCCCAACTTTCTTAGTGAAAATAAAGTTTAACTCTCTCAGATAAATCCACACATTGCAAAGCATTTTCACAAATAAATAGTTGTTAGTTTCTATCATAGGATATTTGGTTTATCAATATATATGCACATGGGCTCCAAAATATCCCTTTGTCAATGCTTCAAAAAGGGTGTTCTTAAACTGCTGAATCAAAACAAAGTTTTAATTCTGAGACCCACATATTAGAAAGCATTTTCACAGATAGCTTGATTCTAGTTTTTATAGGGAATATTCAGTTTTTCACCATAGGCCTCGACGGGCTCCAAAATGTCCCTTTGTAGATTCTACAAAAAAAAAGTGTTCCCAGCCTGTTGAATCAAAACCAAAGTTTAACTTTGTGAGATGAATCCACACATCACAAAGCATTTTCACAGATAGCTTATTTCTAGTTTTCATTGCAGGATATTCAGTTTCTCAATATAGTCCTCCTTGGGCTCTGAAATGTTGCTTCATGGATTCTAAAAATATAGTGTTTCCAACCTGCTGATTCAAAGCAAAGGTATAATTCTGTGAGAGAAATCCACACATCACAAAGCATTTTCAAAGACAGCTTGTTTCTAGTTTTTAACATGGGATATTCAGTTTTTCAGTATAGGCCTCAATTTGCTCCAAAATGTCTTTTCGTAGATTCAAGAAAAAGAGTGTTTCCAACCTGCTAAATCAAAAGAAAGGTTTGACTCTGTGAGATAAAATCACACATTACAGAGCATTTTCAGACATAGCTTTTTTATAGTTTTTATTATGGGACATTTGGTTTTTTACTATATGCCTCAATGGGCTCCAAAATATCCCCTCATAGACTGTACAAAAGAGCATTTCCAACTTACTGAATCAAAATGAAGGTTTAACTCTGTGAGATGAATTTACTCATGGCAAAAAATTTTCACAGATAGCTTGCTTTGTGTTTTTATCACAGGATATTCCGTTTTTCTCCATAAGCCTCAATGGGCTCCAAAATATTCCTTTGTAGATTTTACAAAAAAAGTGTTTCAAAACTACTGAATCAAAACCAAAGTTTAACTCTGTGAGATGAATCCACACATCGCAAATCATTTTCATAAATAGCTTTTTTCTAGTCTTTATTGTGGGACATTTGATTTTTTGCCATAAACCTCAATGGATTCTGAAATATTGTTTTGTAGATTCTATAAAATGAGTATTTCCAACCTGCTGAATCAGAAGAAAGGTTTAACACTGTGAGATGACTCCACACATCACAAAGCATTTTCACAGATACATTGCTTCTAGTTTTTCTTGTGAGATATTCGGTTTTCACTATAGGCCTCAAATGGCTCTGAAATGTCCCTGCTTAGATTCTACAAAAAAAAAGTGTTTCCAACCTGCTGAATCAAAACAAAGTTTTAACTCTTTGAGATAAATCCACACATTGCAAAGCATTTTCACAGATAGATGTTTCTAGTTTTTATCGTGGGATATTGATTTTTCACTACATGCCAAAATGGGCTCCAAATTGTCCCCTTGTAGAATCTACAGGCAGGGCATTTTCAACGTGCTGATGCAAAACAAAGTTTTAACTGTGTGGGATGAATCTACACATCACAAAGCATTTTTACAGATACCTTGTTTCTAGTTTTTATCACAGTATATTTGGTTTATCACTATATGCCTCAGTTTGCTCTGAAATGTCCTATCATATATTCTACAAAAAGAGTGTTTTTTTGTTTGTTTGTTTGTTTGTTTTGTTTTGTTTTGTTTCATTTTTGAGAATGAGTCTCGCTCTTTTTTGCCCAGGCTGGAGTGCAGTGGTGTGATCTTGGCTCACTGCAAGCTCCACCTCCCGGGTTCATGCCATTCTCCTGCCTCAGCCTCCTGAGTAGCTGGGACTACAGATGCCTGCCACCACACCTGGCTAATTTTTTGTATATTTAGTAGAGACAGGGTTTTCACCATGTTGGCCAGGATGGTCTTGATCTCTTGACTTCGTGATCCACCAGCCTCGGCCTCCCAGAGTGCTGGGATTACAGGCATGAGCCACCATGCCCAGCCAAAAAGAGTGTTTTTAACCTGCTGAATCAAAAGAAAGGTTTAACTCTGTGAGGTGAAATTACACATTGCAAAGCATTTTCAGAGATAACTTCTTTATTGTTTTTATAGTGGGATATTAGGTTTTTCACTATAAGCCTCAATAGGCTTTGAAATATCTCCCAGTTGATTGTAAAAAAAAGAGAGTTTCCAAACTGCTGAATCAAAACAAAAGTTTAACGTCATGAGATAAAGCCACAAATTGCAAAGAATTTTCACAGATAACTTCTTTCTGGTTTTTATCACAGGATATTCAGTCTTTCACTATAGTCCTCAGCTGACTGAGAAATGTACCCTCATAGGTTCTACAAAAAGAGTGTTTCCAACCTGCTGAGTCAAAACAAAAGTTAAAATCTGTGAGATGAAATCACATATTGCAGAACATTTTTACAGAGAGCTTGTTCTAGTTTTTAGCATGGCATATTCGGTTTTTCACTATAGGCCTCAATAAGCTCTGAAATGTCCCTTCATAGATTCTACAAAAAGAGGGTTTCCAACCTGCTAAATGAAAAGAATAGTTTAACTCTGTGACATGAATCCACACATTGAAAAACATTTTCACACATAGCTTGTTTCTAGTTTTTATCACGGGATATCCAGTTTTTTTAGTACAGGCCACTGTGAGCTCCAAAATTTACTTCTGTAGATGCTACAAAAAGAGTGTTTCCAACCTTCTGAATCAAAACAGAGGTTTAACTTTGTGAGATGAATCCACAAATCTTAAAGCATTTTCACAGATAATGTTTTTTTCAGTTTTTATTGGGGATATTTGGTTTTACATGATAGGCCTCAAAGGACTCAGAAATTTCTTCTTTTAGATTCTACTAACAGAGTGTTGCCAACCTGCTGTATATAAACATAGGTTTAACTCTGTGAGATAAAGCCACACATCACAAACATTTTCACAGTTAGCTTGTTTCTAGTTTTTATCAAAAGATATTTGGTTTTTCACTATAGGTTCTAATGGGCTCTGAAATGTCTCCTCATAGATTATACATCAGTTTACAAACTGCTGAATCAAAAACAAAAAAGGGTTTACCTCTGTGGAATAAATCCAAACATTTCAAAGATAATTCACAGGCAGCTTGTTTCTAGACTTTACCATGGCATATTGGTTTTTCACTATAGGCCTCAACAGGCTCGGAAATGTTTTTTGGTTGATTCTACAAAAAAAGTGTTTCCAACCTTTTGAATCAAAACAAAGTTTAAACTCTGTGAGATGAATTCACACATCTCAGTGTGTTTTCACAGATAGCTTGTTTGTAGTTTTTGTCAAGGGATATTCATTTATTTATTGTCACACTCACTGAGCTCTGAAGTATCCCCTCATAGATTCCACAAGGAAAGTGTTTACAAACTGCTGAATCAGAAGAAAAGTTTAACTCTGTGAGATGAAATCACATGTCATAAAGCATTTTCAGAGATAGCTTCTTTATAGTTTTTATCAAGATATATTCAGTTTTTCAGAATTGGCCTCAAGGGGCTCCAAAATGTCCTCTCGTAGAGTCTACAAAATTAGTGTTTCCAGACTATTGAATCAGAACAAGGGTTTAACTCTGTAAGAAAAATCCACACATTGCAAAGCATTTTCACAGATAGCTTGATTCTAGTTTTTATCAGGGAATATTTGGTTATTCACCATAGGACTCAATGGGCTTTGAAATGTCTCTTCTTAGATTCTACAAAAAAAGTGCTTCCAACCTTCTGAATTAAAAGTAAGGTTTAACTCTATGAGATGAATTTGCACATCACAAAGCATTTTCACAGATAGCTTGTTTCTAGTTTTTATCATGGGATATCTGGTTTTTACTATAGGCCTCAATGGGCTTCAAAATGATCCTTCATAGATTCTACTAAAAGAGTGTTTCCAACCTGTTTAATAGAAACAAATGTTTAATTATGTGAGATGATTCCACACATGGTGAAGCATTTTACCACACAGCTTGTTTCTAGTTTTTATTGGTTTTTTACTATAGGCCTTCATGGGCTCCGAAATGTCCCTTGGTGGATTCTACAAAAAGAGTATTTACCGTCTGCTGAATCAAAACAAGGCTTTAACTCTGTGAGATGAATCCACACATGGCAAAGTGTTTTTACAGATAGTTTGTTTTCAGTTTTTATTGGGAAATATTTGGTTTTTCTTAATAGGCCTCAAAGGGCTCAGAAATGTCTTTTTTCTAATTCTACTAAAAGAGTGTTTCCAACCTCTGTATATAAACATAGGTTTAACTCTGTGAGATAAATCCATACATTGCAAAGCTAATTCACAGATAGCTTGTTTCTAATTTTTATCACCAGATATTGGTTTTTCAATATAATCTTTGAGATCAACTCACACATTGCAAAGCATTTTCACAGATAGCTTTTTTTAGTTTTTATCAAGGGATATTCACTTTTTATTGTAGGACTCAATAGGCTCTGAAATGCCCTTTCATAGATTCTACAAAAGAAATTGTTTCCAACCTGCTGAATCAAGAAAAGTTAAACTCCGTGGGATGAAATCACACATCACAAAGCATTTTCAGAGATAGTTTTATTATAGTTTACACCACAAAATATTTGGTTTTTCAGGGTTGGCCTCAACAAAATTTTAACTCTGTGAGATGAATCCACACATCACAGAGCATTTTTCACAAATAGCTTTTTTCTGGTTTTTATCGTGGGATAACTGGTTTTTCAATATAAACATCAATGGGCTTCAAAATATTCCTCCTTAGATTTTACTAAGAGACTATTATCAACTTCCTAAATACAAACAATGGTTAAATCAGTAAGATGAATCCACACATTACAAAGCATTTTCACAGATAAACTTTTTTTACTTTTTCTCACAGAATATTGCATTTTTTCACTATAGGCCTCAATGGACTCTAAATTGCCCTCTCTCACATTTTACAAAAACAGTGTTTCCAACCTACTGTATATAAACAAAGGTTTACCTGTCTGAGTAGAATCTACACACGCAAAGCATTTTCCTAGATAACGTTTTCAGTTTTCATTGTGAAACAATCAGTGTTTCACTATAGGTCTCAATGGGTTCCAAAATGTCCCTTCGTAGATTCTACAAATAAGGTGTTTCCAACCTGCTGAAACAAAACTAAGGTTTAACACTGAGAGATGAATCCACACATTGCAAAGCATCTTCACAGATAGCTTATTTCTAGTTTTTATCATGGAATATTTGGTTTTACACTATAGGACTCAAAGCCCTCAGAAATTTATTCTTTTAGATTCAAGTAAAAGAGTTTTTCATACCTGCAGTATAAAAACAAAGGTTTACTTCTGTGGGATAAACTCACACATTGCCAAGCATATTCACAGATAGCTTGTTTCTAGTTTTTATCACAGGATGTTTAGTTTTTCACTAAGGCTCAATGGGCTTTGAAACATTCCTCTGTAGAGTGTACAAATTTGACCTGCTGAATCAAAACAACGTTTAACTTTTTGAGATGAATCCACACATCACAAAGCATTTTCACAGAGGCTTGTTTCTAGTTTTTATTGCAGGATATTGGTTTTTCTCTACAGGTCAATATTGTCTTTGAATTGTCCCCTCATAGATTCTACAAACACCGAGCTTCCAAGCCAATGAAGCAAAAGAAAGTTTAACTTTGTAAGATGAATCTACATATTGCAAAGCATTTTTAAAAGATAGCTTGTTTTTAGCTTTTATTGCTGGATATTCAGTTTTTCACTGTAGGCCTCAATTTGCTCTGAAATGTTTTATTGAAGATCTACACAAAGAGTGTTTCCAACCACTGAATCAAAAGAAACGTTTAACTCTGTGAGATTAAATCACACATTGCAAAGCATTTTGAGAGACAGCTTCATATAGATTTATCATGGGATATTTGGTTTTTCACTGTAAGCCTCAATAAGCTTTAAAATGTCTCTTCATAGATTGCACAAAAAAAGAGTTTCCAACCTGCTGAAAAAAAAAGTTTTAACGTTGTGAGATGAATCCACCTATTGCAAAGCGTTTTCACAAATATCATTTTTTCTAGTTTTCATCGTGGAATATTGTTTTTAAGTGTAAGCCTCAGTGGGCTCAAAAATACCCCTCATAGATTCTACAAAAAGAGTTTTTCTAACCTGCTGAATCAAAGCAATAGTTCAACTCTTTGAGTTGAATCCACACATCACAAAGCAATTTCACAGATAGCTTGTTTCCAGTTTTTATCACGAGATATTTGGTTTTTTACTGTAGGCCTCACTAGCTCAGAATTTTTCCCTCTTAGATTCTACTAAAACAGTGTTTCCAAAATGCCATATAAAAATAAAGTTTTAACTCTGTGTGATGAATCTACACATTGCAAACCATTTTCAGACATAGATTATTTCTAGTTTTTATCATGAGATATTCTGTTTTTCACTATAGGCCTCAAAGGTCTCCGAAATGTCCCTTTGCAGATTCTACAAAATGAGGGTTTTCAACCTGCTGAATATAAAGAGAGGTTTAATTCTGTGAGATAAATCCACACATCACAAAACATTTTCACTGATAGTTTTTTTCAAGTTTTTTATCGTGTGATATTTGATTTTTCACTATAGGCCCAATGGGATCCAAAATTTCTCTTTGTAGATTCTATAAAAAAGTATTTTCAACCTGCCAAATCAAAACAAGGTTTTAACTGCATGAGATAGATCTACACATCATAAAGCATTTTCACAAATTGTTTGTTCTAGTTTTTATACGGGGATATTTTGTTTTTTACTATAGGCCACAGAGAGCTCAGAAATGTCTTCTTTTAGATTCTGCAAGAAGAATGTTTTCCACCTGCTGTATATAAATATAGGCTTAACTCTAGGAGAAACATCTGCACATCACAAACATTTTCACAGATAGCTTGTTTCTAGTTTTTATCACGGGATATTTGGTTTCTCACTAGAGGCCTCAATAGGCCCCTAAGTGTCCCTTTGTAGATTCTAAAAAAAAGTTTCCAATTTGCTGCATAAAAACAAAGGTTTAACTCTGTGAGATGTGTGCACACATCATAAAGCATTTTCTCAGAAGGATTATTTTTAGTTTTTTCATGAGATACTCTGTTTTTCATTTGAGGCCACATTGAGATCTGAAAAATCCCTATGTAGATTCTACAAAAAGAGTGTTTCCAGCCTGCAGAATCAAACCAAGGTTTAATTCTGAGAGATCATTCCAAACATCATGAGACACTTTTACAGATAGGTTGTTTCTAGGTTTAATTGTGGGATATTCAGTTTTTTAATATAGGCCTCAAAGGGCTCTGAAATGTCCCTTCATAGATTCTATGAAAAGAGTGTTTCCAACTGGCTGAATCAAAACAAATGTATAACTCTGTGAGAGAAATCCACACATCACAAAGCATTTTCACTGACAGCTTGTTTCAAGTTTTTATTGCAGGATAATCAGTTTTTGACTATAGGCCTCAATGGGCTTTAAAATGTACCTTCATGGTTTCTACAAGAAGAGTGCTTCAAACCTGCTTACTCAAAGCAAAGGTTTAATTCTGTGAGATGAATCCACACATCACAAAGCATTTTCACGTATAGCATGTTTCTAGTATTGATCACTGGATATTTGGTTTGGTTTTTCACTGCAGACCTCAATAGGCTCTCAAATATCCCCCTCATAGATTCTACAAAAAGAAAGTGCTTTCAACCTGCTGAATCAAAACAAAGTTTTAACTTTGTGACATGAAATGACACATCATAAAGAATTTTCACAGATAGCTTGGTTATGGTTTTTATCGTGTGTATTCATTTTTCCACTACAGGCCACAGTGGGCTCCAAAATGTCCACTCAGGCCTACAAAAAGAGAGATTTTTGCCTGCTGAATCAAAACAAGGGTTTAGCTCTGTGAGGTGAATCCACACATCTCAAAGAATTTTCACAAATACCTTGTTTCCAGTTTTCGTCACAGGATGTTGGTTTTTTTCATATGCTTCTTCATGGGATCTGAAATGTCCCTTCATAGATTCTATAAAAAGAATATTTCCAACCAGCTGAATCAAAACAAAAGCTTAACTCTGTGAGTTGAATCCACACATCACAAAGCATTGTCATATATAGCTTGTTTCAAGTTTTTATCTTGAGATATAAGGTTTTTAACTGTAGGGCCCAATGTTCTCTGAATGTGCCTTCTTAGATTCTACAAAAAGAGTGTTTCCGACCTGTTGAATCAAGATAGAGGTTTAACTCTGTGACATGAATTGACACATTGCAAAGCGTTTTCACAGATAGCTTTTTTCTAGTTTTTGTCACTGGATATTCAGTTTTTCACTATTGGCCTTAGTGGATTCCCAAATTTCCTTTCATAGATTCTACAAAAAGAGTGTTTCCAATCTGCTGACAAAACAGAGCTTTAAATCTGTGAGATGTATCCACACATTGCAAAGCATTTTTACAAATAGCTTGTTTCTAGTTTTTATCACAGGATATTTGGTTTTCCACTATAGACCTCAATAGGTTCCCAAATGTCCCCTTGTAGATTGTACAAAAGGAGTGCTTTCCATGTGCTGAATCAAAACAAAGGTTTTACTCCATGAGATGAATCCACACATTGGAAAGCATTTCCACAGATAGCTTGTTTCTCATTTTTATTGTGAAATATTTGGTTTTTCACTGTAGGCCTTAATGTGCACCAAAATATCTTCTCGTAGGTTCTACAAACAGACTGTTCCCAACCTGCTTAATCAAAACAAAGGTTTAACTCCGTGATATGAATTAACACATTCTAAAGCATTTTCACAGATAGCCTGTTTCTAGTTTTTATTTCCACTTTTTTTTCACTATTGGCTTCAATATGCTTTAAAATGTTTCTTCATAGATTCTACAAAAAGAGTTTTCCAAACTGCTGGATTAAAACAAAGGTTTAACTTTGTGAGATAAATTCACACATCACAAAACATTTTTGCAGATAGCTTGTTTCTAGTTTTTATCATGGGATATTTGGTCTTTCACTGTAGGCCTAAATGGGCTTCAAAATGGCCTTTAGTAGATTCTACAAAGAGAGAATTTCCAATCTGCTGAATGAAAAAGAATGTTTAACTCTGTGAGATTAATCCACACAATGCAAAACATTTTCAGAGGTAGCTTGTCTTTAGTTTTTATTGCAGGATATCGGTGTTTCAATGTACTTGTTTATGGGCTCCAAAATGTCCCATTGTATATTCTACAAAAAGAGTGTTTCCAATCTGCTGAATAAAAACAAAGGTTTAACTCTGAGAGATGATTCCACACATCACAGTACCTTTTTACACATAGCCTGTTTCTAGTTTTCATTGCAGGATATTTAGCTTTTCACTATAGGCCTCAATGAGCTTTGTAATGTCCTTTCATATAATCTACAAAAAGAGGATTTCCAGCCTTCTGAATCAAAACAAACATTTAACTCTGTGAGATGGATCCACACATCCCAAAGCATTTTCATAGATAGCTTGTTTCTACTATTTATCAAAGGATATTCGCTTTTTCTATTTACTTCTCCATGGGCTCCAAAATGTCCCTTCATAGATTCCACAAAAAGAGCATTTCCTAAATGCTAAATCAAAACAAAGGTTTACCTCTGTGAGTTGAATCCACACATTTCAAAGCATTATCACAGATAGCTTGTTTCTCATTTTTAATGCGGATATTCAGTTTTTACTATAGGCCTCAATGTGCACCAAAATGTCTTGTTGTAGATTCTGCAGACTGTTTACAACCTGCTTAATCAAAACAAAGTTTTAATTCTGTAATATGAATCCACACATCACAAAGTATTTTGACGGATAGCTTGTTTCTAGTTTTTATCTCCACATATTTTGTTTTTCACTGCAAGCTTCAATGGGCTTTGAAATGTTTCTTTGTAGATTCTACAAAAAGAGATTTTTTTTAACCTACTGAATTAAAACAAAGGTTTAACTCTGTGAGATGAATCCACACATCATGAAGCATTTTCACAGATAGCTTGCTTCTAGTTTTTATCGCAGGATATTTGTTCTTTCACTGTAGGCCTAAATGGGCTCCAAAATGGCCTTTAGTTGATTCTACAGAGAGAGTGTTTCCAACCTGCTGAATCGAAATAAATATTTCACTCTGTGAGATGAATCCACACAATGCAAAGCATTTTCAGAGGTAGCTTGTTTTTAGTTTTTATTGCAGGATATTATATTCAGTGTTTCAATATACTCATTTATGGGTTCTGAAATGTCCCTTCATATATTCCACAAAAAGTGTTTCCAACCTGCTGAATAAAAGCAAATGTTTAACTCTGAGAGATGATTCCACACATCACAATATCTTTTGATCGATAGCCTGCTTCTAGTTTCATCACGGGATATTCAGCTTTTCACCATAGGCCTAAATAAGATTTGTAATGTCTTTTCATAGAATCTACAAATAGAGTTCTTCCAGCCTGCTGAATCAAAACAAACATTTAACTCTTTGAGATGGACCCACAAATCCCAAAGCATTTTCATAGATAGCTTGTTCCTACTGTTTATCAAAGAATATTCACTTTTTCCATTTATTTCTCTATGGGCTCTGAAATGTCCCTTTATAGATTCTACAGAAAGAGTGTTTCCTATTGGCTAAATCAAAACAAAGTTTTACCTCTATGAGTTGAATCCACACATCACAAAGGATTTTCACAGATAATTTGTTTCTCATTTTTGATATGGGATATTCAGTTTTTACTATAGGCCTCAATGTGCACCAAAATGTCCTGTAGATTCTACAAACAGACTGTTTACAACTTGCTTAATCAAAACAAAGTTTTAATTCTGTGATATGAATCCATACATTGCAAAGCATTTTGACAGCTTGTTTCTAGTTTTTATCTCCACATATTTTGTTTTTCACTACAGGCTTCAATAGGCTTTTAAATATTTATTTGTAGATTATACAAAAAGAGTTTTTTTAACCTGCTGACTGAAAAAAAGGTTTAACTCTGTGAGATGAATCCACACAATGCAAAGCATTTTCATAGATAGCTTGTTTTTAGTTTTCATGGCAGGATATTTGGTCTTTTACTGTAGGCCTCAATGGGCTCTGATATGGCCCTTAGCAGATTCTACAAAAAGAGTGTTTCCAACCTGCTGAATCAAAATAAGTGTTTAAGTCTGTAAGATGAATCCACACAACAAAAAGAATTTTTACAGATAGCTTCTTTGTAGTTTTTATTGCAAGATATTCAATGTTTCAATATACTCATCCATGGGCTCCAAAATGTTTCTTGGTATATTCTACAAAAAGAACGTTTCCAACCTGCTGAATAAAAACAAAGATTTAGCTATGAGAGATTATTCCACACATCACAAGACCTTTTGACAGATAGCTTGTTTCTAGTTTTCATCATAGATAGTCAACTTTTCACTACAGGCCTCAATTAACTTTGGAATATCCTTTCATAGAATCTACAAAAAGAGTGTTTCCAGCCTGCAAACAAGGGTTAACCCTGTGAGATGGATCCACACATCCCAAACCATTTTCACAAATAGCTTGTTTCTCCTTTTCATCAAAGGATATTTGCTTTTTCCATATACTTCTCCATGGGCTCTGAAATATCACTTCACAGATTCTACAAAAAGAGTTTCCAACCTGCTGAATCAAAACAAAGGTTTAACTCTGTGAAATGAATCCACACATTTCAAAGCATTTTCACAGATAGCTTTTCTCTATTTTACGTTGCGGGATATTTGATTTTTTGCTATACTCGTCCACGGGCTCCAAAATGTCCTTTTGTAGATACTACAAAAAGAGTCTTTTTAATCTGCTCAATCAAAACAAATGTTTAACTCTGGGAGATGAATCTCTGCATGGCAAAGCATTTTTATAGATAGCTTGTTTCTAGTTTTCCTTGTGGGATATTCAGTTTTTCACTGTAGGCCTCAATGGGTTCTGAAATGTCACTCTGTAGACAAAGGGACAAACAGAGTGATTCCGTCCTGCTGAATCAAAACAAAGGTTTACCTTTTTGTGATGAATCCACACATCGCAAAGCATTTTCACAGTTTCTTTCTAGTTTTTATCGTGGGATATTCAGTGTTTTACTCTTGGCCTTAATGGACTCTGACATGTCCCTTCATAGATTCTATAAAAAGAGTGTTTCCAACCTGCTAAATCAAAACAAATGTTTAACTCTGTGGGAAGTATTGACACATCACAAAGCAATTTCACAGATAGCTTGTTTCTAGTTTTTATTGTGGGATATTTGGTTTTTCACCGTAGACCAAAATTGGCTCCAAAATGTACCCTTGCAGATTCTACAAGAAGAGTGTTTCCAACTGCTGAATCAAGACAAAGGATTAACTCTGTGAGATAAATATACACATGGCAAAGAGTTTTTAGTGATAGGTTGTTTCTAGTTTCTTTAGTGGGATATTCAATTTTTCACTGTAGGCCTCAATGGCCTCTGAAATGTCCCACAGAGATGGTACAAAAAGACTGTTTCCAATGTGCTGAATAAATACAAAGGTTTAACTCTATCAGATGAATCCAAACATCACAAAGCATTTTCACAGGTAGCTTTTTTCTAGTTTTTATTGTGGGATGTTTGGTTTTTCACTATTGGCCCTAATGGGCTCCAAAATATCCTTTCTTAGATTCTACAAAGAGACTGTCTACAACCTGCTTAATTAAAACAAAGATTTAACTCTTTGAGATGAATCCACACATCATAAAACATTTTCAGAGATAGAATTTTTGTTATTTTTATTGCAAAATATTCGGTTTTTTACTATAGGCATCAATGGGTATGAAATGTCCTTTGTATATTCTATTTAAAAAAGTTTTTTTTTAACCTGTTGAATAAATACAAAGGTTTAACTCTGTGAGATGAATCCACATATTGCAAAGCATTTTCAAAGATAGATTGTTTCTACTTTTTATTGCAGGATAATCAGTGTTTCACTATGGGCCTCAATGGGCTTCAAAATATCCCTTTGTAGATTTTACAAAAAGATATTTTCCAATCTGCTGAATCAAGACAAAGGATTCAATCTATGAGATGAATCCACACATTGCAAAAAATTTTTACTTAGAGGCTGTTTCTAGTTTTTATCATGGGATAATGGGTTGTTCATCAACGTGCTGAATCACAAAAAGGTGTAACTCTGTGAGATGGAATCACACATTGCAAATAATTTTCAGACACAGTTATTTGTTATTGCTATAATGGGATGTTCAACTTTTCTCTGTAGGCTTCAACAGGCTTCTAAAACTCTTTTCATAGATTGTACAGAAAGGGTGTATCCAAAGAGCTGAATCAAAACAAAGGTTTAATTCTGTGAGATAAATCCACACATCACAAGGTATTTTCACATATAGCTTGTTTTTAGTTTTTATTGTGTGATGTTCGGTTTGTCAATGGGCTCTGAAATGTTTCTTTGTTGAATCTACGAAAGGAAAGTTTTCAATCTGCTGAATCAGAAAAAAGGTTTAACTCTGTGAAATGAATCCACACAATGTAAAACATTTTCACAGATGGCTTGTTTCTAGTTTTTACCATGGGATATTCGGTTTTTCACTACAGGTCTCAATGACCTCCAAAGTGTCCCTTCTTAGATCCTCCAAAAAAATTGTTTCCAACCTGCTGAATAATAACAAAGGTTTAACTCTGTGAGCTGAATCCACACATGGCAAAGCGTATTCAGAGATATATTTTTTATTGTTTCTATTACAAAATATTGGTTTATTACTATAAGCATCAATGGGTGTGAAATGTCCCTTTGTATACTCTATAAAACAAGTGTTCACAATCTGCTGAGTAAAAGAGAGGTTTAGCTCTGTGAGATGAAATCACACATTGCAAAGCATTTTCAGACATAGTTTCTTTTTAGTTTTTATTGATGAACATTCGTTTTTTCACTATACTTCTCAATGGGTCTATGTACCTTTGTAGACTGTACAAAAAGAGTGTATCCAACTTGCAGAATCACAGCAAAGGTTTAACTCTGTCAGATAAATCCAAATATCACAAAGTGTTCTCACAGATCACTTGCTTCTAGTTTTTATCATGAGATATTCTGTTTTTCACTATAGGCCTCAATGGGCTCTGAAACATGTTTTCCTAGATTCTACAAAAAAAAGTGTTAACAATCTGCTGAATCAGAAGAAAGGTTTAACACTGTGAGATGAATCCGCAGATTGCAAAGCATTTTCACAAAAAGCTTTCTTTTAGTTTTTTTATTGAAAATATTCAGTTTTTCACTATAGGCCTCAATGGGCTTCCAAATAACTTTTCTGAAATTCTACAAAAAAAGTGTTTCCAACCTGCTGAATGAAAACAAAGGTTTAACTCTGTGAGATGAATCCACACATTGCAAAGCATTTTTACAAATAGGGTTTCTAGTTTTTATCGTGGGATAATCAATTTTTCACTATAGGCCTTAATGAACTACGAAAAGGCTCTTCATAGTTTCCACAGTTAAAGTGTTTGCAACCTGTTGAAACAAAACAAAGGTTTAACTCTGTGAGATAGATCCACACATTGCAAAACATTTTCACTGATAGCTTGTTTCTAGTTTCTATCACAGGATACACAGTTTTTCACTATATGCCTCAATGGGCTTAAAAAAGTTCCTTCGCAGATTCTACAGAAAGAGTTTTTCCAACCTACTAAAAAAAAAAAAGTTTAACTCTGTGAGATGAATTCACACATAGCAAAGTGTTTTCACTGATTGCTTGTTTCTACTTTATATCGTGAAATATTTGGTTTTTTAGTATAGGCCTCAATGGGCTCTGAAACTTTCCTTTTCAGATTCTACAAAAAGAGTGTTTTTAACTTATTCAATCTAAAGAAAGTTTTACCTTTGTAAGATGAATCCAAACATCACAAAGCATATTCACAGATAGCAAGCTTTTAGTTTTTATCACAGAATATTTTGTTTTTCACTATATGCCTCAATGGGTTCCACAAAATTTATTAGTAGATTCTACAAAAGGAGTGTTTCCAACCTGATGAATCAAAAAAAAGGTTTAATTCTTTCAGATGAGCCCACAAATCCGAAAGCATTTTCACAGATAGCTTGTTTCTAGTTTTTACCATGGGATATTTGTTATTTCACTATAGGACTGCATGGACTCCGAAATGTCTCCTCGTAGATCCTACAGAAAGAGTGTTTCCAAACTACTGAATTAAAACAAATGTTTAAATGTGTGACATAATTTCACATATCACAAAGCATTTTCACAGACAGCTTGTTTGTAGTTTTTATCACAGGATTTTCAGTTTTTCACTATAGGCCTCAATGTGCTTTGAAATGTCTCTTCTTAGATTCTGCAAAAAACATGCTTCCAACCTGCTGAATCAAAACAAAGGTTTACTCTGTGAGATAAATACACACATTCTAAAGCCTTTTGACAGACAGCTTGCATGAAGTTTTTATCAGGGGATATTATGTTTTTCTCAATGGGTATCAAAGGGCTGCCAAATGTCCCTTCACAGATTCTACAAAAAAAGTCTTAAAAACTGCTGAATCAGAACAAAGATTTAGCTTCATAAGATGAATCCAGAAATCGCAAATCATTTCACTGAAGGCTTGTTTCTAGTTTTTATCACAAGATAATCAGTTTTTTACTATAGGCCTCAATTTGCTCAAAAATGTTCCCTCGTAGATTCTAGAAAGAAAGTGTTTCTGACCTGCTGAATCTCAGGAAAGGCTAACTCTGTGAGATGAGATCAGACATCAGAAAGCATTTTCATACATAGCTTCTTTGTAGTTTTTATCCCAGGATATTCAGTTTTTCACTATATGCCTCAAAAAATTTTGAAATGTTCCCTCATAGACAGTACAAAATTATGAGAGGACATTTCAAATGAGGGGACATTTCAAAAGATTGTACAAATCTATGAGGGGACATTCCAAATGAGGGGACATTTCAAAAGAGTGTATCCAACCTTCTGAATCAAAACAAATGTTTAACTCTATGTAATAAATCCACACATCACAAAGCATTTTCACCATATCCCCCAAAAAGGAAACTCTTGTTCTCCTACTCCTATTGGAGGGCTGCATGATTCCTATAGGATGAAAAGCAGGCAGCCATGGCTGGCTTTTGCCTGGTAATCTAGGCTCTGTTTCATTTCATCTGCACGTCCTTTCTCATAGTGGAGAGGCTCTTTCATTGGGCTGTTGCTGGGTGGGACTGCCTCTCGCCACAGTTCTATTGGCTGCCGGGGATTTCAGGGAGCAAAAGGGACTTCGGGTAGGCAGGCCATGCTCCAGGTTGTGTATTATGATCTCGTTGTGGTGCCTGAGGTTGTTTGCACTTTGCAGGAGACTTTTGGGTCCTCTGACAGGAATCCTTGAACGTTGCTTGGACTCCAGCACAAGTCAGCTCGTTCTCTCATGCAAACCTTGATTTTCCTTTGTTTTCATGGGGGCGGGGGGGGTCAACAGTGCCCCTCAACAGCACTGCTGGACACCCTTTTCATGCTTGCAATCGCCACAGACGGCCTCTGAGACAATGTCTCAACCTCCTCTGCACCCGTGAGAGGCCAGTTCAAGGTGTGAGAACACTGCTACGCCTTGGACTTGCCTTTGCCGTAGTTCCTGCCTTTCCCAGAGAGCCCCTGCGAGGCCCAGGATGAAGGGAGGCAATGAGGTCAAAGGCCCGGCCATCTTTCGCTGACACCCGCCTCTGGGGTCTCAGGTATGAGTTCATCACCCAAAGACCCCTCAACAGGTCACCAGACTATATTCCAATCCCCATGGGACCCGATTCCTGAACGCAGCCTCTTTCGGGAAGGGAGTCAGAAGAGCAGTTTCCAGAGACCAACTCACACTCTCGAAATGCCTCCTTCTCCAGCGGGACCCGACCTTGGAGACGGTCCGAGGGGGCCCTAAGGTCGAGACTTTTAGGGTCCTGCAGTGGATTATCGTAGGCAGCCTTTTTCCTGATACCAGACCAGCTCTGCCTGTACCATTTTCCTCTGTTTAAGCAGGCTAACAGCTCTGACAGCTGGGCGCCCGAGACTGCCTCGCTAAAGCGCATGCGCTAGTCTCAGGGCGCCAGGCCTGAGCTGTAAATTCTGGCTAGCGTCACAATGAATGCCACCGTCACCTAGCGACAAATCCCTGCGGCTTGGCGGAGACAGAGAACTTTGTGGAGGTGCCTAGGCGGTGGACTCTCGCCTGTCTTCTCTGTGGGATCCACGGGATAGTCCCATGATCCTAGGAGAGGGCAGACGTGAGCCAGCCTGAAGAAACGCCAAGCAGGAGCCCCAGGAATAAACCGCAAAATCCCTAAGGATCCAAAAGGATCTGCAGGATGCCTCAGGCCTGCCTAGTCATCGTAGGGGTAAGTCTTTTTGAAACTTGCCCCACTGTGATTTTTAGATACAGCCCACCTGTGTTCCTCAGGGTTGCTCTCTCTTAGGTGGGGTTTCCTTCAGAAACATGCAGCCTCAGAAGCTGCCGGTCTGTGTGTTCTGTGGGAGTGTTACAAGTGTTGGAAGTCTGCGTGTGTGTGTGTGTGTATGTGCCTGTAAGTGTAGTCGACTTAAAGGAATGTGGCTAATGCACTGCAGCGCTTCTTTTTTTTTGAGTCTCCCAACCTTATGTTGTCCTGTCTGTGTGGCTCTGCTTGGTCTGCGCGGCTCGGTGCTCTTTATCTTTCTGTGGATCATGAATCCGCAGTGAATTCGGAGGCTGGCTGAGACCGGCCTGGGTCAAAATCACCTCCACTGCAAAAAAAAAAAAAAAAAAAAAAAAAAAAAAAGATGTTCTTCTAGAAAGAACAGGAGCACACCACACCCAAGAAAGGACATCTCCCAGTGTTTTACCGTCTTGCGTCCAAGTCAGGGAAAGACACTAGCAGTTCTGTCCGCAGGGCAGAATTTACATCGAATTCAGTTCCCAGCCGAGCAGGTACTTCCCGTCGTGAGGGGGCACTCCTCCATCATCTTCGGATTTCATTCAGGGACAGAAAGTGTGAGCAGCAATAAGGTCAGATAGGGGAGAGGATACAATCTGTTGTGGGGTGAATGAGGTCCCACACCTCTACCTGCAAAAAAGGTGAAGACAGATGAAGGTGCTTCCAGCTGCATCCCCTCAGTCCCTTAATTGCACAACCAGTACACCCATGGCCCGGTGTTCAGGTGGGAAAACTCCAAGGTGCAGGGAACATTTGGAGTGCAAACTGAGGCCATCCTGACAAACTCCCAATTTGGGGGCTTTTATACCTAGAGCCAAATGGAAGTGTGATGGGTTGATGCTGGGTGGGATGTGGCCACCGCACTTGCCTCTTCTTTTGCTGACTTCCATGTTCCTCATCGGCCTAGGGTTTCCTGGGGCTGGCTCAACGTCTTACACACTAAATGTTTCACAGTTCACAGAGGACGATCCTCATGGGAATCCATTACATGAGTGTTTTCTTCTAAACGCTGTCACGTTTTAATGACTGGCAGCTGTTATAATTTTAAAACCGTAAATTCCCATTACATTCACCAACAAGGAAACTCTTGTTCTCCCACTTCTATTGAAGGGCTGCATGATTCCTATAGGATGAGTAGCAGGCAGCCATGTCTGGCTTTTGCCTGGTAATCTAGGCTCTGTTTCATCTCATCTGCACGTCCTTTCTCATTGTGGAGGTTCTTTCATTGGGCTGTTGCTAGGTGGGACTGCCTCTCGCCATAAATCTTTTGGCTGCGAGGGATTTCAGGCAGCAAAAGGGACTTCAGGTAATCAGGCTGCCCTCCAGGTTGTGGGTCGTGGTCTCCTTTTGGGGCTGAGGTTGTTTGCACTTTGCAGGAGGGTTTTGGGTTTTCTGACAGGAAGCTTTGAACATTGGTTGGACTCCAGCGCAAGTCAGCTCGTTCTCTCAGGCAAGCCTTGATTTTTGTTGGCTTTCATGGGGGGTCAACAGTGCCCGTCCACAGCACTGCTGGGCACCCTTTTCAGGCTTGCAATCACCACAGACAACCTCTGAGACAATGTCTCAACCTCATCTGCAGCCATGAGAGGCCAGTTCGAAGTGTGAGAACACTGCTCTACCTTGGACTTGCATTTGTCGCGGTTTCTGCCTTTCCCAGAGATCCTCTGCGAGGCCCGGGATGAAGTAAGGCAGTGAGGCCAAGGGCCCGGCCATCTTTTGCTGACACCCGCCTCTGGGGTCTCAGTTTAGATTCCATCACCCAAAGACCCCTCAACAACTCACCAGACTATATTCCAATCCCCATGGGACCCGATTCCTGCAAACAGCCTCTTTCAGGAAGGGAGTCAGAAGAGCAGTTTCCAGCAACCAACTCACACTCTTGAAACGCCTCCTCCTCCAGCGGGACCCGACAACAGAGACGACCCGAGGGGGCCCTAAGGTCAAGACTTTTAGGGTCCCGCAATGGGTTATGGAAGGCAGCCTTTCTCCCGATACCAGGCCGTCTCTGCCTGTACCATTTTCTTCTGCTTGGGCAGGCTGACAGCTCTGACAGCCGGGCGCCCCGGTCCGCCTCGCTAATGCGCATGCGCTAGTTTCAGGGCGCCAGGCCTGAGCTGTGAGCTCTGGCTAGCATCACAATGAATGCCACTGTTACCTAATGACAAATCCCTGCGGCTTAGCTGGGAAGGAGACCACCGTGGAGGTGCAAAGGCGGTGGACTCTCGCCTGTCTTCTCCGTGGGATCCACAGGATAGTCCGAGGATCCTAGGAGAGGGCAGATGTGAGCGAGCCTGAAGAAACGTCAGGCAGAGCCCCAGGAGTAAACCGCGAAATCCCTAGGGATCCAAAAGGATCTGAAGGATGCCTCAGGCCTGTCTAGTCGTTGTAGGGGTGAGTCTTTTTGAAACTTGCCCACTTTGATTTCTAGGTATAGCCCCCTGTTTTCCGCGGGGTTGCTGTCTCCCAGGTGGGGCTTCCTTCAGAATCACTCAGCCTCAGAAGCTGCCGGGCTGTGTGTTTCTGAGGGAGTGTTGCAAGTGTTGGATGTCTGCGTGTGTGTGTGGCTTTGTGTATGTGTGTACGTGTGTGTGTGCGCGCCTGTAAGTGGAGTCGGCTTAAAGAAATGCGGCTAACTCACTACAGATTTTTCCCCCACCTTTTTGTGGCCTGTCTGTGTGGCTTTGTTTGGGCTGTGGGACTCTGTGTCCTTTGTGTTTCCGTGGTTCCTGAATCCGCGATGAATTGGGAGGCTGGCTGAGACCCGCCGGGGTTTAAGTCACCTCCCTCTGCAAAGAAGCCACTCATCTAGAAAGAAAAGGACCACACCACACCCAAGAACAGACAACTCCCAGTGCTTCATTATCCTGTGGCCATCCCAGAGAAAGACCCTAGCAGTCCTGTCCACAGGGCTCCTTGAATTTACCTCGGATTGGGTTTCCAGCCAAGCAGGTGCCTCCCATCGTGAGGAGGACACTGCTCCCTTGTATTGGGATTACATTTAGGGATGGAGAGTGTGAGCAGCAATAAGGTCAGGTAGGGGAGAGGATATAATCTGGTGAGGTGTGGATGGGGTCCTGCACCTTCACCTGCAAAAAAGATGCAGACAGATGACACAGAAGGTGCTTCCAAGTCCATCCTCGCATTCCCTTCATTACACAGGCAGTCCACACGTAGCTCAGTGCCCAGTTGGGAGTACTCCAACGTGCAGGGAACAGTTGGAGCACAAACTTGGGCCATTCTGGTCAGCTCCCAATTTGGGCTTTCATTCCTGAAGCCACATGAGATTGGGATGGATGGATGCTGGGTGGGATGTGGCCTCTGCACTGGCCTCCTCTTTTCCTCACTTTCACTTCCTTTCTCAGGGTCTTGGCTTGTTCTTTAGCCCAAAGGGAGTGGGGTGGACAGATTACCTCTGAACCTTGGGTGCCTTTGATTTCTTTCTTTGTATTTGATGTCATTACGATGAACATTGATGCCTGCTATGTGCCAGGACTGAGTCCCGGATTCCCAGAGGAAGGAGGCACCATTCCCCTGAGCCTGCTAATGGGTCTTCCATCCACCCTTCTCATTATAAGGCAGAGTTCAGGTTTTGAGACCAGGAAAACGTGAATTTGACTCCACTGGGTCACCTGCCAGCTGCTGACAGCCACTTAATTCCTCCAGGCCCAACATCCCTGTGTGTAAGCACAATACACAATTAGGGTTGCTGTCAGCCTTATGCAAGGGGAGGCTTGGAAGTGCTTGGCAGCAGCAGGTGGTCCACCCAGACTGTCTGGGTAGGCCTCGGTCTGCTTCCCTCCAGGTCTGTGCCACCTTCACTCAGGCTCCTGCAGAGGCAGTCTGTCACCTTGTGACCAGGCTAGAAAACAGCACCTGGCAGGAGGGCATGGGGACTAGGCGGGTCCCTGTCTGGAGCCCCTGAAAGTCGGCCAGGCAGCATCTCTGGGATGGGTGGCTGGATGCCAGTGCTCTTGTCCTGGCATCCCTCTGTTTCCTGCATAGGCTCGTGGTGGCAGACTTCCAGGCCTCTCCACATTCTCTGTCCTGGTGATGGTGGGAGTGTCTCCCCCTCTGAAAGGTGCCCCTGGAGGTTGGGAAATGGCCATGCCCTTTGAACCTCCCTTCTGGCCCAGGGTCTGGCTCAGACAGAGTGCACAGAGTGTGTGTTGAGGAGGGTAGAGGAGTGGCAGCCCTTTACCTATGAGCCAGTGCTCTGCAGGTCTACCCAAGGGCCAACATCCCAGGGGCCAGGCCCTAAGGTGAACGTGGCATCCCAGGTCCCAGCATCTTCTGAGAAGACATCATCCCAGTACCAGGGTCCCTGTTGGATAGTGCCTCTGCCCATCTCTCCTCTGGCTCCCAGCAGGTTCATGGTTGCAGTGGCCTGTGCAGGAGGGGTGCAGGTGATGGGGCCAGGGACTTTTGCAGGAAGGAACTAGGACATTGGCCAAAGAGGCTGCTCCCTGACCCCAATTGTGTCCCTAATTTACTATGTGACCTCCACAAGTCATTCAGCATCTCTGGTCCTGTTCCCCCCCCCACAACTATGTGATGGGCACAACAATACCACAGTCCCTGTGACTGTGTTTTATTCAGGAGTCAGCTGTGGGCCTCCCTGACACTCCATCCCCAACAAAGTCCAGTGTCAGGAGTTAGTTGGACCTCCACCTCGATCTTATATTTTCCAGCAGCATTTTGGGAAGGAATATCCTGAAAGGTGAGCCTGCCTGTTATCTCCTCAGAGGGTTCAGGAAAAGCCGGCCCTCTCTATCCCCTTTTCTCACCATGATCCTCCAGGTCTGTTCACCTAATCACTAGGCATGAACTAATTGAACATCTGCCAAGACCCAGGTGAGCTTTTGCATCTAGAGAGAACTAAGACACAGCCATGGTCCTGGGGGTCTCACCCTCTTAGATGGGAGGCCAGCAGGAGAGGACATGTGGGTCGGGTTCAAGAGTGGAGTAGGAAGTTGCGAGTGGCTAGTGCCCACCTGGGCATGGTCTCATGGGCCCTTGCCAGGAATGTGCATGCCATCCTGTGGCCTTTGTAAGGCTTTTAGCAGAGAAGGGAGTGGGATTGAGAAAAAAATCCCCATGGCCAGGGCTGCAAGAATGGCTAAGGTCCTTGGTGGTACCATGGGCATGTGGCAATGACCGGAGGTTTGAGAAGTAGAGTAGGCAGGGTCTGGTGGTCGAGGGGCATCTAGGGGAAATCAGACCGAGTTCTAGCTTCCCAGTTTGCACTCATGGGCAGACAGTGGTGATTTTACTGAGGGGAGATGACCTGAGGAAGAGTAGGATGGAGGAAACACCGGGCCTGCCTGAAGGTAGATGCCAGACAAAGGGAGGAAAAGAGAAGCCTGAGAGGAAGCAGCAGGTACAGATCAAGGAGGAGAAGCACAAGAGTGCTGGCCCAAAGGGCAAGAAGTGTCCAGAAGAAGGGGGCTACAGAAAGGTCAAGTTAGATAAAGGCCATAGTACACTTATCCAATGTGGCCACCAGAAGGCCAGCTGGTCAAGGGTGTTGCTGAAGGCAGAGGACAGTGGGTCAGGAGTGAAGGTGATGATGTGGATCGAGAGTGTAGACAACAGGCAGAAGGGGAGAGAGATGGTGTGGATAGAGGGGGTGTAGGGTCATAGATGGAAATATCCCCAAGTTTAGGTGGATGGGCAGGAGATCATTGCTGAGAAGGGATCTCATAAGAAAGTAGAGGTGGAGCAGAACAGAGGGGGCAACGATGTGAGGGTGGCAGTGACACAGGGTCATTGGGGAGTGTGTGGGGACACCTGTCTGTTGGGCATCGGCTCATGGCTTAGGGCAGGCTACTGGGCAAGCCCACAGACCCCTAGAAGAGAGGAGCTCCTGCCATGTATGGCGCAGTTTTGTCATTCACCATGCACTCTAATTTCACATACTGAGTACTTGGTATGTACTGGTCACTGTGTTGGACACGGGGGACATAAAATATGGTAAGACACAGTCCCAAAGGGGCTAACAGTACTGTGGCCTCTTACTCAAAGGCTTGCACCCAGGGTTAAGCTTCTAACAAGTTGGAAGGCAGACATAGGCACCTCCATTTGCCTTGAGTACAAACAGATGTTCAGAGAGGTTTAGTGACTGGTCAAAGGTCACGCTGCCAGGAAATGGCTGTGTCCAGGACAGTTGCAGGTCTCCTGCCCATAAAACCCACCCAGGCCACCAGGTTCAGTTTCAGCCAGGTGGCCTTCAGGGTTGACCACCCTGTTCGACTCGGCAAGAAGAATACAAGCCAAAGGCAAGCACGTACTCATTCTTCTGAGCATCCTCTGTGTGCCCATCCCTGTTGTGGGCATGGGCGGCAGGGAAGGAGACATGAATTCCAAATCGTGACCTTGCCTTCTGCAGCTGAGGGTGTAGTTGGAGAATTTGATGTCCCAGGAGAGGGATGTCTCCTGTTCCATGGCTGCCTAGGAGAGGGCAGAAAGCAAGCCCTCTTGAAGGAGAGAGAGAGGGGTAAGGGGGAGGTAAGCAGGGACAACTCTTCCCCTCCCTCAAAGGAGGCCACTCAGGAATCCCAGGGAAGCCAGACAAAAGCCTGTGGAATAAAGGGGCCTCTGAGCCTCCTCCCCACTGCTGCCATCCTGACTCAGGGATTTCAGGGTGCAGTCATCATTCCCACCCCCAAAGGAGAAAGCCCAGGCCGGTGGAGCCTGGCTGCTGCAACTTCTTATACAAGCAGCTCTGGAGGCCCCATATCTGAGCTGGCAGCTCCATTAGAGGGAGGGGTGGGCATTAGTATGGAATGCCAGCCTAGATGGATGGTCAGTGCCAGGTTCTGGGGCATAGGAAAGTCCAGGATCATGACCAGGGGTAGCTGATCACCAGGAATGTAGTTGGGACTCCATGCCCGAATGCTAGGGAGACTCAGAGCTGGATCTGGGCCACAAAGTGAGGGGACAGTGGCTGTTGGTTTATATTGAGGGGAAAATGGGGCCGACAGGACTAAGGCCCTGGGGCTGAAGGGCATAGAGCTCTTGCTAAAATTTGGGAGGCTCTGTTTAAAGGAAACTAGTGTTGATAGAATTTCCAGAGCTGCTGCCTGGGCCAGGTAAGACCCGCAGGACCCTTCTGTCCAGGTTAGGCTCCTGTAGGTGCCTACCCTATCTCCTCACCTTCTCCTAGCTAGAGGTCCCCTATGAGGCATGAAGCTGGTGGGGCAGAGGCCCCTGTCAGGGCCTTCATGTCTGCCTGGGGGCTGGACCACCTGGCCGGAAAAAGGAAGCCGAGGTAGCAGAAGGGCCTGCCTGAAGATCCTCTGAGTCTTCCTCCTCCTTTTCTACTCCTTGGCCCAGGTGGTTGTATAAATTACTATTCACCCCTATAAAAATTGTTTAACTCCATCACAAATATTTGGATAATAGGGGGATATCTCAATCTAATTACTGTTAGCATTTTGGTTTCTTTTCATTTATTCTCCTTCCTATGTGTGTGTCTTGGGGAGTTCCCATAGGGGCATCATAGAGTACTGATTATTGTGCATTCTGCTTTTTCACTTACCGTATTCACCTAGTCAGCCAGTGTCAGCTGCTGTACCAGGCACTAGGAACCAATAAAAAAGTGTGATTCCTACACTCAGGTAGCTTATTGTCCAGGACAGATTGGCCATCAAATCCAGTTAGGATGTGGTATGCAGATATGATATCATATGGTTATGATATGATATGGTACATCTTCAAGGAGCTGTGTCAGGGACATGATGGAGAAACCACTCTCCCAGGATCTTGTCAGCAAGAGGGAAATCCAGGAGTGCTTCCCAGAGGAGGAAGGTGTTGACAGAGGTGAATTCTAAAGGTTTCTACAGTTCCTTCTCATGAAACCGTCTGGACCTGGTGCTTTTTTCAGTGGCAGATTTTTTTATCATCAGTGGTAATTAAGTTTCTACTCATTATCTAGTTCATTAGGGGCACTTTATATTTTACTAGGAAAGCATTCATTTTCTCCAAATGTGTAAACTCTCCACTTTTAAAATTTATTATGAATTTATTTGTGGCCAAACAAATGATTTTTCTAAGATTTTCATAGACGTTGAAAAAATGTATATTTTCTATTTAAGGGATATAAGGTCCCATATATACCAAATCAAGTTTTTGGTTATTCAAGCTGTCACTTCTTTTGTATCCTTTGGGGGAGGAGGCTTTTACTGTAGTTCTAACAGAGATTTAGCCTTCCACTCAAATTTTCTCTATAAATCTCTTCTTTTACTAGTTTTTGCTTTTTATATTTACTATGATGTGGGGAGAATGCAGATTTTGAGTGTTCTTTATAATTTTCTCTATAAATCTCATCTTTTACTAGATTTTGCTTTTTGTATTTACTGTGATGCTGTCGGGAGCATGCAGATTTCGAGTGTTCTCTCATTATGAATTGTGCCCATCATTACATGGTGTCCCTCTTTATCCCATTTCAGTGCTTAACCTTAAATTCCACCCTTCTATTATTATTATGGCCACTCTTTATTTTACTTTAGCTTTTGCACTTTCCTGGTATCTCTTGGCATTCTTTTATTTTCCACCATTATCATTGTTTAAGTGTTTTTCTTGTATATATACATCACTGGGTTTTTTTGTTGGTGGTGGTGTTGATTGAGACAGGGTCTTGTTCTGTTGCCCTGGCTGGAGTGCAGTGGCAACATCACAGCTTGCTTCAGCATTGACCTCCTAGTTTGAGGTGATCCTCCCACCTCAGCCTTTACAGTAGCTGGGACTACAGGCATGCACCATTACACCCAGCTAATTTTTTGGTTTTTTTTTTTTTTTTTTTTTTTTTTGGAGAGATGGGGATCTCACCATATTGCCCAGTTATCACTTTATTTTTAAACCCAGGCTGACCTTTGTCTTTTAATGGGAATTCATCTGTTCACATTTCATTAAACAATTGATCTACTGTAGTTGGTTTTATTTCTTTTGGCTTATTTTACATTTATTGGTTTACCTTGTGGGTTTTTTCCTCTGGTTATTGATCACTCTGGTTATTAATTTCCTTTTTCTTCCCTTGTTACTCTTTCCATTTCATTACTGGCATCTACCCCTTCTCTGGAGTTCCTAATCAAACACATATTCTTTAGCATGTGATTCCATGGGGATTTTTTTTCTCAGCACTGTCATCTGGAGCTCCAATCTGTTGGTCTATAAGCTTAGGTCTTTCTTTCTGCTTCTGTAAATCTATTTGTTGTTTGATTTGATTGTTGTTTTTGTTGTTGTTTATTTTCTCTCTTCCCCTTTCTCCTTTCTTTTCTCTTCCTTTTTCCCTTTTCTTTCCCTTCTCTTCTCTCTTCTCTTCAGTCTCTTCTCTTCTTCTCTCTTCTCTCCCTCCCCTCTCCTCCCCTTTTCTCCCTTCTGTCATCTTCTTTTCTTTTCTTTCACAGGATCTCAGTCTGTCACCCAGGCTGGAGTGCAGTAGTGCAATCATAGCTCATTGCAGCCTCAACCTCCCAGACTCAAGTGTTTCTCCCAACTCAGCCTCCTCAGTAGCTGGGACTACAAGTGCATGCAACAACACTTGGCTAATTTTTGTATTTTTTGTAGAGACAGGGTCTCACTATGTTACCCAGGTTAGTCTCAAACTCCTGGGGTCAAGCGATCCACCCACCTCAGCCTCCCAAAGTGTTGGGATTACAGGCATGAGTCTCCATGACCAGCTCATTTAATCTTAGTTTGTGTGTTAATCATTTAACCTTCATCATTCCCCAAATCTCTCTTTAAAAATACCCTATAGATATGTAAATCACTGTAACTCTTATGTCTCTTCAACTTTTTTATATAAAGTGACAACTCAAAATACACTTTTCCATTTAATGTTATTTAATACAAACCATTCTATTTTTTATGCTAGTATCTCCATTTGGCCATAAAACAATATATCTAGAAATAAAGTGTGAGCTTCAACAGAAACAATGATCTACTGTTTCTATCAACTTTTGACTATCTATAATCCCTTCGCTTCCCATCTATCTTCCTCAAACAAATTGAACTTAATTGTCAACTTGAAATTTCTAGAGCTTATGCAACTTCAACTCATTTGTCTTTCCCTTGCTTTATTCAACTCTACTGCCAAAATTACAACCTCGGTTAAATGCAACTGTCTGTGTGTCTAATCCTTGCCAGCACCCATGCAGCTGAACATGCCCAAAAGAACAATATAACAATGATTTTCAACATTTTATATCCAGGCCAGAACTCTCCTCTGAGTTTCAGATTTATATATTTAAATGCTTACTTAACATCTCCAATTAACTATTTAATGGAAATCCCAAAATTAATATATCCACAACTGTCAAATTCTTCACCTACATCTTCTCCCATTTTACAAAAATTCCACTTTTTTCCAATGAACATTTACCGTATTCATCATTTTGCTCTAATGTTTCCTCAAAGTGGTGCCTACCTTAATCGTATTACTAAGTTTTTCTAAGCACTTCATTTTTCTGCCCTGCTTTGTTTTCCTCCTTAGAACCACCTGATGCACTGTATATTTTACTAATACACAGTTTGTTTCTCTCACCTGCTAGAATATAAATTATATAAGACCAGCGATTTTTTATATCATGTTTACTTTCCAATGCCATACCAAGATCAGTACCCGACACTGAAACAAAGGTAGATTATTCAGTTTTTTAAAATGTGTCCTGTGGATTACTAGAACTGCAAAACTCACTTCAATAAGTCTACGACACTTAAAAAATACATTCATGACACCTTATCTTCCTGGGGAATTACAGTGATTTCTAGTTTTTAAAAGTAAGAAGACATAAACTTCAGTTTGAAACCAGGACTCATCATCCCATAGTTAGAGCTGGTCTTCTTTGTGTGCTCAGGGACTACAGAGAGGTCCGGGGTGTTGGCCTCAGCCTCTTGGACAAGGGAAGTGGGCACCCTATGAGCTCAGGATCCCTGTCCCTAGCCTGGATAATGGCAGAATCTGGCTCAGCCAGGTCCCTGGCCTGCACAAAGCCAGTGGCACCAGGTGAACGTGCCCAGCTCAGTGACTGCCTGGAGCAGGTGTGGGGCAGCCAGACCCAGTGGGTGTGGGCTTGGGAGCCTAGCCGCAGAGGATGAGCAGGACAAGGGCAGTCAGACAGCCCTTAGAAGGCCTCCACCCCTGAGCTGCAGAAAGAGATCCCCTCATCCAGCTCCTCCCCAGGGGCCCACTCTGGATCAACAGGAAAATGTAGCCCCTGATGTGGTTGTGCATAACTGGACAGATGGGAGACATGGAGCTGAAGGCCATGTGGATAACCGCCTGCTGGTATCCCAGTTGACATCCCAGTACCACATATCGCTGAAACCCAGGTCACCACATCACCAATGGTCAAGTCGATGTGAACTGTTGATTGTTGACGAGTCCCAGGATCTTTTCTGCTCTTGAGCCTGACCATGAGGTAGTAGATGCCAAAGTCAGGCAAGCATTGCCAGGCCTGATGGAGGCACAGCTGGGCCTGGTCGGCAAGAGCCAAGCCACATTCTAGGGGCTTCCAGGATCCGTGGGATGAGCTGCTTGGCCTTGAACTTTTGTGGAAGGGCAGGGTGGGGGGTGTGGAGGGAGTACCAAGACCACAGAGGCTGAGGCCCCTGACAAGGGCGCCACTGCCCTGGGGGTGGTTGCCGAACCCGGTGCCTGTCTGCTGGAAGGCTACACCTCGCTGGCGGCTGTTCCCTGCATGGTGCAGCCCCTCCTGGGAAGCCAGTGGCAGCCCCTGCAGCATGCACCCAGCTGCTCCTGCTCCGCAGGTGGGGGTCGCTTGCCTTTGGTGAGTTGGATGCAGAACTCGCAGCCAGAGGCGCTAACACCAGAAATGCCCTCACAGCCCTTGAGGTTGAGCTGCCGAGGGTGTGGGGCTGGTGTCCACTGGGGCGTGGCCTGGCTCTCATGGCAGGATTGCATGGGTTCCTTGAACAGCTCCCAGTGCTGGCCTCAGCCCTTCAGGGTCAGCTTCTGGGGCTGGGAGATTTGAGGACACACCTTGACTTCTGTGACAAGGTGTGTCACAGAACACGGGCTTCCAGCCCATCTGTGGATATCTAGCCCTCCAGCTTCTCCAAGCTGCTGAGGGCTGCGTCCAGGCCATCCAGCCAGGTATCCACAGCCCATCTCCCCTCTCTGAGACAGCCTGATTCCATAGGATTGCAGAGATGAGACACCATCAACCCCTCCTAGATGCAGCCCACCCCTCCAGCAGCAGATCTCACTGAGCAGCTCGCACAGCGGGGTCCAAGCCGCAGAAGTCTTGGGGCTGAAAGTGCAGCCAGAGTCGCCTGGCCCTGGCACCCCGTTAAATGAGGCACCGCAGGTACCAGAGCCCGCTGTGCAGCAGGGATTCGTCCAGCGGGCGTTGGGCCCTGGCGGGCGAGGGAGGGTCGGGCGGCGTCGGTCACTGGCTCGGCAGGTGGTCGCAGGCCTGGATTGGCCACTGTCCCAGAAGTGAGCCAGCCTCCCCGGAAGAGCGCTGGAGCGAAGCTGCCCGCTAGGACCACCTTGGTCAGGTTGCACACCTCCTCGTCCGGTTCCTTCTAGTCTCAGGAGCTGGAGTGGGGCTGGAGGCAAGTGAGCCCCACCTGCGGGGCAGGAGCAGCTGAGTGCATGCTGCAGGGGCTGTCACTGGCTTCCCAGGAGGGGCTGAACAGTGCAGGGAACAGCTGTCAGCGAGGTGCAGGCCACCCTTGGCCTTTCAGGAGACAGGCGCGGGACTCGGGCAACCACCCCCAGGGCCTTGGCTCCTCCATCAGGGGCCTCAGCTGCTGTGGCCTTGGTGCTCAGGAACTGGAGTGGGGCCAGATCCGGGACGCCGGGCACTGTGGAGGCTGTAGGTGGCGGCTGCGGCCCAGAAGCACTGACGAAAGCACCTTGACAGATCAAGTCAAAATGTTACTGAGGGCCGGGCGCGGGGGCGCATGCCTGTAATCCCAGCACTTTGGGAGGCCGAGGCGGGCGGATCACGAGGTCAGGAGATCGAGACCATCCTGGCTAACACGGTGAAACCCCGTCTCCACTAAAAATACGAAAAAATTAGCCAGGCGCCATGCTGGGCGCCTGTAGTCCCAGCTACTCGGGAGGCTGAGGCAGGAGAATGGCGTGAACCCGGGAGGCAGAGTGAGCCGAGATTGTGCCACTGCAGTCTGGCCTGGGCGAAAGAGCAAGACTCCATCTCAAAAAAAAAAAAAAAGTTATTGAGAAGGCCAGTTCATTCTCTAGGATGCCAGTGGCAAACAAACATGAGGATGACCAGGGAGACGAGGATTTTGAGTGCTTACTTTATAAAGTGTCTATAATATCTGCAGCAGAAGAATTTAATGGCAAGTTGTTCAGAAGATAAGCCTGGAAATCTTAAATGTCCTATACTCATTTTTAATTATATTGTATGTTACATACTCTTTGGGGCAAGAATGATGGAGATTATGGAAGTGGAATAAGGGCTTTCCCTCTCTGTTTGCTTCAGACCACTTCTTTGTTACCATTATCACAATTGGTACAGTTAGCTGGATGTTGTGTTAAACACATTAAAGACATGTTATTGGATGCGCATTTTAACCATATGGGATAGGTTTTATTAACAGGGTGTGAATATGGCTCAAACAATTTCCCCAGAGTACGTAATGGATTAGCCAACACTAGTCTGTTTTCCTCCCAAGCCCTCTTGACTATTATTACATATTCTTCCCATGAGAGACCAGGAGATGCCTAAAGAAAGGGATCGAGGGAGCAGAAGGCGTTTTGTGAGGAGGAGATATCTGAATGGTACTTGAGTATAAGTTGCTACACGGTTGTGTGCTATGACGTCTATCCACAAAGAACCCAGTTTACCCAATAAAACCTTCAACCAACCTTCATATCTTAATTTTTCTTTGAAGTATTCCTCTGAGTGTTGAAGAGAAGTATGAAAATTTGCTCCACAGTAAACTGCAGAGATAAACAGAGATGGCTATGAAAATACTACAACTATTATTAAGGAAGACGGCTATTTGCCTTTTAGTATAAATTGAGTCAATGAGATGCATAAATATTATTTCCAATATCTGTGAATATTTGCCTAAGACATAATTTATTATTATTTTCATTTTTAATTTGTAGATACTATTGTACATATTGTGTACAATATGATGTTTTAAAGTATATATATTGTGGAATGATTAAATCTAGCTAATGAACATATGCATTGCCTTACATACAATTTTTGTGTTGAGAATACAACAATTTTAAATATTTGTCCAATTCGCATTTGGAAAATACAATTAAAATAAGCTTAAAATGCCTATAATTCACAATGCAGTCATAAAAATTAAACTGATGAAACACACTAAAGTCATTTAAATGTATCCTTACTCATTGTTCTTGATGATATAGTAAAGCATCATCAAAATATAGTAGTCTCTATTGTTTTAGAATTTGATTTTTTAGATCTGGTCATAATTATGCTGTATAGATAAAACTGTGTGTTCTAAACGGATTTGAAGTCAGAAACTTGCACTGCCAAGACAACACTGTGTCTTATCAGCTCTGCCTCAATTTGCAAATCACGTAAGCTTTCTGAACTCCATTTTATTCACTTGGGAAGTGGGACCAATACACTAAATATTTCAGTTAATACAAAGTAGAATACAAAAAGAATCACACTCTAGTTCCATTCCACATGAGCACTTCAGCTATTTTCCTCCAGAAATCACCTGTACACCATAGGAAAGTAAATTCATACCCACCTAGTTAACAGTGTGAGAATGTAAGTTTAAAGCATGTTTGACTAAGGAAACTTAATCATAATAAAATGGTTTAATTTCCCTGAGCATGAAATATTCTCCACAAGAAATGGCATGCTATGTTTAATTGGTTCTGGGAATGATTATCCAATATTAGTCACTTTCATATTAGTGTCCCCTAGAGTGGAAAATAAATAAGATAGTGATTGCACTTCTGCATGTCCATCTTCTGCCAAGACATTTTGCTAATGTGCAGTGTCTGCAACTTCCCATTTCTTGGCTAAGTTCAAGCTTTGTTAGTTTAGTGCTTAGGAAAGCCTCATGTTCTTTCAGAAATTCTTTTGCTCTCATTACTTTTTGTGATATTATGGACAATAATTTGCCTTGGGAACATGACAACTGATTCCAACAGTTGCCAATGTTGGGGAGGGAGGTGTCAAAAGGTAGGCTTTTTCAATGTCAATTTTAACCCAGCAGCAATTTCTGCAGTTGCAAATAATTCTATTTTCTTTCTGGTCACTTAAGTTCTGTCAAATTAAATTAGTGTTCAAAACTCATAGCACAGTTTTGCTTTTTTATTACTACATCTGCAATTTGATTAGTGTGATATATTTTCATATATGAATGAATATCAATTAAAGGCAATGAACATTTATAGGTAACTTTTTCAGCCACAGAGGTTAGTAATTTTAACATGTAAACCATCTGAATTCATATTGCAACCATATTTTTGTAATATAAGAAAATGTAGATTAAATAAGTTTTATTAGTATTTTAAATGTAATAAAATTATTTTCTGCTGGCTGCAGTGGCTCACGCCTGTAATCCCAACACCTTGAGATGCCAAGGTGGGTGGATCACGTGAGGTCACTAGTTCAAAACCAGCCTTGCCAACATGGCAAAATGCCGTCTCTACTAAAAATACAAAATTAGCCATGCGTGGTGGCGCATGCCTGTAATCCCAGCTTCCTGGGAGGCTGAGGCAGGAGAATAGCTTGAACCCAGGAGGCAGAGGTTGCAGTGAGCCGAGATCGTGCCACTGCACTCCAGCCTGGTCAACAAGAATGAAACTCCTTTGTAAAAGTATTTTCTTAAAATATTAAAATATAGTTTAATGTTTCATTAATATCATATGCCCATTAAAATGTTGTATTAAATAACTATAATATTACTGAGAATAACTTATGTTTCAGACATTTCACTTACATTATTTAAATCAGACTTCCTAATAACCCACGTATAAACCTTGGTATGAAGTAACTGATCCTGAGAGATGTAAATTATCTTCCCAAATTCATGCATTTATGAAGTTTATCAACTGAGTTTTCTGACACTATATGTAACATTTTTTTCTCCATGCCACGTTGGTTCCTGGCATTCCAAAGCTCTTGAAGAACATTGAAAGAAACCAATGGCCTTCATCCGCATTTCAACCAACAATGCTACAATCACCTTTGTTCACAGTCCTGTCTTCATACAAAAAGAAATGTTTCCATTAGTTTCCAGCATCATCTCACATAATTATTATTTTGGTTTAGAACACTAATCCACTCTCAGAATTTCTCAAAAATACATTAAGTTGCTAACAATAGTCAGCACGTTGCACAATAGATCTCTTGAAATTTTACTCCTTCTCTCTGACTGTAGTTGTGTATCCTTTGACCAACATCTACCAAAGTCCATTCCCAACCACATTAGCTGCTGGCAAAAAAAACATTTTACTCTCTGCTTGTTAACTTTTTTAGATTCCACATATGAATGAGACTATGTGATAATTGTCTTCCTGGCCTAGCTCATAATATTCTCCAGGTTCATCCATGTTTTCACAAACAACAGGATTTCCTTCTTTTCTGTGGCTGAATGTATTTCATTGTATGTATATGCCACATTTTCTCTACCCATCCCCCCGTCGATGGACACAAGTTGATTCCATATCATGACTACTGTGAATAATACTGCAATAAACATGGGAGTGCAGATATCTGTTCCATATACTGATTTTATATCCTTTGGATAGGTAGATACCCAGCAGTGGGATCACTGGATCATATAGTAGTTCAATTAAAAAATTTCTGGAGAACCATAGTACTTAGCGGCCTAATACTTAATATTTAATACATAGAGACTGTACTAATTTATTAGGTTAGTGCAAAAGTAATTGAAGTTTTTGCCATTGAATGTAATGGCAAAACTGCAATTACTTTTACACGAAATTAATATATTCCCACCAATAGTGTACAAGGGTTCCCTTATCTCCATACCCTGATCAACACGTTTAATTCTTGTATTTTTGATAATAACCATTATAATAGGTGTGAGATGACAGCAGAGTGGAGCTTTAGTTTGCATTTCCATAATAATTAGTGATGTTGAACATTTTTTGCATAAGCCTACTTGGCCATTTGTATGTCTTCTTTTGAGAAATGTCTGCTCAGATCTTTTGCTTATATTTTAATCAGTTCATTTGCCTTCTTGCTATTGAGTTGTTTGAATTTCTTATATATTTTGGATGTTAATTACCACAAAATTCATAACAATATAAGGTAATACATATGCTAATTAGCTAGATTCAGTCACCTCACCATGTAAATATACCTCAGAATATCATGTACAAAATAAATACATAAAATTTTATCCTTCAATTAAGAAATTAAAATAAAATGAAATTTTCAGCATGATAGACATTCAAATATATGAATCACGTCATCCCAACCTCTCTTTATCATTTTCAGTAGTTACGGGTGAAATCTGAGTCAGGGCTGATGTTCCTAGTTCCCTACTATTATATTCTTAATACACTGCAGTTTCTCAATCATCCTTATTAAAGCAGTTACCAAAATTTAAAAATTAATTTTGAGTGTACTATGATCATCTCTGGAAAATTATAATTTGAAGAAGTGCTTCTATGAATGGGATAAAATATTTCATTTTTTTCAGCATTCCACATTTTTGACTCATTGACTCAGCTAAACCACATAAATCTTCACTTTTTTCTATTTTATATATCATAATGCCTATCTTTCAGCTGTGAAAAATTATCAACTATATTTGTTTATTAACTTTGGGAATATGAAATTCAGATCATGATCTTCTATAAATAAAATTTAGAAGTTTTTTTTCTAACCGAAGCATTCAGACTTGAGCAAATGACAAATGTAGAATATTTTAAGTGTTGACAAATATATACATATAATATCAATGTTTTTGTGTTTCGAGTTTCTAAGCAATATTTGCTAGCTGATAAACTTATTTTTTATTTACTAATAAGAAATAATTTGGATTGCAGAAATCAAGATACTCTCCTTGCATGACATTAAGATTAATAGATAAATGTTATCACACCTACAGGCACATATGACACCACCAGAACTTTACCTAAATGATTGTTTTCCAACTTATGTAATTGTGGTTGTTTATAAACGTCTTGTTTATTGTTAATCTTTATTATAAACATCTTGTTTATTATTGACCTTGTTTATAAACTATCTTTACTAATTAGGAAACTTTTTTTTCTCTTTTCTTTTTTTTTTTCAGAGACAAGGTCTGGCTCTGTCACCCAAGCTGGAGTACAGTGGCACCAGCTCCACTCACTGTAACCTTTGCCTCCCAAGTTGAAGTGATTCCTGTGCCTCAGCCTCCCAAGTAGCTGGGACTACAGGCACGCACCAGCACACGTGGCTAATTTTTGTATTTTTAATAGAGATAGGGTTTTGTTATATTACTCAGGCTGGTCTTGAACTCCTGGGCTCAAGTGATCAACTATTCCTGGCCTCCCAAAGTGCTGGGATTACAGGCATGAGCCACTGTCCCTAGCCTCTGTTTTCTTTATTGCTTTATTTATCTGGTTTTGAGTTGGGAGATGATATTAAACAAGAGTTATAATTTTCCAAAAATTGAAATAAAAATAATTTTAGGCTAGAGGAAAATGCAAACAATAGCAACATTAGGATCTATTAGCTTATTTGAATTTTGTAATAAATAAAGATTTGATATAATGGGAAATTTAATATACTTAATATGTAAGTACACTCTCAATTCTTGAAGGAAATAATAAAACTGTATCAACATAGAAAGATATAAAAAAATGCTAAGTTGTCACAAAAAAAAGAAATTCACAAAAAAAGAAATTCCAAAGCAGAAGTCCTGGTATGTTACTATTCCAGACAAATCTGATATGAGAAAGCACTAAAGATAATTGAAACATTAATTTAATAATTAATTAATTAAAATAGTACAGTCCTGGATGTCTTTTTTGTGCTTTCTTTAATTTCTTTCCAGCTATATATAAATGTGTCTTGGTATGAATTTAAGTGCCTGGGAATGAATAGTACTGTCCCCCAGGATAATAAGTTATTAGCAAATTAATACCTTGCTTCTGTTAGTTGTCAACATGTTGCAAGTAAACATTGTTGATAGGCACTGTGGATCTACTAAGGGTAAGATATCATCCTTTCACAAAAGGATAGCTATTAAACCTGACTGTAGGTAAAGTTAAATTGCAACTAAACATATGTAGACATATACTAAGATTTTAAACATTACACAATATTTCTGACCAATAAAATATAAACTAGAGTCTAAACTGTTTGGTTAAGAATTTCATTGCTAGAGTACCCTTACAAGTTCTAACTGAATTTCCAAAAATCTAACATTTTGTTCTCAATAAAATAAAATGTGTTTAATAAATATGAAGCAAAAAACAAAATCCTAAACAAAAGCAAACACTGTTGATCAGTCAATTTAACATGGAATATTATTGCTATTATTTTTATTGACCAATAATTTATTTCCTGACTTTTCTTCTCAGATATGGACACTATTGATGGGAGCGGCTGGCCATCTGGAGTGGCAGTTGCCATCATGCCAGTAGCGCTTGGGCCGCATGGGCAGTGTTGTCAGGAGCAGCAGCAGGAGCAGCAGTGGCGGTGGTAGGACCCCGTTCCCTGTGTCCCCAAGGCATCTGACTGCGCCGCCGCCCCCTAATGGCTGGGCAGGACCCACTGCCAGGTGCAGACCCTCCATGGCGGCCTCAATTTCGCTTCCTACCACATCTGGGAGCCCATCAGCGCTGGCAGCCGGGTCTTGCAGGATTGGCCCCAGGAGCATCAGGTTCATTTGTGCGGCATTAGCCAGGGCCCCCATGCCACCTGCACCTCGCCCATGCACTACTGCAGGGAAAACGCAGAGAGGAGTCACGGCCAAGGCTGCACACTCTATGGAGCCAGTGGCAGCTGGGGACAAGTGGGAGCCCAGCCCCTTCCAAGTTGCCAGGGCAGGAACTCCCCAGGCGCAACTGCAGCTGCCCAAGGAGGGTCTGCGACCCAGGCACTCCTGTGCTCTTGGGAGCCAGGAGAAGGCAGGAGCCCCACCCTCCCAGGCACAGCTGGAGCCTTTCAAGCCACAGCTGCAGACCCAGGCACCTCTGCACTCTTGGGGCCTGGGAAGGCCCCCGTGACCACACAGGCTCGGAAGTGCCTGCCCCCACTGTCTGGGTTCTCCTCGCTGTCAGCACCTGCTCCAATCTTCGAGCAAAGTTGAGGTCGAGCACACTATATTGTGACCAATATAAAATAGATATAAAAATACCTCTTACACTTAAATCCAGGCATTGCCATTTGAATGACTTAAGAATATGCAGCTAAGGTGCTTTTAAAAATACAAGCTAGTGATTATACTGAATTTGTAAATCACGTAGGATAGTGAGTCATTTTAGAATATTAATTATTTCAGTCCATAAACCTGGATGTCTTTCCTTTTTTGTGTTTTCTTTAATTTCTTTCATTGATGTTTGTAATTTTTGTTATAGAAATCATTTACTTCCTCGGTTAAGTTTATTTCTAAGTACATTTTTGTAGCTATTGTAAAAGAAATAGCTTCCTTAATTTTTTTTCTGCTAGTTTACTATCAACATATAGAAATGCTACTGTTTTTTGTATGTTGATTTTATATCCTGCAGCTTTATTAAATTCATTTATCACTCTAAGAAGTTTTAGGTAGAGACCTTAGTTTCTTCCGTGTATGAGATCACATTGTCTGCAAACAAGGATAATTTGACTGTCTCCTTTCCAATTCAGATGCCCTTTATTTCTTTCTCTAACCTAATTGCCCTGGCTAAGACTTTCACTATGTGAAATATGATTGGTGAAAGTGGGCCTCCTTTTCTTGCTCCAGTTTTCATGGTAACATTTTTCACCTTTTCCACGTTCAGTATGATCTTAGCTGTAGGGTTGTCTTTACGCCCTTTTGTGTTGAGGCATATGTTTTCCACACTAAATTGTTTAGAGGCTTTTGTCATGTAAGAACGTTTAATTTTGCCAAATGCTTTCATTGTGTTTATTGATTTAATCATATGGTTTTCAATATATATCCAAAGGAAAGAAAATCAATATATCAAAGCCTTACCTGCACCCCCATGTTTATTACAGCACTATTCACAATAGCCAAGATATGGAATCAACATAAGTGTCCATCAACAGATGAATGGATAAAGAAAATGTGACATACATATATAATGGAATACTATTAAGTTATAATAAAGAACAAAATCCTGTCATTTGTGGCAACATGAATGCAACTGGAGGGCATTATCTTAGGTGAAATAAGCCTGGCATAGAAAAATAAACACCACAGGCCAGGCACGGTGGCTCACGCCTGTAATCCCAGCACTTTGGGAGGCCGAGACAGGCGGATCACGAGGCCAGGAGATCGACACCATCCTGGCTAACACGGTGAAACCCCGTCTCTACTAAAAATACAAAAAAAAATTAGCCGGGCGAGGTGGCGGGCACCTGTAGTCCCAGCTACTCCAGAGGCTCAGACAGGAGAATGGCGTGAACCCGAGAGGTGGAGCTTACAGTGAGCCAAGATAGCGCCACTGCAGTCCGGCCTGGGCGAAAGAGCGAGACTCCGTCTCAGAAAAAAAAAAAAAAAAAAAAGAGAAAGAAACACCACATAACTACATGTTCTCATTTACGTATGGAAGCTTAGATAGTAGAGTATTGGTTACCATATACGGGAAAGAGAAAGGGGAGTATCAGAAAAATTTGGTTAACACATACAAAATTACAGCTGGAGAGAAGGAATAAGTTATAGTTCTCTACAGCACTGCAGGGTGACTGTAGTTAAAGGGAATTTATTGTGTGTTTTCAAATAACTAGAAGAAAAGATTTTTAGTATTCTCCTGCAAAGAAATAATAAATGATTTAGGTAATGGATATGCTAATGACTCTGACTTGATCATTACACATTGCATAAATATATCAAAATATCACTCTGTAACCCATAAACCTGTACAATTATTACATGCCAATTAAAAATAATTTTAAAAGAGAAAAAATGAAATAAAAGTAAAGGTACAGAATTTAACTACTTTTTCTTCTATGAAACCAGGAAGAGTGAATTTATTAGTTTTCTAAAATAAAAAAAAATCAAAATGACCAAAAAAGAGCAATATCCAAGAAAAACAACACTTAGTAAGAATACTTAGAAAACTTGGGCACTGTATCACCCTGTTCCTAGATACCAATTTACAGATGACCACTTAAATAGAAGTTTATTCCAGTTAATTCATTTATAATCCCAGAGTTCAAAATTATGTTGTACCTACAATAAATGAGATAACACGTTTAAATTATATGGTACTCTGCCTAACACAGGTTAATAACTCAATACAGGTTAGCAATAAGCTTTTAGTGTAGTAGTCATAGTACTATTTCTCACATTGCAATTTTCTTCATTCAGAGACATGAATACAACTTTCTTCATGACTCCTTTTTCATCAAGATACCTCTTCAAATTATTCTATTTCTTTCATTCAGTATATTAGCTGTGTATATCGATACTGCATTTTTTTTTTTTCTGAGATGGAATCTCATTCTGTCACCCAGGCTGGAGTGCAGTGGCATGATCTCGGTTCACTGCAACCTCCAACTACCAGGTTCAAGCAATTCTCCTGCCTCAGCTCCCCAGGCAGCTAGGACCACAGGTGCACACCACCATGCCTCGCTAATTTTTGTATTTTTAGTAGAGTCAGGGTTTCACCATGTTGTCCAAGCTGGTCTCAAACTCCTGATCTCAGGTGATCCACCCACCTTGGCCTCCCAAAGTGCTGGGATTACAGGCGTAAGCCACCGCGCCCAGCCTAATATTGCATTCTTGGATTTTGAACACTGAATATCTTTTTGAAAGGTTACACCTCTTTACCAATTGGTGCTTTGGAAATTATTTTCCTTCAAGTGTTCTAAGAGTCTAATGAAGAATGAAGGTCATGTTTTATCACTTTTGTCCTTAAAGATTTCAGACATGCTGAGGCTGAGCTTGGTGGCTCACACCTGTAATTCCAGCACTTTGGGAGGCCGAGGTGGGCAGATCACGAGGTCAGCAGTTGAAGACCATCCTAGCTAACACGGTGAAACCCCGTCTCTACAAAAACCACAAAAAAAGTAGCCGGTCTTGGTGGCGGGCGCCTGTAATCCAGCTACTTGGGAGGCTGAGGCAGGAGAATGGCTGAACCCAGGAGGCAGAACTTGCAGTGAGCTGAGATCGCGCCACTGCACTCCAGCCTGGGTGACAGAGCCAGACTCCGTCTCAAAAAAAAAAAAAAAAAAAAAAAAAGATTTCAGACATGCTGAAACTGAATGAAGTATCATTCGCTACCAGTTAGATTAGTTCTTTCTAGTTGTAGGAGTGGATACATCTTTAATGGTATATTTTGGGTTATTGCCTTATTTTTGATGCCATATTCTGTAAATAATTTTTTAAACCTGGCAAAACTCGGTCAGCATAGATTTGTCAACTTTGGTGTTATATTGTGTTTGCTTTTAAAAACTGCTTTTGAGGCCGGGCATGGTGGCTCTTGCCTGTAATCCCAGCACTTTGGGAGGCCAAGGTGGGCGGATTACCTGAGATCAGGAGTTCAAGACTAGCCTGGCCAACATGGCGAAACCCCATTTCTACTAAAAACACAAAATTAGCCAGGCATGTTGATGCATGCTTGTAGTCCTAGCTACTCGGGAGGCTGAGGCAAGAGAATCGCCTGAATCAGGGAGGCAAAGGTAGCAACCATTGCACTCCATCCTAGGTGATAAGAGCGAAACTCTGTCTCAAAAAAAAAAAACTGCTTTTGAATAGAGTTGTAAATACAATTTTTTATGAAAAAAGAAATTATCAAGTGCATAAGTTCATAATACAAAAACAAATAAAATTCGAGGCACAAGTTAGTACTAAAAAAATTATGTTCATTTTTCCCTAATACAACATGTTTTTTCCCTTCATGAACAATTTGTGTTTTACTGAGAAGACTCATTATTTATGGCAGAAGTTAGACTACAGATGAATATGTACTTTAAACACTCTCAGTAGCTTTCTTAATTTTACATATGCTGCTTTATGCTTCTGTTTATTTTCATTTTTCCAATGTCCATATTCTAGTAAATTTGAATATTTTAATTCAAGTTTATTGAATTTAATATTTAATATTGCTTGTATAATTTAGTATTTTTAAGACTCAAAAAGGTTTATGAAAAAAAGAAAAAGAGATCAACGTGTTGCTAATCATTTAAAGATTATTTTAAAATCTTTGACCTTTATATGTTAATGAATAAAATGTTAGTAGCTATTAGTATAAAATAATTTATGTCTTTTGGACTTAGCATCCAGCATTTCTTTTTTTAATAAATAAATAATTATTCTCCTGTAATATATTATGTTTATCTGGGTTTTGAAAAATGATGTTTCCTAATATGAGAAAGCCATTTACATGTTTAAATCTACAAAGGCAAATGAAATGGTACTAAATTATTTACATAATAACGTTTAGATGGTGACCCTTATAACATTATTTGTATACTTCATACAGAGTTGGGAATATGCAATCCTAGAATATTTCTGGGGGCAAACCCTTCAGTTTGATGAACAAAACAAGACTTTTAAATAAAATTAAACTTTTAAATTACCCAGGTTATGGGGCCTTTTAATTCAATGGATATGGAGCATAATGAATTATCCCCTTTTCATTGGGTAATAAGTTCTCATTCTTAACTTATAATACTCAAAATACCCTTTAATTTTTAATTTGTGATTAACCATATCATTATCCCTAGGTATTTTAGCTTCTATCTTGAATTCTATAATAATTTTGAAACAGGAGAAAGTATTCTTTATTACCATATGTGTTAAACATCATGGTTTTCAAATTTAACTGCAAATGTGTCTTTTTCATTGCTTCCTGATGACGCCCTTCACCCTATCCATATTGTCACTATCAAGTGGTAATTACTTTTCAGGTTCACATATTTGTTTTTTTGGAAAATCTTCTCTGTGTCTTATAAAGAATATGATTGTAGGCATTCAAAAACCAGTGAAATACACATAATTAGCCTGTGGCCTAACTCATTTCTTTAAGAAACTACACTAATTTTACCCACATACTGATATTTTTATTGCCGCATTATTTCTGGAGAAAATAAATACTGCTAACATGATGTTGGTAAGAGAGTAAAAAAGTCTTTTCTCGAAAAGTGCTCATTGTAGTATTAACATATAGTGTCAATTTCTTTATAAATTCCTCATACACATTTTATTCTTAGAGAAATAAAAATGCTAAAAGTGAAATGACTTTGTTTATTCTGCATATTATAAGCCACCCATCTTGGTAATTTAGGGTCTTTATAGTTAGGGTAAGTTGTGTCATACCGAGGTAACAAAACAAAAGGTATTTTGTCTCTTTTGGGCCTTTCATTATTCAGTTATACTGTCACTTTGGCTTTTTTTGTAGGTCAACCTATTGACCTCAGTATTCTGAAATAATATGTTTACTATCTTTTGATCAGCATTTAAAATATTAGATTTATTGTTACTCTTCTGCCTTTATTGGGCTGGATGAATAATTGTTTCTCTCACTCCACAAAAGCCAAGTTGCAGAGAAAAACACATAGACATTCAGTTGCAAAGCAAAGAAACGACTATTTTCTGCAATTTTAAAGTGTACATTGAATGAATTAAACCATCTTTTTATTTTCTTTTTTGCTCACTTGCAAATATTAACAACATCAAGTGTATTATTGTAATGTTATCTAGGTAAAAATCTCAACAAGTTTTCATAATTACCATTTTTAAATATATAAATAGGGGACCTAACTTTAATTTTTAATGTCTGAGGCCATGTCTGTTATTTCACTCTTTAAACTCAGTTCGTAATGCAGACACTTAGTAAATACTCAAAAAATATGTGCTGAATAAAAAAGGTTAAATATGTAATATGTACAAAATCTACTGGAAAAAATGCACCAACAATTTTATTTGGTATACCAGTTTATTGTAGAATCTTTATTGCCTTTAAATAATAATATACTTTTCCAGTGTCTACAATGACTTGTAATATTTGTACACATATAAAATAATATTTCCAAAAATGTAATTCAGTAAGGAAATATACCTTCTAAATTCTAGATTTATAATTTAGGGGTTAAATTATAAAATCATTAAATAAAATACAAATGACATATAGTCAAAGATCCCCTTGGAAAAAAATTAAGTGGCCTCTAAAGTGATGTATTCATATATATAATTTTACAATCACCCTCAGTTTGCTGTTCCTCTGGCATTAGAACAGATTGTTGTTGTTTATTTGCTTTAACATCAAAGGTAAATGTTTTTGTTCAAGGACATATGTAAAAATAAATGCATATGGTTTACAATAGCATCATATTTAGTGATAAGCACATAGGACATGAGACCATCCGAAATAAATGCAGAACCAAATCTCTCATGCATATGCACTCAACCACTCATGTTTATTGATAAAATGCTAAGTGGAAAAACCTGAATTTTGTAAATTTGTCTCCTTTGCCTTTTTAAATATACACACAATCAAACTCTTTGTGACTTAGTAATGAATAAGTAATACTCCATTGCATATGTAATAAAATGTGTGGCATAAAATCAATATTAGGTATAAAAAATCTATGGCAATAAGGTTAGAAGGAATGTGCCATAGCAGCGATTATCTCATAGCCAAAAATATAGGTATTTTTAGTCTCTGATTTTTTTCATTGTCTACACTTTCTACGAATAACACAGATAACTTTTGTAACATTTTATTCTAAATACTTTAACATGAAAGATACATTTAAAAATACTCATTCCATATACACACTGATTTTTAAAATATTTATTATGATTTCTCATGGAGTTTAGGAATATTCAAAATCTACTAAAAGTTATCATGTTTTATGATAGCTCTCACTTGCTTTAAAAAAAAATTCTTGATAATTTACAAGTACGCAGTGGGTATCCACCTGGGGCCTAGATATCCTCTTGGGGACTGATGTCATCCTGGAGCCTGATGTCCACCTGGGACTGGCTATCCACCTGTGGCCAGATATCTACCTATGGCCGAATATCCATTTGGGACCTGAAGTCCACCTCTGGCCGAGGTGTCCATCTGGGACGTGATGTCCACCCGACACCTAGGTATCAACTTGGGGCTTGATGTCTACCTGTCCTCAGACTGTGGGCCCCTGAGGGTCAGGGACCACGTGGACATTTTCAGTACCATATGCTGGGCCCACCAGGGCACCTGGCACACAGGACTAATGCTAAGGGCAGAGTTGCTGAGTGAATAAATGGGAGGATGTCAAATGCCCCTTCCTGCTTCTGGCCATCTCATAATGTGGAGATCATTCATAAGAACAGGAACTGCATGACCTCAGCATGACTCTCCCCTGGACCCAGATGCATGAGAACAGCACAGTGGGCACCAGGAACACAGAACACTGTCCTCCCACCCACCCTGTAGCCAGCATCAGCACTGCAGCCTCAGGCAGGAGCATCACAGAACAAAACAGGGAACTGCATTTAGGATTCCTCAAGTCAGTGGCTCTCCAGGTTCCCAGGAGGCAGACGAGCAGGATCTGCAGGCTCCAAGGGCAGTGAGAAGGACCTCAGCAGTCTCTCTTGTCCCCTCTTTGCCTCCAGTTCCTGGGGTGTAAAGTTCACTCTCGAGGTGTCCTCACCACAGCCAGGGCAGCAATTTCCCCCAACTTCCAAATGAAGTTCGATCGTGTTCCGGGACTTTTGACACAGGGTCCAGTGCCTGGGCACATTCTGTCCTATCCCAAATCCTCATCCACCCAAACTACCAAGCCTCTGTCTGCTCCGAAGGACCCCCAGAGTGAATAGCTTTTTCCAAGTGTCTCAGCACACACGGGGTCATTCATAAAAAACCAAGGTCAACAAACACTATCCAAGCATGTGGAACCCTGTGGTTTCATGCTCTAAGCACCTCACATTATATACAGGAGAAAACGGAGGCTTCGTCTCCTGTAGCCCCTGTCTACACTAGGGCAGGTGGGATGGTCGTAGTTCCAGGTGCCCACAGAGGTGGACTGCAGGACCCCAGTTCTGTCCTTTCAAGGCTGTGCTGGGCAAGGCCCTGGCCCAGGCAGAACCCTGGGAAGCTTGCGGATTCTCCTGCCCATCCTCTAGGCCCTTGTCTGAGCCTTTCTCTAAACTCAGCACATTGAATAGGGCTTGCTGGCTACATGTAGGTCAAGGGTGTAACCCCCATATCTCTAATTCCTCACAGAGTTCTTGCTATATTCTCCGACCCACCCTGTTCTCAGACCTTCAGACTCAGAGAGGTGATGGACTACTGCCTGGTAACTCTATCTGGATATCTAAGAGCAAACCCTACATAGCAAATTGTGCCAACACTCTATATATCCACCACCCACAAACCCATCCCAATCATAATGCCCAAACAGAAACTAAATACTTGGATTAGTCCCATATGCAGAAAAAGGCAAATTATAAACAAAATATTGTTATTGGGTTAGTGGAAAATTATTGCTGTTTTTGACATTATTTTTAATGGCAAAAACCGCAATAACTTTTACACCAACCCAATAGGAGAGTGTGAAATGAACAGGTCTAGTTTGTTGTGCTTTTCTATTTTCTGTTTGTTCATATTTGTTGCTTTCTGTGTATCTTTGAGAGTTTGGAGGAATTTGTGAAAGGAACCAGGATAAACATTTTTTCCTGCTATTTGAAGACCACGTTTTTTATCTATGTTACATCTCTATTAATAGCTTTTTCAAAATTCTGTTTCATCTGCATACCTTATGTTCTTAATTAGTGTTGCTACTAATATCAAAAATTATTTTCTCATTTTAATATTTTGTCTTCTGTTGTTTCTTAGTTTGTTTCTTAAATTTGTTGTGCTTTTTGTTTACTTGTATGCTTTTTCTAGGTTTTCAGAAGGATGATTTATTAGATTTTTAGTTTTTTCCAAAAAATGTACTTAAATTTAGAAATATACCTCCAATTTCTGTTTTAAATGCATTCTCAAAAACTTACATATCTAAAGGTATTTATCATTATACTACATTGTTTTCATAATTCACCTATTGTTTTCTCTCTAACTTCAAGATTACTTAATAATGGGCTTAGTGATTTCCAAATATCTGAAAATTTTAATTGTTGCTGGCTTTGAGGAATATAATATGATATTGATGATTTAGAATACATTGATTACTCCTTTGTTGTCTAGTTCATGACCTACATTTGAAAACATGACAAAATTTATATTTCTTTGTTGAATGTACATTTGTATACTTTTAGATAAAGTTATTGACCATGTTTTTTATATCCTTTTCAGCTTTTTTACTTTTGATTTTCAATATTATTGTACTGGCTTACCAAAGAACTAGTTAAAATTAATTTTCTACCTATTTCCCTATCCCATTTGTCTAAATTAAAATTACAAAATTATACTTTTAATTATACTTATGTTACAGATTTTCATATTTTTTGATTAATGTTTCTTTATCACTGTTTCTTATAAAGTCATTTTTGGTATCCTGTGATTGGCCCTTTAAGTGGTGATGAATAGAAATAATAAAGCAACTGAAGCAAGGTGATATGAAAAAATGAGAAGACAGAAACAAATCAATGTGTCCGTTTATGTGAAGTTTAACTGTATAAGAGCAATAACAAAAAAAACCCAGAAAGTTGTTTTTCAAAACTATTCATAGAAACTGAGATTACACAGAGAGAGAGAGAGAGAGAGAGAGAGAGAGAGAGAGAGAGAGACAGGCCCCAGGTAAAGACCAGGCTCCTCATAGAACTCTGGCCCCAGGTGGACACTGAACTCCAGGTGTACATTAGGCCCCCAGTTGATGCTCAGGCCCCAGGAAGGTAACCAGGCTTATGATGGATATATGGCTCCAGGTGGATACCCAGAATCCAGTGAGAAATCAGGGACAAGTGGGCACCAGGCCTCAGAGGGATACCTACGACCCTAGTGACCTCAGGCCCCAGTTGGACAGTAGGCCACAGGTGAACTCCAGTCTTCAGGTGGACATCAGGCCCCAGGGGAAATACAGGTCTTAGGTTTACTCCTAAGACACAGGTGGACACAGGTCTTAGGTTTACCCCTAGGACCCAGGTGGACAACAGGCCCTGGGTGGCCACTGGCCCCAAGTATCCAGTTTCCTAAGAGCTAGGGTGGGCAACCCCACTGGGCACTGTGGCCAGGCCTGCCATGTCTCCTTGTTCAGCTGCCACATTCTGATGGGGAGGGCGGGAGGTGTCGAGAGACCACAATCTAAGTTCTTATTACCTGATTTTATTTCACCTCCACTGAGTGCTCACTCTCCTCTCACCTAACGGATTTACTCTCATCTGCAGGTGGTTTAAGTGTGAAGGTTTACTGAAGATTTAAAGAGTGTTATCACAGTTGGGATGATTTAAACTAACAGTACACGTTGCATTTTAAGAAAATAATTAATCCTCAGAGGAGATATGGGTTATGGAGCCATGACAAATTTTCAGCATTACTTCCCTTACTTGTTGTTTCCAAATAAAAGATTTTTGATTCCCCATTGATGTTGGATGAGAACGCTGAGTGTGCAAGCAAAATATCATTTTTTAACTAAGGGCCCAATAGTGTCTTAAATATGCAGAGCTGAGTCTGCAGGTGGAGAGTGATGGGTTTGTTCAAAACGTGGTATAGAGTGGCCTTGGGTCTCACCTGCCTGCCCTTCCATCCTGTGCCCTCCCAGTGAGGCACCCAAGCCCCACCTTAGGGCACACCCCTTCACAGGGCCACATAGGCCCCAGTCCTCACCTATGTGGTCATCTCCAAATGGCACAGCAACACCTTCTGTCCAGGCCCAGGCCAGGGTCCCAGTATCTCCAGGGGGGCCTGGCATCCAGGCATCTGTTGAGAACTGGCCCAATGTTGGGGTCTGGGCTAGCCTGTGGGACCTGGATGTTGGGGGGCAGCTGCATGAGGACTCATGCCTGGCTTTATGTGTAGCACCAGGAAAGGCACTTTAATCGTATTCATTTATTGCTCACAAAACCTCTGAGGTGGGTGCCTTCCCCACGTCACAGATGGGAATGACAAGAAATAATAAGGTTAAAGAGCATGCTCATGGTTGAAACCTGGTCAGGAACTCAGAACTGGAGTCTATAGACCCCTACCTGTGACCTCTGTGGCCGGAGGACCCTCTCTCACCGGGTTTGTGTTTGCAGCATGTCCTGTCCTTCCCTAAGGGTCTCAGGTTCTGAGGCATGGTGAGGGCTGCTGGAGCCCATCACTGAGCTGCAGAAGGAGATACTAACGCTGGCCATGCCACCCTCCAGGCAGGCACAACTGGAGTTGAAAATCGAGATGGGGCAGGGCTGCCAGGAACAGAGGGAGGCAGGTGGAGAATAACTCACCAGGGAGGGGTTTCCCTGCTACAGCTTTCCAGGGCCATTTCCACTTTCTGGGTGGCATTTTGGGGCAGCTCACACAGTACACCCACATAGCCAGTCCCCAGGGTCACAATCCCCAGATGTTGTTCATCTTGGTGACAGGCCCTGTGCTTCTCCAGGACCGTTTGTGTATGGGCCCTTCCCAGGTAAGCGTGATACGTCCTGGCTGTCCTCAGTCCAGGGCACTGCCAGCATTTTCCTTTCTGGTCAGGGTCAAAGCTTTGTTGACCATCTCCAGGATACGATGGCCAGCTGGCCCTTGGAGAGCCAGTCACTCCAGGTGACACGGTTTGGTACTGGACGTCCGCGGTCCCCTCTCCCACGCCGCCCCATACTGGGCCCCGTATCCAGCCGCCACCGCTGCTGCAGCAAGAACCGCCCCACTGCCTCCGCGCAGCTGCCATTGTTTAAAGGGACCTCAGCCTGACTTCCAGGAGCTACGCAAGACTTGGCCAAGTCAATGCGCATGCGCAAGGAGAGAGCCGCTTCTCCCCATCACAGCGATTCCCAGGGTTGTCGTAGAAACCACTCCCTGAGGCTTCGCAAAGCAGGAGCCCTCCGTAGCAGGGCTTCGGTGTCGGGGCTCCGAGGCTCCGGCCTGACTTCTCCACGGGGTACACAGGAACGTCTCCGGACGCCAGGACCTGAAATGGGCCGACTAGGATGACGAAACCACAGGCAGAGTCCGGGGAAGCAGCGCGGCATCCCATCTTCAGGCCTGCCCGGAGGGTGTTCGGGTGAGTCTCCCCAAAAGTCGTGCCCCCGTGATCTGGAGGACAGGTCTGCCTGTGTGTCCGTGGGCTGCTCTCTCACCCGAGTGTCGTTCGCGTGGAGAGCAGAACCCTGCAGCCTCAAGGGTTGCCTGCCGGCTGAGGTGGGGGTGCTTCCATGACACCGCTGTATGACTGTGTGCGTGTGTGTGTGTGTGTGTGTGTGTGTGTGTCCCATTCTCTTCTCTCTCGCTATCACTCTCTATTTCTTTCCCTCTCTCTGTCGGTTTGTATGTGTGTGTGTGTGTGCCCTTGTGCGTGTGTGTGTTTGGACGAATGTGCCCCGTGCACCAGAAAGCAATTTCTTGCATGTCAGTCGGTCTTTGGTGAGCCTTTTTCGGCGTCTCTCCCTGGGTCCTGTGGCCAGTTGTCCATCGTTTTCCTGTCGGTTCCACTTTGGGTTTGTGAAGGCCTCGACAACGTGAGGAGATGCGTCGATCCCCGAGCAATTGAAATCTCATCCCTATCCTGAGTGGCCTCTTTTCTAGGATCAAGATGACCACACTCCAGCCAAGGATAAAAGCCCCACAGGAGCTCACTGTCCTGCAGGAGAGGAGCAGGCCCACGTCCAAGAAGATGGCTGTATGTTTTCACGGCTCTTCTCTGAGAAGTGAAGCCACACCACGATACAGTCTTGAAGAGGAAGCCAGGAATGGGAGATGGCAACAAGCCCTGTCATGGTGGCCTCTCTGAACAAGTTACCCTTTTGGCACCCCTCCCCTTATGCCCGTGGCGGTGGCACAGTGCTGTATCCTGCCTGGGCTCTGGCCCCTGCTCTGTCCTCCCTCTTACTCTGTCTCCCTTGTTTCTGAGGGGCCTAGATGCTTCTAGGTCTGGCTGAATGTCTTCAAAAAAGATCACTTCCCAGTCCATCAGGGAGACAGTTGGTGGACATCCTTGTCATGATTGTGTCTCTCTCCAAACCTGTTTCTGCTTGATTGGGCAGGTTTGATGACCCTGGAGCTCTTAGCTTTCATATGTGTCTCAGACAGGGAAGCTACCTTGGTCTCCATGTTTCACCTCATGGGTAGTGGATTGCCTAGAAGCAATGGTAAGCGACCATGACTGGCCTTTTCTTCTATGACGGGCGCGGTGTCGCATTTCCTCTGCATCTCCTGTCTCATTCTTGAGGGATGTCCTCTCCTCTGCTCCTGGGTGGACTGACTCCCTGAATCTTTTGGCCCCCTCCTGGATTCCAGGTGTTCTTTGATTTTGCTTGGCATTGATGGAAAGGTCACTTGTACCCCCCTTCAGTTGGGCACATGCCTGGACACCATTGCTTGTTTCGCCATCACCCCATATGCCCTCGGTGACACACATCCACACCATCTGCTCTGGGATACACCAGTGCCACGCGTGGTCGCCTTGGTTCCACCTCGGAATCGCCCCGTCCCTGTTTGCATGTGTCCTGGAAAGCAGTATCAGCTTGCAGGAGCCCCAGGGCTTTTAGAAGCGGGGCAGGCCACTGCTCTTCCAAAGGAGGAGGGAGGCAGAGGGCTCATGGGTCAGTGAATTTTCAGCTGACACTACGTCTTGAGGCCCATGGGAACATTCTGTGCTGCAGCGAGGCCCTGCCTGGTCAGCGGATGTGGTGAGCCCATCCTTTTTCACCTGGAGGGGTCCAAGGTCGGATCCGAAGAGGCGTCCTGAGACCCCAGCAGGCGCCCTTGAGCTCTCTCTTCACTGGTGGAAGTCGGCTCAAGGAGGTCCTGAAGACAGGACTCCTGAGGGTTTGGCCCTAGGTCACCGGCGGACCCCTCTCCTACGCTGCCGCTACTGGATCCCGGATCCAGCCGCGGCCGAGGTTACAGCAGGAGCGCGCCTGCAGCGGCGCAGCAGCCATTGTTTCAAGGGGACGCAGCCTGATTGCCAGGAGTGGAGCGCGAGTCGGCCCCACCAATGCGCATGCGCGAGGCGCCAGAGGATTCTGCCATCAGTGATTCCCATGGTTATCTTAGAAACCAGTCCCCGAGGCTTGGCAAAGCAGGAGCCCTCCGTGGCAGTGCTTGGGCGTCGGGGCTCCGAGGCCCAGGCCTGACCTCTCCAGGGGTCGACAGGAACGTCTCCGGATGCCAGGAGTCTCAAAGGGCGGACCAGTATGACGAAACCACAGGCAGAGTCCCGGGGAAGCAGCGCGGCATCCCAGCCTCAGGCCTGCCCGGACGGTGTTCGGGTGAGTCTCCCCAAAAGTCGTGCCCCCCGTGATCTCGAGGACAGGTCGGCCTGCGTGTCGCTGGGCTGCTTTCTCACCCGAGGGTCGTTGTCGTCGAGAGCAGAACCGCACAGCCTCAGGAGTTGCGTGGGGGTGTGTGCTTCTGTGCCACTGCTGTATGACTCTGTGTGTGTGTGTGTGTGTGTGTGTGTGTGTGTCTCCCATTCGCTCTTCTCTCTCTGTCTCTCACTCTCTGTGTGTTTCTTTCCCTCTCTCTGTCAGTTTGTGTGTGTGTGTGCACCTGTGCTTGTGTCTTTGGACGAATGTGCCCTGTGCGCCAAAAAGCGATTTCTCGCATGTCGGCCTGATTTTGGTGAGCCTCTTTCTGCATCGCTGCCTGGCTCATGTGGCCGGCTGTCGATCGTTTTCACCGCCGCGGATCCGCTTTGGGTGTGTGAAGGCCTCGACGGCGTGAGGAGATGCGTCAGTCCCGGAACAACTGAAATCTCATCTCCATCCTGAGCGGCCTCTTTTCTAGGATCAAGATGACCACACTGAAGCCAAGGACAAAATCCTTACAGGAGCTCACTGTCCTGCAGGAGAGGAGCGGACCCACGTCAGGGAAGATGGTCGTATCTTTTCACGGCTCTTCTCTGAGAAATGAAGCCACACCAGGATACAATCTTGAAGAGGAAGCCGGGAATGGGAGATGGCAGCAATCCTTGTCCCTGGGATGCTGGCCTCTCCGGACAAGTCACCCGTTTGACACCCCTCCCCTTATGCCTGTGGCAGTGGCATGGTGCTGTATCCTCCCTGGGCTCTGGCCTCTGCTCTGTCCTCCCTCTTGCTCTGTCTCCCCTGTTTCTGAGTGGCCTAGATGCCTCTTGGTCTGGCTGAATGTCTCCAACAAAGATCACTTCCCAGTCCATCAGGGAGACAGTTGGTGGACATCCCTGTCATGATTGTTTCTCTCTCCCAACCTGTTTCTGCTTGATTGGGCTGGTTGGATGACCCTGGAGAGCTTGAGTTCCATAGTTGTCTCAGACAGGCAAGCTACCTTGGTCTCCATGTTTCATCTCATCGGTGGGTGGATTGCCTAGAATGAGCAGTAGGCCACTGTGATGGGCCTAGTCTTCTAAGACAGGTGGTGTCACATTTCCTCTGCACTTCCTGTCTCATTCTTGAGAAATATTCTCTCCTCTGCTCCCGGGTGGACTGACTCCCTGAATCTTTTAGCCCCCTCCTGGATCCTGGTGTTCTTTGATTTTCCTTGACATTGATGGAAAGGTCACTTGTGCCCCCCTTCCATCTGGCACATGCCTGAACACCATCTTGTGTTTCGCCATTGCCCCATATGCCTTTGGTAACAAACATTCACACCATCTGCTCTGGGATATGCCAGTGCCATGCGTGTTGGCATTTGCTCCACTTTGGAATCGCCCTTGTCCCTGTTTGCATGTGTCCTGGAAAGAGGTATCAGCTTGCAAGGGCCCCAGAGCTTTTACAAGTGGGGCAGGTGACTGCTCTTTCAAAGGAGGAGGGAGGAAGAGGGCTCTTGGGTCAGTGATTTTTCTGCTGACACCATGGCTTGAGGCCCATGTGATCATTCTGTCCTGCAACGAGGCCCTTCCTTTCTCAGCAGATGTGGTGAGCCTATCCTTCTTCACCCAGAGGGGTCCAAAATCGGATCTGAAGAGGGGTCTTGAGATACCAGCAGGTACCCTGAAGCTCTCCCTCCACCGGTGGAAGTCAGCTCAAGGAAGTCTTTAAGACAGGACTCCTCGGAGTTTGGCCCTGGGACCCCCGCAGCCCCTTCTCCCCTGCCGCCCCCTACTGGAACCTGCATCCCGCCATTGCTGTGGCTGCAGCAGGATTCCCCCTGCCACCGCGCAGTCGCCATTGTTTAAAGGGGCCACAGCCTGACTTCCAGGAGCGAAGCACGAGTCGGCCCAGCAAATGCCTATCCGCGAGGCTCTAGCTGATTTTCCCATCACATTGATTTCCATGGTTGTCTTAGAATCCAGTCCCTGAGGCTTGGCAAAGCAGGAGTTCTCCGTGGCCCTGCTTCGTTGTCAGGGCTCTGAGCCTCCAGCCTGACTCGCAAGGGTTTTAATACCCTTCTCATCCTCATCTGCCTCTTTGCGAGGATCAAGACGACCACAACCCAGCCAAGGACAAAGGCCTCACAGGTGCTCATTGTCCACCCGCAGGAGGGTGCTCACAGACCTTCAAGAAGACGGTTTTCACTCCTCTCACACTTTGCCCTCATTGAGAAATCTAGCCACAGCTAGACACAGGGACAGAGAAGGAAGCCAGCAACGGGATGCGGCAAGCATTTCTGTCACCCAAACGCTGGCCTTCCTGGCCAAGTCACCCGTTTGGCACTTTTTCCCAGATGCCCGTGATGGTGGCATTGTGCCATATCCTGCCTGGGTGCTGGCCTCTGCTCTGTCCTTCCTATTGCTCTGTCTGCCCAGTTTCTTGGAATCCTAGAGGCTTCTTAGTGTGGCTCAACGTCTTCAACAAAGAACACTTCCCAGTCCATCAGGGAGAAATTTCTTTGGGGTCCATTTCATGATTGCTTCCCTCTCCAAACCTATTTCTGGATGATTGGGCAGGTGTGATGATCCTGGAGCTCTGGGCTTCCATACCTGTCTTGGACAGGGAAGCTCCCTTGGTCTCCATGTCCGAGGTGATGGCTGCGTTGTCGGTCCAGGAAGAGTGGGAGGCGACCCCACCGTGGCTGACCTTTGCTTTCTAGGAAAGGCGGTGTTGCATCCCACCTGTGCTTCCTCTCTCATTCTTGAGGGCCATCCGGTTGCTCTGCTCCTGGGGAAAGTGCCTTCAAGCAGTGAATCTTTTGGTTGCCACAGATGTGAGGGAGCCAAAGGGACTGGGTTTTGCTGGTTTTAGGAGAGGTGGCGTCAGTGGTACCTACCCGGTGGCAGGGTGTCGCTGTGGTGGTTTGTCGAAACCTCTCAGCCCCTCTGGCAGGCATCCCTGAATGTGGCTTGGACTCGGGCACAGGCCCTGTCTGGCAGGTTTTCAGGTGTGCTTGGCTTTTCCTCAGCTTTGTGTGGGAGGTCCCAGAAGCCCACGGACGCACGCCTGGACGTCACTGTCAGTCTCGGCATCGCCCCATACGGCCTCAGAGACACACGCTCACTCCATCTGCTCTTGAAAGACGTCAGTACCACGTGTAGTCACATTGGCTCCATCTCAGACTCGCCTCTCTCTTTGCATATGTCGCAGAAAGCAGTTTCGGGATGCCAGAGCCCTGGGCCTTGGAGATAAAGGCAGGCCACTGCTCCACCCAGGAAGGAGGGAGGCAGTAGGCTCATGGGTCAGTGCATTTTCAGCCGACAGTACGCCTTGTGGCTCTTGGGATCTTTCTGTGCCCCAGCGAGACCCTTCCCACCTCACTACATTGTAACCCCATTCCTGATCACCCTATCAGATCCATAATCAGATCCGAAGAGGAGTCCAGAATGCCCAGCCGGCACCCTGAAGCTCCTTCTCCACCGGGAACTGAAGCAGAAGACCAGAAAACCAATCAAGAAGGTCCTGACGACAGGACTCCTATGGGTCCAACCCTGGGTCTCCTGCAGACCCCCTCCTAGTACTCTTCCCACCCGCCACCTTGGACTGCGCCGCTGCGCCAGTCCCCGCAGCCCGTCGTGTCGCCGCCATTTTTTAAAGGGTCCGCAGCCTGACTCTCCGGAGCAAGGGGGGAGTTGGCCTCGCCAGTGCGCATGCACGAGGCCAGAGTCTCTGCTTTGGTAACAGTGACCGCCTCTGTTGCCCAGAAGTGGGTCCCTGAGACTTGGCGAAGTAGGAGCCCTGTGTGATAGTGTGTCAGAGTCGGGGCTGAGACCAGTCCTGGCCAGGGTGTTAACAGGATGGTCTCCGGAGATCGGGATTCTCGGAGGGTCGACCACCAGGAAGAAACCTCAGGAGCAAGAAAGCTCAGGCAGATTGCTGGGGAGGCAGTGCGAGATCCCAAACTCAGGCCAGGATTTGCGGAGGGTCAATGAGGCCCCTCTCCCAATCTTCACTTCACCAGCCACCGCCCCAGTCCCCGCAGCCGCCGCTCTGCCGTCATTTATTTTATTATTATTTTTTTTTAATAGTCGGAGTCTCATTCTGTCACCCAGTCTGGACTGCAGTGGCGGGATCTCAGCTCACTGCAAACTCTGCCGCCTGGGTTCAAGTGATTCTCTTGCCTCCGCCTCACGAGAACCTGGGATTAGAGGGATTAATCAGAATCGGGGCTAAGACCAGTCCTGGCCAGGGCATCAACAGGATGGTCTCTGGAGGCCGGGATTCACGGAGGGTCTTCCAAGAGGAAGAAACCGCGGGCGGAAGGCCGAAGAAGCAGCGCGGGATCCCTGCCTCAGGCCTGCACGGACGGTGTGCCAGTGAGTCTCTTCAAAAAAGGAGAGATTTGCTTGTGTGCCCATGGGCTGCTCTCTCACCGGTGGGTCGTGGTTGCGGAGAGTAGAACCCGGAAAATTCAGGGGTTGCCTGGGGGTAGGTGTTACCGTGCCACTGCCCTATGTCTTTGTGCGTTTGTGTGTGTGCGTAGGTCTCTCTCTTATTTCTCTCTCTCTCCTCTCTCGCTCTTTTGCTCTGTGTCCGTCTGTGTGTGCGTGTGTGTGTCTGTTGGGACACATGTGCCCTGTGCTCCAGAGGGCGGTATCTTGTACATCGGCCTTTCTTCTGGTCAGCCTCTCTCGGCGTCTCTGCCTGGGGCGTGTGGCCGGTTGTCAGTCATTTTTCCGGTGGCTCCAATTTGGGTTTGTGAAGGTCTGGCGAGGTGGGGAGCTGCGTCTCTCTCATAAGGATTTAAATCACCTTCCCACCCTGAGAGGCCTCTTTTCTAGGATTAAGGCCTCCAGCCCCCAGCCAAGGATAAAAGCCTCACCAGAGAGGTCATTGTCTACCTGCAGGAGCTGTGTAGAGAGACCTGGAAAAAGATGGTTCTCATTCGTCTCTCTCTTTCATCTCCTTGAGAAATCTAGCCACAGAGTAACACAGGTTTTCAGAGGATGGGAATGGGATGTGGCAAGGATCTGTGAGTGTGCAGGCTGTGTTTCACATATCATTAAACATAGTCTAATGAGTGTTCTGCAGATAGCTGACATTTAAGTTTGTTTTATTGAATCAAGGAAAAGAAAAAATGCTGAGAAAAAATGACACAACTTCCCTGCCACCCATCTGAGTGTTACAAATTTAATAGTAATTTTAATTTATCTTCTCATGTAAAGGTCCTTGGCAGTGATACCTAATTTCCTAAGATAGCCTTGCTTTATTTCGTATACTTAAGATGTCATGCATATCAGAGTATCTGGAAATTCTTCCCAATGCCCTTGACATATGTGATTAATCACATTCCCAAAATAACATACCAAAACAAACAACAGAAAATTATTTGTTACTTAATTCCTTCAAATTTGTTTATTTAACTTGGGGTTCCTTCATGCACGAAACATTTCATGTGTGTGTGGCACTCTTCTGGTCACAGATTTCATCTTAAATAACCTAAGTATTGAAATGCTTGTGCCCTTTGATTAATTTTTACTACATAAATACTTTGATTAAAAGCTACATTGAGGCTGGGTGCAGTGGCTCACACTTGTAATCCCAGCTCTTTGGGAGGCTGAGGCCAGCAGATCATGAGATCAGGAGATCAAGACCATCCAGGCCAAGATGGTGAAACCCCGTCTCTTCAAAAATACAAAGAATTAGCCAGGGGAGGCCAGGCGCTGGCTCATGCCTGTAACCCCACACTTTGGGAGGCTGAGGTGGGTGGATCACCTAAGGCCAGGAGTTCGAGACCAGTCTGCCCAACATGGCGAAACCCTGTTTCTACTAAAAATACAAAAAATTAGCTGGGTGTGGTGGCAGGCGCCTGTAATCCCAGCTACCCAGGAAGCTGAAGCAGGAGAATTGCTTGAACCCAGGATGCAGAGGTTGCAGTGAGCTGAGATCACACCACTGCACTCCAGCCTGGGCGACAAGAGTGAAACTCTGTCCCAACAAAAAAGGAAGAAAGAAAGAAAGAAAGAGAGAGAGAGAGAGAGAGAGAGAGAGAAAGAAAGAAAGAAAGAAAGAAAGAAAGAAAGAAAGAAAGAGAAACCTTGTGTATACTAAAAATACAAAAATTAGACCCTGAAGGTCACATCTGAATGAGAAAGACATTATTTGGCTCAAATTGACTGACACTAAGGAATAGTGCAGACTGGACAAGTGAGGTGACTTACACCTATAATCCCAGCACTTTCGGAGGCTGAAGCTGGTGGATCTCCTGAGGTCAGGAGTTCGACCTCAGCCTAGCCAAAATGGCAAAACTCTGTCTCTACTAAGACAAAAATTAGCCGGGCGTGGTGGTGCACATCTGTAATCCCAGCTTCTCAGGAGGCTGAGGTGGGAAAATCACTTGAACCTCGAAGGCAGAGGTTGTAGTGAGCCAAGATCGTGCCACCGCACTCCAGCCTGGGTGACAGAATGAGACTCCATCTCAGAAAAAAAAAAAGTATGTAAATCACTAATGTATCAAAGAAAACAGTCATTCATGTATTGCAAATAAATACTCAACCAAGACAAAAAGGCACGTCACATCTTATGGGAAAAGACGGAAATGACGGTGAGAGGAAAACTGTGACCCTTGAATGTAAGACAGAAAAAAATCAGGGCACGATGTTAAGGAATTGGAAATAATTCTCCATATTAAAGGAATACAAGAGACAGAAAGAGAGGAGAGAGAGACACGATAGTCACAGACTGCAGGGGTGTGGGGTAGATGGGAATCAAGGAGGCAGAGAGAGCAGTGGGAATGTACATAAAATCACCCTCCAGAGCTGTGCTGTCCAATAAGTCTGCTGAACACTTGAAAGATGGCTAGTCCAACCTGAGAAATGCTGTAAGTGGAAAACGCATTTAAAAAAATTCTGAATACTTAGAATGGGCCAGTGTGGGGGTTCATACATGTAATCCCAGCATTTTGGAAGGCCAAGGCGGGAGGACTGCTTGAGCCAGGAGTTTGAGACCAGTCTGGGCAACAGAGCAAGACCTCATCTCTTCAGAAAAAAAAAAAAAAAATAGGCCAAGTGCAGCGGCTCACACCTGTAATCCCAGAACTTTGGGAGGCCAAGATAGGTGGATCACTTGAGCTCTGGAGTTCGAGACCAACCTGGACAACATGCCAAACCCCTGTCTTAACAAGGTTTTTTGTATTTTAAACATGGAAGAACCCCATTTCTACTAAAAATACAGAAGCAGCCAAGTGTGGTGGGCCATGACTGTAATCCCAACTACTCAGGAGGCTGAGGCAGGATAATCCTTTGAACCTGGGAGGTGGAGGTTGCAGTGAGCCGAGATCGCACCACTGCACTCCAGCCTGGCAACACAGTGAGACTCTGTCTCAAAATATATATATATACACACACACACAATTTTGGAGCGAAGTTTCAAAATCAATCAGTAAGCACTACCCACCAGGTTTATCCTTACATAAAGTGCCCGCTCTGCCTTGAAAATCTTATGCTAAGTGGAAGAAGCCCGTCATGAAATATCACATGTAATTCCATTTAAATAAAATGTCCAAAATACATGAATGCGTAGAGACAGAATGTAGATTTGTGGTGGCCCAGGGTTAGGGGAGTTGGGGGAAATGGAGGGATATGGGGTTTACTTTGGGGTAATGAAAATGAGCTAAAATTTATTGTGGTGATGTTTGCACAACTGTGTAAATATACTGAAATCATTGAATTTTACACTTTAAATGGGTGGCTTCTGTGATATGTTAATATTTTTCAATAAAACTTCAAGAAAAAGAGTACCTGTGTGCCTCCAGAGTCCACATTTTTACACTTGATGAAGAAATCAAGATATTGTTTCTTCTTCTTCTTTATTTTTATTTATTTTATTTTATTTTTTGAGACAGAGTCTCCCTCTCTTGCTCAGGCTGGAGCGCAGTGGCGTGATTTCCGCTCACTGCAACCTCCCAGCTAATTTTTGTATTTCTAGTAGAGACGGTGTTTCACTGTGTTGGCTAGGCTGGTCTCGAACTTCTGACCTCAAATGAGTCCACCATCTTGGCCTCCCAAAGTGCTGGGATTGCAGGCATGAGCCACTGCACCTGGCTCAAGATTTAGTTTCCATTGTTTCAGATGCCCTAGGACCATTTTATTCTACTTTAATTTCTGATGCATCATCGCAGTGGACATTTTACATTAGCTCCCAAAGTATTTTACTCTGTTTAAGATTTTATCAGCTGGGCACAGTGGCTCACACCTATAATCACAACACTTTGGGAGGCCAAGGTGGGAGGATCAGTTGAGCCCAGGAATTCAAGACCAGTCTCTGCAACATAGTGAGATGCCCATCTCTAAAAAAAAAAAAAAAATGTTTAATTAGGTGGGCGTATTGTTGCATGACTATGGTCCCAACCAGTAGGTAGGCTGAAGTGGGAGGATCACTTGAGCCCAGGAGGTCGAGGCTGCAGTGGCCATGATTACACCACTCCATTCCAGCAAAAATATTTTTAATTACATTTTTTTAAGAAAACAAAATATACACTTAGTGACTTGATACAAATGAATGACTTTTATAATCTACAGAAACCAAAAAAATAACAATAATATAAACCCACAGCCATTCTTCTTATGTGAGTCTCTGGTGTCTCTGAGTTGTAAGAATTGTGAATTATGATTAATAACAAATATGCATGACAAGGACTCAATAAGGGATAGGCATTGATAAACTGCAAACAACACTTACTGGAGTAATGTCTTTAAAGTTGTACAAGAAGAAGAAAAGGCATTGAAAAACTGCGTTGGCTAACAAAATACTGAAGTTCACCTAAGTCCATTAATCAGCACACGCACACACACACACACACACACACACACACAATGGATGTGTAAAATGGTCAACACAGTCTCCCATGAATGTATCATTTTATTAATAGGTCTGTGAGGGTAAGAGATGAGGTTCTATAGATCCTGGAATCAGGGATGGGGAATCTGTGAGGTCCCTGAAGTGATAGATGAGGGTCTGTAGATTGGTGATGGGTGGTCTTTTGGATACTGATGAGGTCCACAGAATCAATTCTTGTGGATATGTAGGGTCAGTGATGAGGGAATCTGGTGTCAGTGATGGGATGTGTGTGGAATCAATGAGAAAGTGTGGAATCAATCTGTGAAGGCCAGATTTGTGGTGTCATCTCTCAGGCTGACACATCCTGATCTGTGTGTCAGTGGTGGAAATTCTATGGGGTCAGAGTGTGACAGTCAGATCCCTGACACTGGGTGTTCTGGGTCCGGCCAAGTGCACAGATTCCCTTACCTGGTCCTGGCTGGAGAGGCCCTTCTCACGGACTCCTCACGTGAAAAGTGGGTTGTCGGCGGTTTTTGCTTTTGCTTTGTTTTGTGGTGGGGGTGGGTGGGTTGGCTTTTTCTTTAGGGTTTGGTTTTGCCTCTTAGAGACCACAGACACATGCAGCTCTTAGGAAGAAATTTTTGTCTTGGCGATCGCTAGGTCCTTTGGACCAAGCCATTTAATGGGAACGAAGCTGACCATTCCCTTAGAGCAGTTCAGATCTAGACGGTCGCTTTAAGGTGTCCACAAGGGGGACTGCAAGTGGATTGTGGCTTTGAGTGGCAGGTGGGCGGGAAGAAACAACTAAGAAAGACACACAAGCTGTCCTCAGGCTGAATCTATCACAGCTGGAAGAACAGCCTCCCTAACCCATCAGGCGCCAATGGGAGGTGCCTCTGGGCTGTGAGAGGCTGGCGGAGGCGGGACTTCCAGACCCAGAAAGTCTGGGCACAGAAGCCTATTACTGTCAGACGCTGAGGCGTTGCCGTGGGAACCAAGGGCCTTTCGGGTCAGATCAGAGCCTTTCTCAGACAATTCTTTCCGTAACTGACGAGCTCCTGTCCAGCGCACGCCTCTATGAATGCTTAGTGTGCCGTCTCGGGCAGAGTCTTATTTGGTCTGAGAGCCACTTGTTTCTTAAATCCCTGCGCTAATCTTGCCGTCTGCTCCTACGTAGCCCAGGCATTTGCTGCATGCTGGTCCTTTCTTTCCTGACAGGGGAGCTGCCTCTCCAGCTTCCTGGGAGGACAGTTCAAATTATGGAGGAGGGGAGGTGCAGGGCAGCAGTGCCCAGGGGAGTACAGGGGAGTTGGGGGAGCAGGGGCTCATTTTTCTTTGTAGCTCAGATTCCCAAGCCTGTGACTTTGAGAATCTTTGTCTTCCTTGCAACGTTTCAATCTGAGGCTCTTGGGGAGAGGGCAGAGTTGGAGCCGGATGGAAGCCTGGTGGTGAGAGGAGTGGGTGGAGGGAACATGAAGAACGTGTCAGGCGGTGTCTTTATTTCTGGCACCTTACTTTGCCTACTGGAGTTTCCCAGTCTGTTCCAGACGCACTCTCTTGATCCTGAGGGGGCCTGAGGAGGCATGTTGGTTGCCAGTGTGTGCTCCCCTGAACTCGATTGGAATTGGTCCCACAAACTTTTTTTTTTTGAGGGAGTCTCACACTGTCACCCAGGCTGGAGTGCAATGGGGTGATCTCGGCTCACTGCAACCTCCGCCTCCCAGGTTCAAGTGATTCTCCTGCCTCAGCCTCCCTAGCAGCTGGGAATTCATGTGTCCGCCACTACACCTGGCTAATTTTTTTCTATTTTTAGTAGAGACAGGGTTTCACAATGTTGGTCAGGCTGGTCTCAAACTCCTGACTTCAGGTGATCCACCGGTCTTGGCCCCTCAAAGTGCTGGGATTACAGGTGGGAACCATCACGCCCGACAAATCCCACAAATTTAGGCATTATGATACATCGGAGCCACCACGCCCCACCAATTACACATATTTAAGCATTATGATATATTGCTACTTTTAGAATCACTTGGTTTTTATATTGTGTTTTTCCCCCCCATTTGTTTGTTTGTTTATTGAGACAGAGTCTTGCTGTGTCACCCAGCCTGGAGTGCAGTGGCGCAATCTTGGCTCACTGCAACCTCCACCTCACAGATTCAGGCAATTCTCCTGCCTCAGACTTCTGAGTAGCTGGGATTACAGGTGCATGCCATCACACTCGGCTAATTTTTGTATTTACAGTAGAGACAGGGTTTCACCATGTTAGCCAAGGTGGTCTCAAACTTCTGACCCCAAGTGATCCACCTGCCTCGGCCTCCCAAAGTGCTGGGATTATAGGTGGAAGCCACCGTGCCCGGCCTCCCCTCCTTTTCATTCAGGGATTTTAAATGTTTTATTTGCTCCATCTGTTATGTATGATTGCCTTGACGATTTCAGCTTGAATGAAAATTACATATTTTTGCCTGTGATTATTAATATTGAAACATATTAAAATAATACATGTTCATAATGAAAATGAAACATTACAAATAAATACACAGGAAAGGCAGTATTCCCCCTCCAGTTCCACTCTTGAAAATAACCAGTTAACAGGATGATGAACATCTTTCCATGATGTTCTCCAAGATTCATATAATTATTTGCAATAATACAATGGCATATATGGGCCAGGTGCTGTGGCTCATGCATGTAATCCCAGCACTTTGGGAGACTGAACTGGGTGGATCATTTGAGGTCAGGAGTTCAGGACTAGGCTGTCCAACATGGTGAAACCCCATCGCTAAAAAAAACACAAAAATTATTTGGGCATGGTGGTGGGCGACTGTATTCCCAGCTACTTGGGAGGCAGAGGCACGAGAATCACTTAAACCTGGGAGATGAAGGTTACCGGGAGCCGATATCTCACTACTTCACTCCCACTTCGGCGACAGAGTGAGATTCCATCTCAATAAATAAATAAATAAAGAGAAAGAAAGAAAAAAAGAAAGAGGAAAGAAACAAAGAAAAAAGGAAGAAAGAGAGAGAGAAAGAGACAGAGAAAGGAAGCAAGCAAGCAAGACACAAAAAGAAGTCGTGTGCTCAGGTTGCTAAGATCGATGGTAAGAACAAATCCTCTAGTGGTAAAAGTGTAAGAAGGAAAAAGAAATTTCTGTTAGTCTTGTTGGTTTCACCCCAAGCTCTGAAAAGTACAGCACGTGTGTGATAAGTTCTTAGTTAAGTTGAAAAAGGCATTAAATTTGTGCATGGAAATCATAAACAGAAATGTGTTCTGATTGACAGCAATTGGGTCAATGCTACGCAAGGTTCAGGCATCCACTGCGGGTCTTAGAACAGGTCTCCTGCAGATAAGGGAGGGCTACTATATAATGTTTCTTTCTTTTTTCTTTAATTATAAAGTATTCTCCTGTTTATATAACAATTTGCCATCGATATCACTTTAGGTATAAAGATATTAGGATATCTTTATAGTAGATAAAAACTAACTCATTATTTGTAAGAGTTAAAGTATCTTCCATTATATGAGCATTTAAAATACTAAAGTACTTTTGCCACCAGAAATAGTGCTTCTGTAAATATTCTTTTACTTATATCTTTAAATTTTACTTCTGCTGAAATGAATTGCATGAGGAAACAAATGTTTGTGTATAAAATGTAATATATGTATATATATTTAATATGTGTATATACAACTTAATATATACACATACATACAATAACATAACCAATTTTTTTGTTGTTTTTTGAGATGGAGTTTTGCACCGTTGCCCAGGCTGGAGTGCAGTGGTGTGATCTTGGCTCACTGCAACCTCCACATCTTGGATTCAAGTGATTCTCCTGCCTCAGCCTCCTGAGTAGCTGAGAATACAGGCATCTGCCACCAAGTCCAGCTAACTTTGTCCTTTTAGTGGAGATGGGTTTTCACCATGTTGGCCAGGCTGCTGTCAAATTCCTGACCCCAAGTGGTCCACTGACCTTGCCCTCCCAACATGCTGGAATTACAGATGTGAGCCACCGTGCCAGGCCTAACATATACAATTTAATGTATATACAAATATAGGTTGGGTGCAGTGGCTCACTCCTGTAATCCTAGCACATTGTGGAGCTGAGGTAGGGAACTGTTTGAACCCAAGAGTTTGAAATCAGCCTGGGCATCATGGTGAAACCCTCTCTGTCCAAAAAACACAAAAATGAGTTGGGTGTGGTGGCACACGCCTGTGCTCCCAGCTACTCAGGAGACTGAGGTGGGAGGATAGCTGGAGCCCGCAGGTCAAGGCTGCAGTGAGTTGTGATCATGCCACTGCACACCAGCGTAGGTGACAGAGTGAGCCCCTGTCTTAGACAAAAACGAATCAAACCAAATATAAAGTTTATGCACTACACACTTGATTTCTTTCCAAAGGGTTTTACAACACTATACTTTCACCAGCAATATATGCAACTACTCATTTCCTACATAGTCACTATCACTTGTGTGCAGTCAAGGAACTTAGTAGGCTTGAATTGTCCAAATCCTGCACACTCCAAAGAAAGGTTTGACTCTAGCCCAGCTCCTGGGAAATAGCCTTTAAGTCCTTGGACTCTCCTGCCTATCTGGGAGTTAACAAGGTGATTTATTGTGGGGACCTTGGACCATGCAGTGTCAGCTTGACCTTGGGAAGGGGGAGACAGAGAAACTAAGGTCATCCAAATGGGTACTCTTGTCCATGTGACCAACCTCCAGTAAAACCCTCAACCCCAAGGTTCAGGTAAGCTTCTCATCTGGGAGTATTTTCTGTACTTTCTGCCACATATCACTGGGTGAATTAAGCACTGTCCACATGATGCCACTGGGAGAGGACAACTGGAAGCTTGTGCTTTGTCTCTCCTGGACTCTGCCCTATGCACCTTTTTCTGCTGCTGATTTTAATCTGTATCCTTTTGTTGTAATAAACTATAACTATGAGTATAATAGCTTGACTCAGTTTTGTGAGTTCTTCTAATCAATCACTAAACTTTTGGGACCCCAAAACACAACGTTGTTGCTTCTTTAATTGAATTCTCCATGTTATGTAAGAAACCTATGTGCATAATTGAAAATCCCACTCTAAGAAAGAGATTTCCATGCAGTCTACTCCCCCACCATTTCTCCAATGCTCCCAAGTCTACTTTCTGAATAATCAAATGTTTCAATTTTCTAAATTTAGATTATAAACTATTTATAATCTATATATCTGAGTGCTTATCTCTGTTATATAATAGGTAGATCCTCCTCCTTCTGTTTTTTTTTTTTTTCTGAGACAGAGTCTTGCTATGTCACCCAGGCTGGAGTGCAGTGGCGTGATCTCGGCTTACTGCAAGCTCCACCTCCTGGGTTCACTCCCTTCTGCTGTCTCAGCCTCCCCAGCAGCTGGGACTACAGGTGCCCACCACCACGCCTGGCTCATTTTTTTGTATTTTTAATAGAGACGGGGTTTCACTGTGTTAGCCAGGATGGTCTTGATCTCCTGACCTTGTGATCTGCTTGCCTCGGCCTCCCAAAGTCCTGGGATTACAGGTTTGAGCCACCACGCCCGACCCCTCCTTCTTAATATATCAACTTGATATATTACCTGATGGCTTCCTGTTCTGATAGCTGATGACTTGGCTGACACTCACCTCTTACCCCAGTGCCTGAACCACTTTCCTTATATGGTGCTCTCATTATTTTCTTTTTCTTTTCTTTTCTTTTTCTTTTTTTTTTGAGACAGAGTCTTGCTCTGTTGCCCAGGCTAGAATGCAGTGGCACAATCTCAGCTCACTGCAACCTCTGCCTCCCAGGTTCAAGTGATTCTCCTGCCTCAGCCTCATGAGTAGCTGGGATTACAGGCATAAGCCACCATGCCTGGCTAATTTTTGTATTTTAGTAGAAGCGGCGTTTCACCCTCTTGGCCAGGCTGGTCTCAAACTCCTGATCTCATTATCCACCCACCTCAGCCTCCCAAAGTGTTGGGATTACAGGCATGAGCCACTGCACCTGGCCTCTCTCACTATTTTCAATGGCTCTGTTGGTTACTGTTCACAACATTCAACAATTAGACTTATACCTCATTTATTTATTTATTTTTAATTTTTTCTATTTTTAGGTTTAAGGGATACATGTGCAGGCTTGTTACATGGGTAAATTGCATGTCACTGGGGTTTGGTGTACAAATGAGATCATCACCCAGGTAGTGACCACAGTACCCAATAGTTTTTTGACCCATAGCCTCATGCCACCCTCCCCACTCAAGCAGGCCCCAGTGTCTTTGATCCCATCTCTGTGACCATGTGTACTCAATGTTTAGCTCCAAGTTATAAGTGAGACCATGGAGTATTTGGTTACCTAATGCTGCATTAATTCATTTAGGATAATGGCCTCCAGCTGCATCCATGTTGCTGCAAAGGACATGGTTTCTTTTTCTACGGCTATGTAGTATTCCATGGTGTATAATTACCACATTTTCATTATCCAGTGCACTGCTGATGGGCATCATATATGCAACTTCACACTATACTACTAGGCTACAGTAACCAAAATAGCATAGTAGTGGTACAAAAAGAGACACATAGACCAATGGTATAGGTTAGAGAACCCAGAAATAAAGTCACACACCTACAACCATGTGATCTTCCACAAAGTCAACAAAAGCGAGGAATGGGGAAAGGACTCCCCATTCAATAAATGATTCTGGAATAACTGGCTACCCACATGCAGAAGACTGAGTCTGGGCCCCCTACCTTTCACCATATACAAACATTAACTCCAAATGGATTAAAGATTTAAATATAAGACCTCAAACTATAAAAATCCTGGAAGACAACCTAGGAAATACTCTTCTCAACATCGGCCTTGGCAAGGAATTTTTGGCTAAGATTCCAAAAAAGCAATTGCAGCAAAAACAAAAATAGACAAGTGGTACTTAATTAAACCAAAAGCTGGAGGCCAGGTTGGGCAGATCACAATGTCAGGAGTTTGAGACCAGCCTGACCAACATGGTGAAACCCTTTCTCTAATAAAAATACAAAAATTAGGTGGTTGTGGCGCACACCTGTAATCCCAGCTATTCAGGAGGCTGAGGGAGGAGAATCACTTGAACCCAGGAGGCAGAGGTTGCAGTGAGCTGAGAACGCACCACTGCACTGCAGCCTGGGTGACAGAGCAAGACTCCGCCTCAAAAAAAAATTAAATAAAGTAAAATAAAAGTGTAAACACAACAAGACAAACTATCAACAGAGCAAACAAACTACAGAATTGGCGAAGATACTCACAAGCGATGTATCCAGCAAAGGCCAAATAATATCCAGAATCTATAGACAACTTAAACAAATGGAACTTAAGCAGAACCCTTACTCTTTAGCAAGTTCTGTATGCATAAGCCTCTCTTTGTTCTTATTTTGGTGGCCTCTGTTTATTTACACAAAGAGAAGAACTGCTATTCCTGTAAATCATGGCTTTGAAAATGGTCACAGTTTGCTGGGCATGCTTGCTCATGCCTGTAATCCCAGCATTTTGGGAGGCCAAGGTAGGTGGATCACGAGGTCAGGAGATCGAGGCCATCCTGGCCAACACGGTGAAACCCCATCTCTACTAAAAGTACAAAAAAATTAGCCGGGATTGGTGGCATGCCCCTGTAATCACAGTTACTCAGGAGGCTGAGGCAGAAGAATCACCTGAATCCGGGAGGCAGAGGTTGCAGTGAGCCAAGATCATACCACTGCACTCCAGCCTGGATGACAGAGTAAGACTCTGTCTCAAAAAACCCAAACTGTTCGGGATAAGTGGCTCATGCCTGTAATCCCAGCACTTTGGGAGGCTGAGTCAGGTGGATCACAAGGTCAAGAATTCAACACCAGCCTGGCCAAGATGGTGAATCCCCAACTCTACTAAAAAAATGCAAAAATTAGCCAGGCACCATGGCAGGTGCCTGTGATCCTAGCTACCTGGGAGGCTGAGGCAAGAGAATTGCTTGAACCCAGGAGGCAAAGTTTGCAGTGAGCTGAGATCTCACCACTGCACTCCAGCCTGGGCAATAGAGTGAGAATCTATCTCAAAAAAAAAAAAAACATGGAGAAACTCCATCTCTACTAAAAATACAAAATTATCCAGGCTTGGTGGCACATGCCTGTAATCCCAGCTACTTGGGAGGCTGAGGCAAGAGAATCGCTTGAACCTGGGAAGCAGAGGTTTCGGGGAGGCGGAGGTTGAGGTGAGCCAAGATCATGGCATTGCACTACAGCCTGGGCAACAAGAGTAAAACTCTGTCTAAAAAACAAACAAACAAACAAAACAAAACAAAGAAAATTACGCACAACTTATTTCCTGGTTTGTGATAATCTGTGAAATACATTTTGAAATGAATTGGAATTCAATACAGTACTATTCACACCCCAAATACTCCTAATATTTCCTTTCAGAGATGATGACCTGGCACTCTTCCTAGGACTTGACTTCTCCCTACAGGTCCCCAGTACAAGTATTTGTGATTCTGAGTTAATTCATTGTCTACATGTGTGACAATGCAATGCTCTTGTTGTTGTAAAGTACCAAGATGAGTCAGGTCCAAACTGCACATTTGTAGAGAACATAGTATATGTGCAATTGAGCATGTATGTGGTTATGATACTGAAAATAATACGAACATAGGCCAGAGCAGTGGCTGATGCCTGTAATCTTAGCACTTTGGGAGGCCGAGGCATGGAGATCACCTGAGGTCAGGAGTTTGAGACCAGCCTGGCCAACCAGCCTGGCCAACTTGCTGAAACCCCATCTCTACTAAAAGTACAAAAAATTAGCTGGGCGTGGTGGCAGGCACCTGTAATTCCACCTACTCAAGAGGCTGAGGCAGAAGAATCGCTTGAACCCGGGAGGTGGATGTTGCAGTGAGCCAAGATCACACCACTGCATTCCAGCCTGGGTGACAAGAGTGAAATTGTGTCAAAAGAAAAAAAAAAAAAGAAGAACATTGGCCTTGGGCGTTTCTTTAGGTTGCCTCCTGTGTTCTATTTATAGCATGCCTTTATCAGGGTTTTGGGGTTTGGGACTAATTCCCAACTTTCTGGCACCGTAAAGTGTTTCGATTCATCTGGTATTTTCCCTGACCCAGACATGGAATAAACCATTTATTTAAAGATCCTTGGTTTCTTTTATTGAAAAGTATTATTTACAAAGCACCAAAATCTTGGGCTGGGTGAGGTGGCTCAGGTCTGTAATCTCAACACTTTGGGAGGCTGAGGCAGGAGGATCCCTTGAGGCCAAGAGTTTGAGACCGTGCAAGATCAGGCCATGCACAATGGCTCACACCTGTAATCCCAGCACTTTGGGAGGCCAAGGAAGGTGGATCACTGAAATTCAGGAGTTCAAGACCAGCCTGGCCAACATAGTAAAACCCTGTGTCAACTAAAAATACAAAAAAATTACCCAGAAGTGGTGGCACCTGCCTGTAATCCCAGCTACATGGGAGGCTGAAGCAGGAGAATCGCTTGAACCTAGGAGGCAGAGGTTGCAGAGAGCCGATCGTGCCACCGCACTTCATCCTGGGTGACAGAGTGAGCCTCCATCTCAAAAAAAAAAAAAATCTTTGCAAGATGAATGCTACAAAATGAGGGCAAATTGTTGGCTATAATCGGAAGACTTTTTCTCGATTGAATGCTCTATCCCAAAGTTCTATGAGAGGTGGTTTGTGTGTGTCTATTGGCTGCCTTGTGGATAGTATGTATGATTGATCCTCAGTGCTTTGGGAATTATGTAAAATAGTTTATATTATGAAAGTAATTCAACCTAGCATTAATTGTGCTAAGTGTTGAAAACGAAAAGTGTTGACTACATCTGAATGAATGAGTATCTGGCTTACCGGTTTTGTTTTTGTTCTGTTTTGGTTTTTTTTGTTTGTTTGTTTTTGTTTTTTGAGATGGAGTCTCACTCTGTTGCCCAGGCTGGAATGCAGTGACATGGTCTCGGCTCACTGCAACCTCCACCTCCTGGGTTCTAGCAAGTCTCCTGCCTCAGCCTCCTGTGTAGCAGGGACTACAGGTACATGCCGCCACCCAGCTAATTTTTTGTATTTTAGTAGAGACACGGGGTTTCACCCTGTTGGCCAAGGCTGGTCTCGAAATCCTGGGTTCAGGCAATCCACCCACCTTGGCCTCCCAAAGTGCTAAGAGTACAGGCGTGAGCCACCGCACCAGCCTAGCTTACACTTTACAGCTTGTTTCTTATGCATAATAGTTTTTGTTTGGTTGGTTTTTGTTTGTTTTTACAAACAGGGCTATGAAACCATCAAGATTTGTGGATCATCAAAAAACAAAACATCCTGATAAAATTGAGAAACAATGTTTAAAAAGTTTAAAATCGAATTTTGAACTGTAACACTGTTACTTCTTATTTAAGAAGGACAAGGAGCCGGGTGAGGTGGCTCACACCTGTAATCGCAACAATTTGGGAGAACGAGGCGGGTGGATCACGTGATCCCAGGAGTTGGAGACCAGCCTGGGTAATATGGTGAAACCTTGTCTCTACTAAAAACACAAAAACTAGCCTGGCACGGTGTGTGCACCTGTAATTCCAGGTACTGGAGGCTGAGGCAGGAGACTTGCTTCAACCTGAGAGGCGGAGGATGCAGTGAGCCGAGATTGCAGCACCATGCTCCAGCCTGGACTATACAACGACACTCGTCTAAAAAAAAAAAAAAAGGATAAGCAAATTATGGTGAAATAATTGCCCTATAAAATTGCAGAAATAGGCCAGGCGCAGTGACTCACGCCTGTAATCCCAGCACTTTGGAAGGCCGAGGCAGGCGGATCATCTGAGTTCGAGAGTTTGAGACCAGCCTGGCCAACATGGTGAAACCCTGTCTCTACTAAAAATACAAAGTCAGCCAGGCGTGGTGGCACACGCCTGTAATCCCAGCTACTCGGGAGGCTGAGGCAGGAGAATCACTTGAGCCCAGGAGATGGAGGTTGCAGTGAGCTGAGATCGTGCCACTGCACTCCAGCCTGGCTGACAGAGCGAGACTCTGTCTCAAAACAAAAAAAAAAGAAAGAAAAAAAAAGATTAATCGTTGTAAAACCCCATAGTGCTTTATAGTTGCTGAAACTGTCATAGGACTCACATTAGAGACCGTAACTTCAATAGTGATGTATCACATTGCCATTATTTCACAATCACTCCTATTGAGCAATAATTCAATTCAAAGATGCTTTAATGAGATGTCAGGTAATACCAAAGAGTAGCTGATTAATCAAGTAAGTTTCCTATTCAGATCAATGAAATCAGTTACTGAGAGTAAGGCCTGACAATAGGACATGTTTGTTATTTCAATAATGACTGCAAACTAGAAGAAGAGATACTTGTAAAATCTTTAGACACTGACCGTACCAGAACATCTATTCTTGCTGCTATAAAAACTTGGTTTGGGGCTGGGTGCAGTAGCTCACGCCTGTAATCTTAGCACTATCATTTCCTCATATGATATGGAAAATGCCGACCTCTGCATCCTAACTCTAAACTAATTTCCCACTCACTTACTAAGCTTCAGTCACACCAGGCTGCTTTCTGTTTCCGGAACGCTCCAAGTGCTCTCTGATTTTTCAGGGTCTTTAGTGTAGCTGTGCCTCTGCTTGGACTACCCTTCCACACTGCTGGCTTCTCACCACCAAAGCTCGAGGGTTATCTCTCAGACACCCATCCTATCAATGCTACGCGAAGTATCCCTCAAGTTACTGCTTATACCACCTATTGATTTATTTCATAGTATTTATCACAATATAAAATTACTTCATTTCCCCCCTTTAATTTAAAATCTTTTTTTTTTTTCTCCAGACTAGAATGTAAACCTCATGTGGGCAGCAGACATGTCTGCTTATTTTTTTTTTTTTTTTGAGACAGAGTCTTGCTCTGTCACCCAGGCTGGAGTGCAACGGCGCGATCTCGGCGCACTGCAACCTCCACCTGCCAGGTTCAAGCGATTCTCCTGCCCCAGCCCTCCAAGAAACTGAGATTACAGGCGCCCACCACCAGGCCTGGCTAATTTTTGTATTTTTAGTAGGGGAGCAGTCGGACTCTGGACTATATTTCCTGGAGGATCCTGCAGGCCGATACCACGTCTCGCGAGATTTTGGCTTCCTCTTAGCCAGGTGGCAGAATCTTTCGCTGTGCGCAATTAGCTGCTGCCGCGCCTTGGAGTCTGGAGCAACTTGGCCAGGCTGGCCCCGAGCGGAACTAGAGAAAGCTGAGGATGAGGAATCCGGCTTCTGTCCTTTTGTGTGTGGAGGGCTGAGGAGAGGAGTTTGCGTGTGTGATTGCGATGGTTGCCGTGGGTCTTCGTGGTCTGTGACTGTGGCTGTGTGGTGCTGACTCTGGGTGATCAGGTGGGCGCTTGTGACTGTGCGCGCTCGGAGTGGATGTGTGTGTCCTGGACGAGCCGCGTTGTGTGTGCGGATGTGGACAACCGTTGACTGTGTGGTTGGGGATGCGTGTCCCAGGGTGGGTGTGTGACTTTGCGTGTGTGTGCAATACTGTGTGTGCGTGAGTTGCAGGTCTGTAGCTGTGCAGGTGCAACTTGTGTGGCCCCGTGGTCTGTGTGAGAGAGGAGAGTGTGATCGGCTGTGAGGCAGAGGGTAAGTGGATATAGGGAGGCATGTGTGCGATTGGAACTTTGTGTGTCCCCCTGAGAGAAAAAACCCTTTAGGGAGTTAGGGCGGGTCCTTGGTAAAACTCCTTTAAATAGAGAACAGCCTGAAAAATCAGGCTGCAGGCACAGAGAAGGAAAACTAGCACAGGGGGTTGTCCTAAAGACATTCCTCAGCTGCATTGATAAGGGACCGAGGCCCAACATAGAAATGCCTTTGTCCTTTGTGTGACCAGCGGGCTTCCAGGAAATAGTCACTTTTTTTGTGGGCATGTATACGGTGGGCTCTGTTAAATTTTGAAGGGAAGGTGAAGGTTAAAGAAAGAGAGAGAGTTGGCGGCTCTATGGAGGGGACCAACTAAATGCCAGAGCCCACTGCCGCTTACAGGCTGGAGCAGGAGGGGTCTGGGCAGTATGGCTTGTTGCCTGGGAGAATGTTGATAAGGATGTTTCTTGGGCCTTTCCCCAGCAGGATGTGATAAGGAAGTCAGGCGGTTGGGTAGGATGTTTCTCTCAGCCCAAACCCCAGTGGAATGTTTCCCTCTGACCAGGGTCTGTGAAATGGTGGGGGCTTACAAAACGGTGCAGCTTGGACTAGCAGGCTCTGGCGGCCACTTTCCTTTTCTGGACATGCTTTGGACTGTGAGCCGAGCCTCTATGAATCATCACTTCAGCCCCTGATTGGTCCTGGGCCAAACTTTCACTTTAGCCCCTGATTGGTCCTGGACCAAATTTTCACTTCAGCCCGTGATTGGTCCTAGGCCAAACTTTCACTTCAGCCCCTGATTGGTCCTAGGCCAAAATTTCACTTCAGCCTCCGATTGGTCCCAGGCTAAGGTCCCAGGGCCAAACGAAGTAGTGCTTTCTCCAAGACAGCCCACAGACCAGTGAGCACATTCCTCCCCTGCCCAGTTCACAAAACCCCCAGATTCAGCCTCCTAGTTGGCAAACCTCTTTTGGGTCCCCTCTCCGCTGGGGAGAGCTTTCTTCTTTTGCTTATTAAACTTCCGTTCCAATCTCATCCTTTGTGTCCACGTTCCTTAATATTCTTGGCTGTGAGAGAAAGAAGGCAAAGACAAGAGCCTTTATCCTAACAACTCAATTGCTGGAGAGAAGATTCGTGCATATTCTATGTGGCATCACACGCCATAGCCCTGGGATTGAAAGCCATGCAGTTTATCGGATGGTGTCAATCTCAGTCCAAATATGTAATAAGATCTTTCACTTTGCTGTATTTTAGGGGTAGGAATGAGATTGGGGGTTTGATCAATAGTTTGTACCCATAGGACCAGGGATTTGCCCAGTCATCTGTGAGTAAATGCTTAGGCCAGTTTCCATGTCTGTATTGAATTAAATACTCATACGGTTCTGTGATTTTGTCAAATACAGATTTGGTCTTTGTCCCTATTTTCTGGCATACAACTCCTAAACTCCTTGGAATCTCCTAAGTGCTTGCTTTTTTTTTTTTTTTTTTTTTTTTTTTTTTTTTTTTTTTTTTTTTTTAAATGGAGTCTTGCTCTGTCACCCAGGCTGGAGTTCAGTGGCGCGATCTCCACTCACTGCAACCTCTGCCTCCCGGATTCAAACAATTCTTCTGCCTCAGCCTCCTGAGTAGACCACAGGCATGCGCCACCATGCCTGGCTAATTTTTGTCATTGTTTTCTTTTTTAGTAGAGAAGGGGTTTCACCATATTGGCCAGTCTGGTCTCGAACTCCTGACCTCAAGTGATCTGCCTGCCTCAGGCTCCCAAAGTGTTGGGATTACAGGCATGTGCCACCGCACCCAGGCTTTGGCTTTTTATATGTTAGTGATTGACCGATAGCTTCAGGATGGGGGCTGCTCATCAGAAAGACCAAGGCAGGATTAGAGGGTTGGGACTTTCAGCCCCTACCCTCCCACCCCTGGGGAGTGGAGGGGACTGAGGACTAAGTTGATGGCAAGTGGCCAATGGTTTAATCATGCCTATGTAATGAAGCCTCCTTGCAAACCCAAAAGGAGTGGATTCGGAGAGCTTCCAGAGAGCTGAACACATGGAGGTTCCTGGAGGGTCGTGCCCAGGGAGGGAATGGAAGCTCTGTACGCCTTCCCCCATACCTCACGCTAGGCATCTCTTCATCTATATCCTTTGGAATATCCTTATAATCAAACAGTAAATGTGTTTCCCTGAGGTCTGTGAGCCATTTTATTCTAGCAAATTAATCAAACCCAAAGAGGGGGTCGTAGGAACCCCAAATTAAACCCGTCAGTTGGAAGTTCCAGAGGGTGGGACTTGTGACTGGTGTCTGAAAGGCGGGCAGTTTTGGGGGCTGAGCCCTCAATCTGTGGGGTGACACTATCACATGGTAGATAGTGTCAGAATCGAATTGGTGGCCACCCAGCTGGTGTCTGCTGCAGAACTGATTCCTTGCTTGCTGATAGGGAGAAATCTCCTCATATTTTGAGGCCACAGAAGTCTTCTGGGTAGATTGTTGTGGTTTTGGTGTGAAGCAGAGGAAGAACACAGGTTGAGTTTTTCCAAATGGGTTCACATTGGGGGTCCTCAACCTCAAATCCATCAACTCCATCGCTGAATTTTTATTTATGTATTTATTTTTATTTATGAGGTAGGGTCTCACTCTGTCTCCCAGACTGGAGTACAGTGGTACAATCTCAGCTCATTGCAGCCTTCATCTCCTGTGCTCAAGTGATCCTTCTACTCAGCCTTCCAAATAAGCTGAAACCAGAGGCACACACTAGCACTCTTGCATAATTAAAAATAATTTTCAGTAGAGAAGAAGACTCACTGTGTTGTCTGGGCTGGTCTTGAACTCCTGACTTCAAGCAATCCTCCCCCTCTGCCTCCAAAGTGCTATGATTACAGGCATGAGCTGCCTCACCTATCACTGATTTTCTCTTTCTTTCTTTCTTTCTTTCTCTCTCTCTCTCTTTCTTTCTTTCTTTCTTTCTTTCTTTCTTTCTTTCTTTCTTTCTTTCTTCCTTTCTTTTTTTTTTGACAGAGTCTCACTCTGCCTTGCCAAGGTTGAACTGCAGTGGTGTGATCTCGGCTCACTGCAGCCTCCGCCTCCCGGGTTCAAGTGATTCTTCTGTCTCAGCCTGCTGAGTAGCTGGGATTACAGGTGCCCGCCACCACACCCGACCAAGTTTTGTATTTTTAGTAGAGACAGGGTTTCACTATATTGGCCAGGCTGGTCACGAACTCCTGATCTCAGGTGATCCACCTGCTTCAGCCTCCAAAAGTGCAGTGGCAGGATCAGGGCATACGGCAGTCTTGACCTCTGGGGCTGAAGGGATCCTCCCTCCTCAGCCTCCCAAGTAGCTGGATTATAGGCATATGGCACCATGCCGGGCTAATATTTGTAATGTTTGCACAGATGGGGTTTTGCCATGTTGCCCAGTCTGGTCTTGAACTCCTGAGATTCAACAATCTTCCCACATGAGCCTCCCAAAGTGCTGGAATTACAGGGAAGAGTCACTGCACCCGGCCTGTCACTGCATTTTTAAAGGGAAGGAGGACTATAGTGAGATTCACTAAGGCTTACAAAAAAGGTAGAAACCTAGATAGATTAAAAGACAGAGATTATAATATCCTTGAGATGATAATATTCAAATTTAGCTTTCATAGATAGGGAAATTTGAAGTACATCAGACTATAAGGTGGCATTTTGTGCAACTAATTAAAACTATGTTGTAACTAACCTGCACAATGTGCACATGTACCCTAAAACTTAAAGTATAATAAAAAACAAAAACAAAAACAAAAAAAACAAAAAAAAAACAAAAAAAAAACAAAAAAAAGAAAGAGAGCAATTGCATTTTCATTACTGAGTAATATTAAGCAACAATGAAAATAAATAGAAATAACCAAGAAATTGTTATATTTAAATCCTCCCTCCTTTATTGGAAAGAGAAGTATTGATATTTTTAGATTCTAATCAAAACTTCGCTTTTAAAAAAATTGATGATTCTATGGAGATAGGGAGGGAATAACCTATGTTTATTGAACACCTAATATTCCACTTACCCGAATGTCATTTATTCTATATTCTAGTTTTTTTGTTGAGACAGGGTCTTGCTCTGTTACCCAGCCTAGAGTGCAGTGGGGTGGTCACAGCTCACAGATATATACCACCATGCCTGGCTTATTATTTTATTTTATTTTATTTTATTTTTTGTTATTTTTGCAGAGACGGTGTCTCCCTATATTTCCCAGGCTTGACTTGAACTTCTGGGCTCAAGTGATCCTCCTGCCTTGGCATCCCAAAGTCCTGGGATTATAGGCATAAACCACTGTGCTCAACCAATATTATAGTGTTAATAGTAGAAGTGTCTTAGTGTACTGGAAAACTTTTTCTAAATTTTGAAAAAATATTAAAAAACACGTTGGTTTTATTTGGCCAATACTGATTTCTTTGCTCCATCATTATTTATTGGCATTATTAGCCTGTTGACTTTCAATTTCCTTACATCCCTTTCACTCCATTTCTTTTATTTTGTACCCCAAATAGAAATTCTTTTTTTTTTTAGATGGATTCTCGCTCTTGGCTCTTGTGACCCAGGCTGGAGTGCAGTGGTGCAGTCTCAGCTCACTGTAATCTTCACCTTCCAGGTTCAGGTGATTCTCCTGCCTCAGCCTCCTGAGTAGCCTAGATTACAGGCAAGCGCCACTACACCCCACTAATTTTTTGTATTCTTTTTTTTTTTTTTTTGAGATGGAGTTTCCCTCTTGTTGCCCAGGCTGGAGTGCAATGGCACGAACTCTGCTCACTGCAACTTCTGCCTCCCAGGTTCAAGCGATTCTCCTGCCTCAGCCTCCCAAGTAGCTGGGATTAGAGGGTGAGCCACCACACCCGACTAATTTTTATATTTGTAGTAGAGACAGGGTTTTGCCATGTTGGCCAGGCTGGTCTGGAACTCCTGATCTCAAGTCATCCGCCTGCCTCGGCCTCCCAAAGTGCTGGGATTACAGGCATGAGCCACTGTGCCCGGCATTTTAGTATTTTTATATTTATTTATATTTTGATAGACAGTCTCGCTCTGTTGCCCAGGCTGGAGTGCAGTGGCACAGTCTCGGCTCAGTGCAACCTCCGCCTCCCAGGCTGAAGTGATTCTCCTGCCTCTGCCTCCTGAGTAGCTGGTATTACAGGCACCTGCCACCACGCCTGGTTACCTTTTGTATTTTAATTAGAGACAAGGTTTCACCATGTTGGCCAGGCTGGTCTTGAACTCCTGACCTCACGTGATCTGCCCACCTTGGCCTCCCAAAGTGGCCTTGCTTGAGGCCAGGAGTTTGAGACCAGCCTGGCCAACATGGTGAAACCTGCTCTCTACCAAAAATACAAAAGAAAATTAGCTGGGTATGGTGGTGTGTGCCTGTATTCCAAGCTACTTTGATGGCTGAGTCATAAAAAATCACTTGAACCCAGGAGGCAGAGGTTGCAGTGAGCTGTGATCACCTCACTGCACTATAGCCTGGGTAACAGATTGAGACTTGTCTCAAAAAAAAAAAAAATTCTTGGCAGGACGTGGTGGTTCACACCTGTAATCCCAGCACTTTGGGAGGCCAAGGTGGGTGGATCACCTGAGATCAGGAGTTTGAGACCAGCCTGACTAACATGGAGAAACTCCATCTCTCCTAAAAATACAAAATTAGCTGGGCGTGGTGGTGCATGCCTGTAATCCCAGCTATTCAGGAGGGTGAGGCAGAAGAATTGCTTGAACCCAGGAGGCAGAGGTTGCAGTGAGCCGAGATCACACCACTGCACTCCAGTCTGGGCAACAAGAGCAAAACTCCATCTCAAAAAAAGAAAAAAAATCTTTACTTTGGATAAATACCTAGAAATGGAATTTCCAGGTTGGCCTTTAGATATTATTAATGGATTTAATATGAAAAACCTTTACTTGAGGATGTATAAAGCTTTAAAAGACAGGGTCCCTATTCTTAAGTTATAAATAAAGCAGCATTTGTAAGGTAATATTCAGAAAACATCAGATAATATCCTATAAAGTCCTCCTGTTCATGCTGATGACATTGTATGGCCAGTTAAGGATGACACTTCATTCTGTCCCCTGCAACCACGGTCCTGACATGTCTAAATGACACTGGCCCTATGAGAACACTGTGGATGTGAAAGCATTTCCTCAAGTTATCTTTTTGGCCTGCTGGTTTTAATCTAATGATGGGATATCCAAAGTGAATCTAAAGGAGTGACATGATTGTGCATCTGTTGGGGGGAATCAGAGACAGCTAGAGCAAAGGCAGACACGTGCTGAACTCATCTGTCTTAAGAGCTGAAGCAAGCAGCAGTATTGCTAGCAGAGCTACTGCACATCTGCACATGTGCTCCAATGGCTCTGATCTGTTTTTTTCCCAGTATGAACCTAATACATGAGGCAAGTTAGAAAATCGGAGTTGGCCAGGCATGATGGCTCACGCCTGTAATCCTGGTACTTTGGGAGCCAGCGTGGGTGGCTCACTTGAGGCCACAATTTTGAGACCAGCCTCAGCAACACAGTGAAACCCCGTCTCTACTAAAAATACAAAAATTAGCTGGGTGTGGTGGCAGGCACCTGTAATCCCAGCTATGGGAGGCTGAGGTTGCAGTGAGCCAAGATCAGGCCACTGCACTTCAGCCTGGGTGACAGAGCAAGACTGTCTCAAGAAAAAAAAGGGAAAGGAAAGGAAAGAAAATCACAGCTTGTTAACCTCTTGCAGCTAAACACATATGCACAAAAATTATTCAGTAAAAGCAAAACAGTTTTGGTGTATCTTGAGATTTTGTTTTATATCCAAAGGAAGACTATATCTTTTATCTTTGAACTACTCTTTGGAAAATGCCTTCTATATAACAAATGTTATAGTTTTCTTCTAATTGGGTCTTGAGGTCTCTCAGGAGAATGGCTATAAACTCTACCTCACTCTAATGGGGCTCTAGGGGAGGGGCCTGTGGGTCTTTAGAGTAGCCTTTCACCAGAAATTTCTTTTTCCTGGACCACAGCCTAATGCTCAAGTATCTGACCCATGACCAGGTGTCTCACAGGAAACTTGTTTATACTGGCAGATGCCCTTGTAACTTTTGTCTGACCTGTGTGCAGTTTATTCCTACCATGATACCCACTCTTTTTTTTTTTTTTTTGAGACTCAGTCCCGATCTGTTACCAGGCTGGAGTGCAGTGGCACAACCTTGGCTCACTGCAACCTCCACCATCTGGGTTCAAGCAATTCTCCTGCCTCAGCCTCCCAAGTAGCTGGGACTACAGGTGCACGCCACCATGCCCAGCTAATTTTTGTATTTTTAGTAGAGTCAGAGTTTCACCATGTTGGCCAGGATGGTTTTGATCCCTTGACCTCATGATCTGCCCTACTCAGCCTCCCAAAGTTCTGGGATTACAGGCATGAGCCACCACGCCTGGCCTTTTTTTTTTTTTTTTTTTTTTTTTTTTTGAGACAGGATCTTGCTCTGGTGCCTAGGCTGGAGTGCAGTGGCAGGATCAGAGCTCACTGCAGCCTTGACCTCCTAGGTTCAAGCAATCCTCCCACCTCAGCCTCCCAAGTAGCTGGGACTAGAGGCATGTTCCACTACATCTGGCTAATTTGTATATGATATGTATTTTTGTAGAGATAGGGTTTTGCCATGTTGCCCAGGTTGATCTTGAACTTCTGAGCTCAAGCAATTCACCTGCCTTGGCCTCCCAAAGTGCTGTGATTACAGGTGTGGGTTACCACACCCAGCCAATGTACATTTAATTATCAAAGTACTATCTATACTATTTTATGGAAGTACTAATTATCAAAGTGCAATAGAGGTTTTGTTGTTGTTGTTGTTGTTTTTCTTTTGAGACAGGGTTTCACTCTTATTGCCCAGGCTGGAGTGCAGTGGTGCGATCTCGGCTCACCGCAACCTCCACCTCCCAGGTTCAAGCGATTCTCCTGCCTCAGCCTCCCAAGTAGCTGGGATTACAGACATGTGCCACCACACCCAGCTAATTTTATATTTTTAGTAGAGACTAAAATGGTCTCTCCATGTTGGTCAGGCTGGTCTCGAACTCCTGATCTCAGGCGATCCATCCGCCTTGGCCTCCCAAAGTGCTGGGTTTACAAGTGTGAGCCACTGTGCCTGGCCAATAGAGGTTTTTCAACTTTTTGTAGATATTTTTGAAAGATCCTGTCTTCCTTTAAAAAAAGAGACAAGGCTGGATGTGGTGGCTCATGCCTGTAATCCCAGCACTTTGGGAGGTCAAAGCAGGTGGATTGCTTGAGCTCAGGAGTTTGAGATTAGCCTGGCCAAAAGGCAAAACCTCGTTTCTACTAAAAATACAAAAAAAAAAAATTAGCTGGGCATGGTGGCGCATGCCTATAGTCAAAGCTAATACAGAGGCTGAGGTGGGAGGATCACCTGAGCCTGGGAGGTTGAGGCTACAGTGAGCTGTGATTGTGCCACTGCACTCCAGCCTGGGTAACAGAACGAGACCCTGTTTCAAAGTGAAAACAAAAACAAAAAAAATGAAACAAGAGAAAAAAAACAAGAAAGAAAGTGGTGAGGGGGAAGTGCCTATTTATTAAGCTTTTGTTGTAAATAGTAACTTGCATATCAGATGTTTACTGTAATATTCTTGAAGCTTTGCCAGGCCTGCAGCTTGCTGTGTGCTTTTCAACTCTATTTCATTTATTTGGGAAATAATATATCAATGTACTTTATTCATTCCCAGCTCTAACCATGGAATACTGGGAATGTCCCATTCTATGAAGGAGGTTTGCCGGCCACAACAGGAATATTCATGAACATGGAGGTCCTTTGTTGAAGTTACACTAATTTTTTTACTCTTCCCCATTCTGAGCCTAGCCGGTCTGCTCACTATATTCGCTCCATCCTTCAGCACCCTTCCATCTCTTGCTTCATCTTAAAAACCTTTCCTTTAATTTCAACAGTGCTGCCTGAGTTTGTCATTTCAGGGGTTGGGCATGTTCCAGGATCTGTCTATAGACTTCTCTCAGGAGGAATGGGAGTGCCTGGACACTGCTCAGAAGGACTTATACAGAGATGTAATGATGGAGAACTACAGCAGCCTGGTCTCACTAGGTAAGTATGTCTATCCCCAAATAACTCATGAATTTTGAGTGTAGCTTTCACTTGTCTGGGTGACTTTTCACCTGCTGCTTAGGGAATTGTTTTGTGTTTTGTAGATTAATATATGGGCAGCTCTTTGGGTTCCCTTCATCTTCTCCATGCTTCAGACCTTTACACCTTCCTCTAGTCCTTCATGAGTACTAAGGGACTAACTTTGAATTCAGGAACAGCACGAGTATGTCTTACTTCTTTTCTTTCTTTCTTTCTTTCTTTCTTTCTTTTTTTTTTTTTTGAGATGAAGTCTCACTCTATTGCCCAGGCTGGAGTGCAATGGCATGATCTCGGTTCACTCCAACTTTCATCTCGGGTTCAAGCGATTCTCATGTCTCAGCCTCCTGAGTAGCTGGGATTACAGGCACCTGCCACCATGCCTGACCAATTTTTGTGTTTTTAATAGAGACGGGGTTTCACCATGTTGGTCAGGCTGGTCTTGAACTCCTGACCTCAAGTAATCCACCTGTTTTGGCCTCCCAACGTGCTGGGATTACAGGAGTGAGCCACCATGCCTGGCCATCTTACTTCTTTTCTTATAGACAGGTCTCTCTATCCCAAAGCCTGATGTGATTTCCTTACTGGAGCAATGGAAAGAGCTCTGGATGGTTTCAAGGGACGTACCAGGAGGATGGTGCCCAGGTGAGTAAGGACTGAGCAGATGAGGAAGGCACTGCTGTTTAGAACCCAGCCCATCAGGGAGGCAGCACTGTAAAGGTATTGGTTGAGGAATCTCTTCTGCAAGGTCCCATGTAAGAGTTGTGGCCTAAGACACATGGAGAAAAGTCAAGATACCCCCGTCACACACACACATTTTTTTAATTTTTTTTAATTTGAGAGAGAGTCTTGCTCAGTCACCCAGGCTGGAGAACAGTGATGCGATCTCGGCTCACTGCAACCTCCGCCCCCGGGTTGAAGCGATTCTCCTGCCTCAGCCTCTAAAGGAACTGGCATTATAGGCGCCTGCCACCATGCCCAGTAATTTATGTATTTTTAGTAGAGACAGCATTTCACCATGTTGGCTAGGCTGGCCTCGAACTCCTGACCTCAGGTGATCCACCTGCCTTGGCCTCCAAAAGTGCTGGTATTACAGGTGTGAGCCACTGTGTCTGGCCAAGAACCCCCTTTTACCTCCACCTCTTCAGTCTGTGCTACCCTCTTGTCATCGTTTCTTTCCATTTCAAAGAATAACATTCCCTTCTTCAGAAGCCATCCTGTTTCCTCTATCTTGGAGCTACTTCTTTCACTTTAAAAATTAAACCTGTGTTGCTGCCTTAAAAACAAATCTTTTAAAATATATTTATTTTTCATACTGATCCTTGACTTTTTTTGCCTTGTCTTTTCTTGGCTAGTTTTCCTTTAATGCAGCCATTTCATGCATGAATGGATATTCATTCACTATTTTTTTTTTTTTTTTGGATACAGAGTCTCACTCTGTAGCCCGAGCTGGAGTGCAGTGGCGCGATCTCGTCTCACTGCAAGCCAATAAGAAGCGCTTGGGGATGACCTCCCTACAAGCACAGCAAAACTTTTCTTGCGCATTTCTGCGCTGGAACGCCTACCCGCTCCGCCAAACCAAAACTTTACTATCACCCTTAGTGCCGTGTCCTGCACTTTCTTGGAGATTTGTACCAGGCGCTGGAGACTCTCCCACCTGGTCCATGCCCGCCGCCCGGTGAGCACTGAGACCCAACCTTGTGCACCGCCAGTCTTGTTATCAACAAACAGGCTAGTAAATTATAAAAAATAAAATAAAGGAAATGTAGCTGGCCGTGGTGGCATGTGCCTGTAATACCAGCTACTCCGGAGGCTGATGCAGGAGAATCGCTTGAACCCAGGAGGTGAAGGTTGCAGTCAGCCGAGATCTCACCACTGCACTCCAGCCTGGATGGCAAGAGCGAAACTCCTTCTTGAAATAATAAATAAAATAAAGGAATTGGGGCCGGGCGTGGTGGCTCACGCCTGTAATTCCAGCACTTTTGGTAGCCGAGGTGGGCGGATCACTTGAGGTCAGAAGTTTGAGACCAGTCTGGCCAACATGGTGAAACCCCGTCTCTACTAAAAATAAACAATTAGTCAGGCATGGTGGCGGGCGCCTGTAATCCCAGCTATTTGTGAGGCGGAGGCACAAGAATCGCTTGAATCCCGGAGGCAGAGGTTGCAGTGAGCCGAGCTCGTGCCACTGCGCTCCAGCCTCGGCGACACAGCGAGACTCCATCTTAAAATAAAATAGGCTGGCTGAGGGTGCTCATGCCTGTAATCATAGCACTTTGGACGCCGAGGCGGGTGGATTGCCTGAGCTCAGGAGTTCAAGACCATCCTGGCCTATATGGTGAAACCCCATCTCTACTAAAAATGCAAAAATTAGCCGGGCATGGTGGCGCATGCCTGTAATCCTAGCTACTTGGGAGGCTGAGGCAGGAGAACCGTTTCAACCCAGGAGGCAGAAGTTGTAGTGAGCCAAGACCGCCACATTGCACTCCAGCTTGGGCAAGAGGATTGAAACTCCATCTCAAAAAAAAAAAAAAAAAAAAAAAACAAATAAATAAATATAAAAGAAATAGACAAAGCAAACCTTAATGCATGAACTCAAACAAATGCTTTCACTGCCAGGCTCCATCTTTGCAAATCTGAACCTAGAACAATGTGCACGTTTCTAACTAGCAATTCTGGAGGACAGATCAGGGAGGCAGTGTGAGCTTGCTTTTCTGCAATTTAATTGACTGGTCAGTAAAGTCAGTGTTTGCAGGCATTTTCAATGTTCTGTAGTGGGCTTCAGTTCCTATGGCAGTGTGGCAGGCCAGGTTTCCAATAGCAACCAGAAGAGTTTCTACTAACCATTTTCTATAATTTTGATGAATGCATAAGTTAACGTTAAAGAAATGGAGAAACTGGTGCCTGAGTATCAGGGATGGAATGTGAAAACAAACCTATTGAAACCCCGCCTGGGTTTTCTCAGACCCTAAAGTCTGATCGAATAATGATAGCATTGGTACACATTCACTTCGGCCTGTCTTAAGATTCAGAAACTTTCCCAGATGCTAGAGAAATCTTTCCAGACTCTAGACCCAAGTTAAAGATTAGATGTTGATTGAATGAAACACTCCTGCTTGTAGGTGCAATCCCACATGGAGCTTAAGATGTATATAAGCACTAGAAAAAAAAACTTGTAACTTTGAGTTGATCTGGTGAGTTACCTGGCGCTTCTCCCTGTAAATGGCTGCAGAAATAAACTTCCTTCTTTCCCAGTCTGTCTGTGTCTTGTTATTGAGCAATTGCGGTGGACCTGCCCAGCAAAGTCCTCTTTTGTGTGGTTATCTGGGACTCCTTTTGGAGGGAACATTTTAAACTTTCCATTTCAGAGCATTCTGTTGGCACTCTTACACTGTTTTTCTCTGCCTACCCTGGGACCTGAGTTCTCCTGGACGTGAATCTCCAGCCACAGAGCCTAGAAGCCCATTCCTCCACATTCTGTGACTGTTCCCCAAACACAGGGAGAATTTGCAGAAAATAAGCCCAAAAATCTTGCCATTCTTTGCAATAAAACCCCACATTACAAACTGTGGAAAACAGGATTTTAGCCTGAATAGGTTTTTCCTCTATTTGAAACCCTTTACAATTTTGGAGGGAAGTTTCCAAATCAATCAGTAAGTACCCCCCACCCCAGGTTTATCCTTATGTAAAGTGCCCCCTTTGCACATGCAAGATTGAATAAACCTTGAAAATATTATGCTAAGTGAAAGAAGCCAGTCACAAAGGACCACATGTTATGTAATTCCATTTAAATAAAATGTCCAAAATAGACCAATACATAGAAACAGAAAGTAGATTTGTGGTGGCCCAGGGTTAGGGGAGTTGTGGGGAAATGGAGGGATATGGGGTTTACTTCAGGGTAATGAAAATGATCTAAAATTTATTGTGGTGATGTTTGCATAACAGTGCAAATATACTGAAAACCTTTGAATTTTACACTTTAAATCAGTGGCTTCTGTGGTATGTTATCAATATTTCTCAATAAAACTTCAAAAAAAAAATAGTGCCTATGTGTCTTTTTATGTATTATTCCTCCAGAGTCCAGTCCATAGTTTTTACATTTGATGAAGAAATTAAGATTTTGTTTTGTCTTCTTCTTCTTCTTCTTTTTTTTTTTTTTTGAGACAGAATCTCCCTCTGTTGCCCAGACTGGAGTGCATTGGCACAATCTTGGCTCAGTGCAACCTCCAGGTTAATTTTTGTATTTTTAGTAGAGACAGTGTTTCACCATGGTGGCTAGACTGGTCTCAAACTTCTGACCTCAAGTGAGTCCCCCACCTTGGTTTCCAAAATTGCTGGGATTACAGGCGTGAGCCACCATGCCCAGCCCAAGATTTAGTTTCCGTTGTTTTGATGCCCTAGGGCCATCTTATTCTACCTTAATTTCTGACGCATCATCTCAGTGGAAATTTTACATTAGGTTCCAAAGTATTTTCCTCTTTTGAAGATTTTATCAGTTGAGTACAGTAGCTCACACCTGTAATCTCAACACTTTGGGAGGCCAAGGTGGGAGGATCAGTTGAGAGCAGGAGTTCAAGACCAGTCTCTGCAACATAGTGAGACACACATTTCTACAAAAAAAATTTTAATTAGGTGGGCATATTTGTGCATTCCTGTGGTCTCAGATTACTACGTAGGCTGAGGAGGGAGGATCACTTGAGCCCAGGAGGTTGAGGCTACAGTGGCCATGATTATACCACTGCACTCCAGCCTGGGTGACAGAGCGATACCCTGTCTTAAAAAAAAATTAATTGGAATTTTTTTTAGAAAACAAAGTATACACTTAGTGACTTGATACAAATGAATGAATTTGATAATCTACAGAAAATAAAACAAATAAATAAATAAAAACCCAAAGCCATTCTTCTTATGTGAATCTCTGGTGTCTCTGAATTATAAGAATTGTGAATTATGATTAATAACAAATATGCATGACAAGGACTCAGTAAGGGATAGGTGTTGATAAACTGCAATGCACACTTACTGGAGTGAGGCCTTTAAAGATGTACAAGAAAAAGAAAGAAAAGGCATTGAAAAATTGCATTGCCTACCAAAACGCTAAAGTTTACCTAAGTCCATTAATCAGCACACACACACACACACACACACACACACACGCAATAGGTGTGTAAAATGGTCAACACAGTCTCCTATGAATGTATCCTTTTATTAATAGGTCTGTGGGGGTAAGAGATGAGGTTCTATAGATCCTGGAATCAGGGATGGGGAATCTGTGGGGTCCCTGGGTTGAGAGATGAGGGTCTGTAGATTACTGATGGGTGGTCTTTGGGATAGTGATGAGGTCCATGGAATCAATTCTTGTGAGTATGTAGGGTCAGTGATGAGGGAATCTGGTGTCAGTGATGGGATGTGTGTGGAATCAATCTTTGAAAGCCAGATTTGTGGTGTCATCTCTCAGGCTGACACATCCTGATCTGTGTGTCAGTGGTGGAAATTCTATGGGGTCAGAGTGTGACTGTCAGGTCCCTGACACTGTGTGTTCTGGGTCTGGCCAAGTGCACGGATTCCCTTGCCTGGTCCTGGCTGGAGAGGCCCTTCTCAAGGACTCCTCACATGAAAGGTGGGTTGGTGGTGGGTTTTGTTTTTGCTTTTGTTTTGTGGTGGAGGTGGGGGTGGGTTGGCTTTTTCTTTAGGGTTTAGTTTTGTCTCCTAGAGACCACAGACACATGCAACTTTTAGGAAGAAATTTTTGTCTGGGTGGTCGCTAGGTCCTTTGGGCCAAGCCATCTAATGGGAGTAAAGCTGACCATTCCCTCAGCGCGGTTCAGATCTAGACTGTCATTTTGAGGTGTCCTCAAGGTGGCGTGCAAGTGGGTTGTGGCTTTGAGTGGCAGGTGTGTGGGAAGAAACAACTAAGAAGACCCAGGAGCGCTCCTAGCCTGGATCTGTCACAGCTGGAAGAACAGCCTCCCTGACCCATCAGGCGCCAATGGGAGGTACCTCTGGGCTTTGAGAGGCTGGTGGAGGTGGGACCTCCAGACCTAGAGATTCTGGGCACAGAAGCCTGTTACTGCCAGACCCTGAGGCGTTGCCATGGGATCCAAGGGTGTTTCAGGTCAGATCAGAGCCTTTCTCAGATAATTATTTCGGTAACTTGTCCAGCGCACGCTGCTATGAAGGCTTAATGTGCCGTCTCCCGCAGTCTTCTTTGGTCTGAGAGCCACTTGTTTCTTACATCCCTGTGCTAATCTCACCATCTGCTCCTACATACCCCAGGCATTTGCCACATGCTGGTCCTCTCTTTCCTGACAGGCGGGACGTCTCTCCAGCTTCTGTGAGGACAATTCAAATTATGGAGGAGGGGGCTGATGCAGGGCAGCATGCTGAGGGGAGTACCGGGCAGTTGGAGGAGCAGGGGCTCATTTTTCTTTGTAGCTCAGATTCCTAAGCCTGTGACTTTGAGTATCAGTGTCTTCCTTGCAAAGTTTCAATCTGAGGTTCTTGGGGAGAGTGCAGAATTGGAACCCGATGGAAGCCTGGTGGGGAGAGGGGTGGATGGTGGGAACATGGAGAATGTGTCAGGTTGTGTCTATTCCTGACACCTTACTTTGTCTGTTGGAGTTTCCCAGTCTGTTCCAAATGCACTCTCTCGACCCTGAAGGGACCTGAGGGGGGATGTTGGTCACCAGTGTGTGCTCCCCTGGACTCGATTGGAATTGGTCCCACAAAGTGTTATTTATTTATTTATTTATTTGGAGGGAGTCTCGCTCTGTCACCCAGGCTGCAGTGCAGTGGGGCAATCTCAGCTCACTGCAACCTCTGATTCCCAGGTTCAAGTGATTCTCCTGCTTCAGCCTCCCTAGTAGCTGGGACTACAGGTGTCCGCCACCACACCTTGCTAATTTTTTTATTTTTAGTAGAGACAGGGTTTCACAATGTTGGTCAGGCTGGTCTCGAACTCCTGACCAGGTGATCGACCCACCTTGGCCTCTCAAAGTGCTGGGATTACAGGCGGGAGCCATCACACTCCGCCAGTCCCACAAAGTTAGGCATTATAGTACATTGCTACTTTTGAATCACTTATTTTTTACTTGTGTTTTTCCCCCTCCTTTTATTGATTGATTGACACAGAGTCTCACTGTGTCACCCAGGCTGAACTGCAGTGGCACAATCTCGGTTCATTGCAACCTCTGCCTCCCGGGTTCAAGCGATTCTCCCACTTCAACCTTCCAAGTAGCTGGGATTACAGGTGCATGCCATCACTCCTGGCTAATTTTTGTATTTTCAGTAGAGACAGGGTTTCACCATGTTGGCTAAACTGGCCTCAAACTTCTGACCCCAAGTGATCCACCTGCCTTGGCCTCCCAAAGTGCTGACATAGGCATGAGCCTCCTTTCCCAGACTTCCCTCCTTTTCCTTCAGGGATTTTAAATGTTTTCTTTCCTCCATCTATTTAATAATATGTGATTGCCTTGAGGATTTCAACTTGAATTAAAATTACATATATTTACCTGTCTTTATTAATATTGAAACATATTAAAATAATACATGTTCATAATGAAAATGAAACATTACAAATTAATACACAGGAAAGGCAGTATTCCCCTTCCAGTTCCACCCTTGAAATAACCAGTTAACAAGATGATGAGCATCTTTCCATGATGTTCTCCAAGAGATTCATATAAGTATTGGCCAGCAAACAACAGAATATATAGGCCAGGCATGGTGGCTCATGCCTGTAATCCCAGCACTTCGGGAGACTGAAGCAGGTGGATCTTTTGAGGTTAGGAGTTCAAGACTAACCTGGACAACATGGTGAAACCCCATTGCTACAAAAAATACAAAAATTATTTGGACGTGGTGGTGAGCGCCTTAATCCCAGCTACTTGGGAGGTGGAGGTACAAGAATCTCTTGAACCCGGGAGGAGAAGGTTGCAGTGAGCCAATATCGCATTACTGCACTCCAACCTGGGTGACAGACTGAGATTCCATCTCAATAAATAAGTAAATACATAAAATAAAGAGAAAAAAAGAAAGAAAAAAGAAAAAGAAGAAAGAAAGAAGAAAGAAAGAAAGAGAAAGAAAGAAAGAAAAAGAAAGAAAGAAAGAAAGAAAGAAAGAAAGAAAGAAAGAAAGAAAGAAAGAAAGAAAGAGTGTTCCTATTTCTCCACATCCTCTCCAGCACCTGTTGTTTCCTGACTTTTTAATGATTGCCATTCTATCTGGTGTGAGATGATATCTCATAGTGGTTTTGATTTGCATTTCTCTGATGGCCAGTGATGATGAGCATTTTTTCATGTGTTTTTTGGCTGCATAAATGTCTTCTTTTGAGAAGTGTCTGTTCATGTCCTTTGCCCACTTTTTGATGGGGTTGTTTGTTTTTTTCTTGTAAATTTTGTTTGAGTTCATTGTAGATTCTGGATATTAGCCCTTTGTCAGATAAGTAGGTTGTGAAAATTTTCTCCCATGTTGTAGGTTGCCTGTTCACTCTGATGGTAGTTTCTTTTGCTGTGCAGAAGCTCTTTAGTTTAATTAGATCCCATTTGTCAATTTTGGCTTTTGTTGCCATTGCTTTTGGTGTTTTGGACATGAAGTCCTTGCCCACGCCTATGTCCTGAATGGTAATGCCTAGGTTTTCTTCTAGGGTTTTTATGGTTTTAGGTCTAACGTTTAAATCTTTAATCCGTCTTGAATTGATTTTTGTTAGAATGGCAATCATTAAAAAGTCAGGAAACAACAGGTGCTGGAGAGGATGTGGAGAAATAGGAACACTTTTACACTGTTGGTGGGACTGTAAACTAGTTCAACCATTGTGGAAGTCAGTGTGGCGATTCCTCAGGGATCTAGAACTAGAAATACCATTTGACCCAGCCATCCCATTACTGGGTATATACCCAAATGACTATAAATCATGCTGCTATAAAGACACATGCCCACGTATGTTTATTGCAGCATTATTCACAATAGCAAAGACTTGGAACCAACCCAAATGTCCAACAATGATAGACTGGATTAAGAAAATGTGGCACATATACAACATGGAATACTATGCAGCCATAAAAAATGATGAGTTCATGTCCTTTGTAGGGACATGGATGAAACTGGAAACCATCATTCTCAGTAAACTATCACAAGAACAAAAAACCAAACACCGCATATTCTCACTCATAGGTGGGAATTGAACAATGAGATCACATGGACACAGGAAGGGGAATATCACACTCTGGGGACTGTTGTGGGGTGGGGGAGGGGGGAGGGATAGCATGGGAGATATACCTAATGCTAGATGACGAGTTAGTGGGTGCAGTGCACCAGCATGGCACATGTATACATATGTAACTAACCTGCACAATGTACACATGTACCCTAAGACTTAAAGTATAATAAAAAAAAAAAGAAAAAGAAAGAAAGAAAGAAAGAAAGAAAGAAAGAAAGAGAAAGAAAGGAAGAAAGAAAGAAAAAGAGAGAAGTCTTGTGCTCAGGTTGCTAAGATCGATGGTAAGAACAAATCCTCTAGCGGTGAAAATGTAAGAAGGAAAAAGAAATTTCTGTTAGTGTTGTTTGTTGCACCCCAAGCTCTAAAAAGTACAGCCACGTGTGTGATAAGTGCTTAGTTAAGATGAAAAAGGCATTAAATTTGTGCGTGGAAATCATAAACAGAAATGCGTTCTGATTGACAGCAATTGGGTCAATGCTACCCAAGTTTCAGACATCCACTGCACGTCTCCTGCAGATAAGGGAGGGCTACTATATAACGTTTCTTTCTTTTTTCTTTAATTGTAAAGCATTCTCCTTTTTTAATATAACAATTGGCCACATATATCACTTTAGATATAAAGATATTAGGATACCATTATAGTAGATAAAAAGCTAACTCATTCTTTGTAAGAGTTAAAGTATCTTTCATTATATGAGCATTTAAGATATTAAAGTACTTTTGCCACCAAAAATAGTGCTTCTGTAAATATTCTTTTACTTATATCTCTATTAATTTTTACTTCTGCTGAAACGAATTGTATGAGCAAACAAGTGTATGTGTATAAAGTGTGATATATGTATATATATTTAATATGTGTATATACAACTTAATATATACACATACATACAAAAACATATACAATTTTTTTGTTTTGTTTTTTGAGATGGAGTTTTGCTCTCTCATCCAGGCTGGAGTGCGGTGGCGTGATCTCGGCTCACTGCAACTTCCACTGCTTGGTTCAAGTGATCCTCCTGCCTCAGCCTCCTGAGTAGCTGGGAATACAGGCATCTGCCACCATGTCCAGCTAACTTTGTTTTTTTAGTGGAGATGGGTTTTCACCATGTTGGCCAGGCTGCTCTCAAACTCCTGACCTCAACTGATCCGCCCACCTTGGCCTCCCTAACTGCTGGAATTACAGGCATGAGCCACCGTGCCTGACCTCAAGTGATCCACCCACCTTGGCCTCCCAAAATGCTGGAATTACAGGCATGAGCCACCGTGCCCAGCCTAACATATACAATTTAATGTATATACAAATATAGGTTGGGTGCGGTGGCTCACTCCTGTAATCCTAGCACTTTGGGAAGCTAAGGTAGGGGATTGTTTGAACGCAGGAGTTTGAAATCAGTCTGGGCAACGTGGTGAAACCCCTATCTGTACAAAAAACACAAAAAATAGCTGGATGTACTTGCAGGTGCCTGTGGTCCTAGCTACTCAGGAGACTGAGGTGGGAGGATAGCTGGAGCCTGAGAGGTCGAGGCTGCAGTGAGTTGTGATCATGCCACTGCACCCCCAGCGTGGGTGACAGAGTGAGACCCTGTCTCAGACAAAAACAAAAACAAACCATATATAATGTTTATGTGCTACACACTCGATTTCTTTCCAAAGGGTTATATAACACTGTAATTTCACCAGCAATATGTGTGACTACTCATTTCCTACGTATTTGTGTGCAGTCAAGAAAACTTAGTAGGCCTGAATTGTCCAAACCTCGCAAACTCCAAAGAAAGGTTTGATTCTATCCTAGCTCCCAGGAAATAACTTCTAAGTCTTTGGAATCTCCTGCCTATCTGGGAGTTAACAACATGATTTATTGTGGGGACTTTGGACCATGCAGTGTCAGCTTGACCTTGGGAAGGGTGGAGACAGAGAAACTAATGTCATCCAAATGGCTGCTCTTGTCCATGTGACCAACTTCCAGTAAAATCCTCAACACCAAGGCTCAGGTAAGCTTTTTGTTGGGGAGTATATTCTGTACTTTCTGCCACGTATCACTGGGTGAATTAAGCACTGTCCACATGATGCCACTGGGAGAGGACAACTGGAAGCTTGTGCTTTGTCTCTCCTGGACTTTGCCCTAGGCACCTTTTTCTGCTGCTGATTTTAATCTGTATTTTTTTGTTGTAATAAACTGTGAGTATAACAGCTTCACTCGGTTTTGTGAGTCTTTCTAATTAATCACTAAACCTTTGGGACCTCAGAACACAACATTGTTTCTTTTTTTTTTTTTTTTTTTTTTTTTTTTTTGAGACAGAGTCTCGCTCTTTCGCCCAGGCTGGAGTGCAGTGGAACACAACCTTGTTTCTTCTTTACTTGAATTTTACATGTTGTGTAAGAAACCTATGGGCATAACTGAAAAATCACAAACTAAGAAAGAGCTTTCCATGCAGTCTACCCCCCTCACCCTGTTTCTTCAGTGCTCCCATGTCTACTTCCTGAATAACCAAATGTTTAAATTTTCTAAACTATTTCTAATCTATATATCTGAGTAATTATCTCTGTGTTATATAATAGGTAGATCCTGCTCCTTATCAATATATCAACTTGATATATTATCTGATGGCTTCCTCTTCTGATAGCTGATGACTTGGCTGACACTCACCCCTTACCCCAGTGCCTGGATCACTTTTCAAACATGGTGCTCTCACCATTTTCTTTTTCTTTTCTTTTCTTTTCTTTTTCTTTTTCTTTTTCTTTTTGAGACAAAGTATTGCTCTGTCACCCAGGCTAGAGGGCAGTGGCATGATCTCGGCTCACTGCAACATCCACCTCCCAGATTCAAGTGATTCTCCTGCCTCAGCCTCCAGAGTAGCTGAGATTACAGGGGCGCACCACTACGCCTGGCTAATTTTTGTAGTTTTAGTAGAGATGGGGTTTCATCCTCTCAGCCAGGCTGGTCTCGAATGCCTGACCTCATGATTCGCCCATCTCGGCCTCCCAAATTCCTGGGATTACAGGCATGAGCCACCGCACCTGGCCACTCTCACTATTTTCAATGGCTCTCTTGGTCACCTTTCACTCAGGAGAGTATCTGAGGCAGGAGAATCGCTTGAACCCAGGAGGTGGAGGTTGCAATGAGCTGAGATGGTGCCATTGCACTGCAGCCTGGGCAACAAAAGTGAAACTCTGTCAAAAAAAAAAAGCAGAAAAGAAAAGAAAGCAAGCTCTTCCTCCATATACCTGTAAGGATCATTGTCTTAATTTTCTTCATGTCTTAACATGATTCTTGCCTTGTCAAAGATCATCCTATCTGAAATTGAAACTATTTACCTCTTGCCTTTTTTCCACAGCACTTAAAACTTTTATTTTTGAGATGGAGTCTCACTCTGTCACCCAGGCTGAAGTGCATTGGTGTGATCTCAGCTCACTGCAACCTCCGCCTCCCGGGTTCAAGTGATTATCCTGCCTCAGCCTCCCAAGTAGCTGGGATTACAGGCATCTGCCATCACGCCTAGCTAACTTTTTTTTTTTGTATTTTAGTAGAGACAGGGTTTCACCATGTTGGCCAGGCTGGTCTTGAACTCCTTTCCTCAGGTGATCAGAACCACTTCGGCCTCCCAAAGTGTTGGGATTACAGGCGTGAGCCACCACACACAGCCCTGGCTAATTTTTGTATTTTTAGTGGAGACAGGGTTTCACCATGTTGGCCAGGCTGATCTCGAACTCCTGACCTCAAGTGATCTCCCTGCCTCGGCCTCCCAAATTGTTGGGATTACAGGCATGAGCCACTATGTTCGGACTTCTTTTTAACAAACCATCTCTGTTCTTATATTATGTCCACTAGAATGTAAACTTGATGAGAGCAGGAGATATTGTCAATTTTGTTCAATGCTATTTATCCCTAGAGCCTAGAACTGTACCATGCACATGGTAAGGAGACAAATATTTGTTGAATGAATTTATTGAGCAGCTGTTCTCAGATTTTTGGCCTCAGAAATTCTTTACTCTCTGTTTCTTTACTCCTGACCTGAGGTGATCTGCCCACCTCAGCCTCCCAAAATGCTAGGATTATAGGAGTGAGCCACCACGCCCAGCCGCCCAACTCATTTTTGTATGTTTAGTAGGCACATGGGGTTTTGCAATGTTGGCCAGGCTGGTCTCGAACTCCTGACCTCAAGTGATCCCCCACCTCAGCCTCCAAAAGTGCTGAGATTACAGGCATGAGCCACCCCACCCGACTAAATAAACCAAAAACTTTAGATAAGTGAATTTGGAGGAAATATTTATAACAGATAAAATAGACAAACAGATAATTCTAATTTATTGTCTCTCTGCCTTAATAAAATATTAGACAATACCCTAAGAAGAAAGAAACAAAATCTAAAAATTCACCATTCACAAACACAAATAGTTAGAAAACAAAGTCAAAACCTAAGAACATGTTGACCACTTATCTGTCCTCTGAAATCGGCTCTTAAATGTGTTGAACATAGATTGACTTGGGATTAGGAAATTTTTAAAATATTTTTTAAAGTTTCACTTTTTGGAATTGAAAATTAATCCAGATTATGTAATATACAACATTTGGAATTTACCAATCAATACTCTATCATTTTATTTTTCACTCTTCAAATAATTTCTTGTTCAAGAGTTTAAAATGCTTTTAAAATTAATAGATTCTGCAGGCTATAGTCTGCAGAGACTGTCTCCACAAAAAATAAAAATATATATACTTTTAAAATATATATAAAATATATATTTATTTAAATGTACATGTTTTAAGTATATAAAATATATTTTTAAAATTTCATTTTTTCACCGGATTGTATGGTAAGCATATGTTTAGTCTGGCAGGAACTTGCAAAACTGCCTTCTACAGTGGCTGTCCCACTTTGCATTCTCAGCAGAAATAGAGATGAGTTCCTGTCGCTCCATATCTTCACCAGCATTTGGTGTTGGTGTTTGCATTCAAGCCAGTCTAATAGATGTGTAATGATATCATTGTTTTAATTTGAATCCCCTAGTGACATATGGTGTTGAGCATCTTTTCAGAGGTCTAAGAAATGTGCTGGGCATGGTGGCAGACACCTGTGGTCCCAGCTACTCAGGAGGCTGAGGTGGGAGCGTTACTTGAGCCCTGGAAGTTGGGGCTGCATTAAGCCATGATTGCACCACTGCACTCCAGCCTGAGTGACAGAGCTAAACCCTGTCTCAAAAAGATAAATAAGGCCAGGTGCAGTGGCCCATGCCTGTAATCCAAGCACTTTGGAAGGCCAAGGCGGGTGGATCACGAGGTCAGCAGATCAAGACCATCCTGGCTAACACAGTGAAACCCCGTCTGAACTAAAAGTACAAAAAAATAGCCAGGCATGGTGGTGGGTGCATGTAATCCCAACTTCTTGGGAGGCTGAGGCAGGAGAATCGCTTGAACCCAGGAGGCAGAGGTTGCCATGAGCTGAGATCACGCCATTGCACTCCAGCCTGGGTGACAGAGTGAGACTCCATCTCAAAAAATAAATAAATAATAAATAAATAAATAATTGACTTAATTTTTAGAACAGTTGTAGGTGTACAGAAAAATAGAGCAGAAGGCATACTGAGCTCTAATATCCGCCTCATACTATAGTACACACACTTTCTCTATTATCATCTTGTTAATGTGGTACATTTGTTATGTCTGATGAGCCAATATTGATATTATTAAGTTCATGGCTTATATTAAGATTCACTCTTTGCGTTCTACCATTTATGGTCTTTGACAAATGCTTAAGGACATATATTCACCATTATAGGGTCACACAGAAAAGTTTCACTGCCCTAAAAATCTTCTGTGTTCCACCTATTCATCCTTCCCTCCACTCAAGCCCCTGGCCACCACTGAACTTTTTATAATAGCATCTGCCTAGTTTTGCCTTTTCTAGTATTCCATATAATTGGAACTCTACACTATGTGGCCTTTTTGTATTGGCTTCTTTCACTTAGAAATACGTGTTTAAGATTCCTCCATGTCTTTTCATGCCTTGGTAGTTCATTTCTTTTTATTCCTGAAGAATATTCCATTGTATGAATGTTTCAGAGTTAGTTTATCCATTTCTCTATTGTAGGATATCTTGGTTACTTCCAATCTTTGTCAATTTGTTGTAAACATTAATGTGCAGGATTTGAGTGAATATAAGTTTTCAAGTCATTTGGGTATATACCAAAGAATGCAATTGCCAGATCGTATGGTAAGCCTATGTTTAGTTTTGCAGGAATTTGCAAAACTGCCTTCCACAGTGGCTGTACCACTTTGCATTTGTGGCAACAATCAATGAGAGTTCCTGTAGCTCCACATCCTCACCAGCATTTGGTGGTGTCAGCATTTGGATTTGAGCCAGTCTAATAGATGTGTAGTGGTATCTCATCATTGTTTTAATTTGAATTCTCTAGTGACATATGGTGTTGAGCATCTTTTCAGATGCTTGTTTTTGCTGCCTATATAACAAAGGGTAGATACAGATGATGGACTTCAGGGAAAGAGCTTGCTATGACGATAGGAAGCTGCAGGCAGAGATGATCTCAGGGTTAACTGGACACCAACTGTGCCTTCTCCTGTCACATAAAATGTGGTCTACCTAAGTTTTGACTGGAAACACAGACTATCTGGTTGTCCATAAATATTTCTAACTGAGGCTTAAGGTTTATGCATGTTTCGACCAAAAGGTGATACCACCCCAATATATAAGCAGGTCGGGGTACAACAGGTAATGACTGTCAGAGATGTTGAGAGTCTACATTGAATGGTGTCACTGGCTGCCCATGCCTTTCTCATTAAGGACTTTCACTTTTCATTTGCCACATGAAAGGCCACTGAGTTAGGCTACATCTTATTTTTTCTCTTGAGAATCTCTAGTACTGAGAAATTTTTGCATTCTGGGCTACACTGGGTTCATAATCTGACTATATATATTGTGTGTGTGTTTGTTCCTTCCCTAAAATGCTCAGTTCAGCTGCAGTTCTAGAGGTAAATACTACTAGGTTTCCATTTTAGAGAGTTGAAGATCTGAGGTCTGGAGAGGTTAGTGTGTAGAAAGTTATGTTTAATAAGTGGCAAGACCATGTGGCCAGGTCAGATAAGCTGCCTTCAGATTTTACTCTCGAACTTCTACTGGATAATGTCTTTTCATTATAGAAAAGAAAAGAGGGAACTTAGATGTTTTTTTCAAAATCATTGACTATAGAATTTCTTTCAAGATATGATGAAAAGCAATAATTGTCTCATTTTATATTACCTATAATTATTGCTCACCAGAAATTGATTATCGATGCAGCAATCTTTTACGTTCCTGTCTGCTTTATTATGCATGGCCGGGCTTCATTGTAAATAAGAGATCCAAGATTCAGAAATATCTTTAACTTGCAATGCTTGGTCACAGGTATCCATCTGAAAAATATTTTGCTCATTAGCCATATGGACTCATATGGTAAACTACAGCCAGAGACTCAAAATGTGGAAAGGAGAAAGGGCTATCAGAAGTCCTGTGTCTCCTTACATTTTGTGTTTCTATTCATATGTATCTAGAATCATGAGAAATTTGAGCAAATGGGAAATGCAAAGTCCTAGTCCATGCATACCCACATTTCAGTTATCTGCATTATTGCACATTTAAATTTATAATGCATACATAGGATACAATTCAATAGGTATAAAAATGTTAAGTAATCTTTTCTCTCATGCACCCCAGTCATTCAGTGCTCACTTTTGAGTCAGCATTTTAATTCTGTTGTGCATACTTTCATAATTTTTTTTTTATCTTTTTTTTTTTTTTTTTTTGAGGCAGAGTCTTGCTCTGTTGCCCAGGCTGGAGTGCAGTGGCATGATCTCGGCTCACTGCAACCTCTGCCTTATTGATTCAAGAGATTCTCCTGCCTCAGCCTCCTGAGTAGCTGGGATTACAGGCACGTGCCACCACGCCTGGCTAATTTTTTGTATTTTTAGTAGAGTCGGAGTTTCACTGTGTTAGCCAGGCTGAACTTGAACAACTGACCTCATAATCTTCCCGCCTCAGCCTCCCAAAGAGCTGAAATTACAGGTGTGAGCCACCACTTCCAGCCTTCTATTCCTTTATATGTGAAAATCATTTTAACATTCCACATATAAGTAAGGTCATGCAATATTTTTCTTTCTGTGTTTGGCCAACTTCACTTGGTATAATGCCCTCCAGTTTCATCCATGTTGTGGCAAATGGAAAGATCTTGTACTTTTTTAGGGCTGAACACAGAAGTTATTTTCATGTACAAGGTTGCAGTTGCCATACACACAAATATGTATGTATGTGTCATAGTCATATACAATTTTAAATACATATATGTGTTCTATGCATATATAAGTATTTCTCTATTTTCACAGAAATGTCAGTCTAAATCAGTACCTAGGGAGGGTCATTGTTTTCTTAATCTACAAATCAAGACAAAGTATGAGTGGCTGCACCCTAGTTTAATAAGTCCTCTATTATTGAGGATGTTTTCCTGTTTCCTTTTGTCATTGTTGTTGTTGTTTTGTTTTGAGACAGAGTTCCACTCTTTTGTATGAAGTGGTGTGATCTCAGCTCGCTGTAGCCTCCCGAGTAGCTGGGATTATAGGTGCCCGCCACCACACCCAGCTAATTTTTGTATTTTTAGTAGAGACAGGGTTTTACCATGTTGGCCAGGCTGGTCTGAACTCCTGACCTCAGGTGATTCGTCCACCTTGGCCTCCCAAAATGCTGAGATTGCAGGCATGAGCCACCGCACTTGGCTGCTTTCACCATTTCAGACTGAGCTTGGAGAAGAACCTGAAGAAAAACATGACTTTAAAATTTTGATGAATGGAGAAATATCTTTCCATTCACCTTCCTTTCCTCTATTTCATTCTTATTTTAAAATATACAAACAAAGATATGGATACATCAGTTATTAAAGAAACATCTATGTGATACCTATCCAGGTGAAGAAATAGAGCACTATCACCACTGAGAAGTCCTCTGTATGCCCCTAACTGATCCTAAAGTCTTCCTTCCCCTTATTAGTAACAGATACAACAGATATCCACATTACCTGTGGGTATCTGCCATCCTCTCCTTGGTTCTCTTTATAATTTTATTATGTATTTTCTTTCTTTTTTTTTTTTGGAGATGGAGCCTCACTCTGTCTCCCAGGCTGGAGAGTAGTGGCATGATCTTGACTCACTGCAACCTCTGCCTCCTGTATTCAAGTGATTCTCATGCCTCAACCTCCCAAGTAGCTGGGATTACAGGCATGGGCCATGTGCCACCATGCCTGGCTAATTTTTGTATTTGTAGTAGAGATGGAGTTTTGCATGTTGGTCAGGCTGGTTTCAAACTCCTGACCTCAGTGCCTGGCCTTATTATGCATTTTTATATGCCTAAATTAAAGTCTGATTTTGCCTGGTTTTTCTCTTACATAATTGGAGTAAAAGTCTGTATCCTCGTGCATTTGGCCCCTTTTACTCAATATTAAGTATTTAAGATTCACAGTGAGCATTGTTTCTGCATTCTATTAAAACAGTACACCAGCCAGGCATGATGGCTCATGCCTATAATCCCAGCACTTTGGGAGGCCAAGGCAGGCAGATCACTTGAGGTAAGGAGTTCCAGACCACCCTAGCCAACATGGTGAAACTCCGTCTCTAATAAAACTACAAAAATTAGGCCACATTGTGGCTAATGACTGTAATCTCAGCACTTTGGGAGGCCAAGGCAGGTGGATCACACGGTCAGGAGATGGAGACAATCCTGGCAAACATGGCGAAACCACATCTCTACTAAAAATACAAAAAATTAGCTGGGTGTGGTGGCACACGCCTATAGTCTCAGCTACTCGGGAGGCTGAGGCTGAAGAATCACTTGAATCTGGGAGGCAGAGGTTGCAGTGAGCCAAGTTTGAGCCACTGCACTCCAGCCTCGGTGACAGAACGAGATTCTGTTAAAAAAAAAATTAGCCAGGTGTGGTGGTGTGCACCTGTAATCCCAATTATTCGAGAGGCTGAGGCAGGAGAATCAGTTGAACCTGGGAGGTAGTGGAGGTTGCAGTGAGCCAAGATTGTGCCCTGTACTCCAACCTGGGCAATAGAGTGACAGTCTCAAAAAAAAAAAAAAGCCCAGGCCCAGTGGCTCCCACCTGTAATCCCAGCACTTTGGGAGTCTGAGACAGGTGCATCACCTCAGGACAGGAGTTTGAGACCACCCTTACCAACAAGGGTAAACCCCCTCTCTACTAGAAATACAAAAATTTACTGGGAGTGGCGGCGTATGCCTGTAATCCCAGCTACTCGGGAGGCTGAGACAGGAGAATTGCTTGAACCCGGGAAGCAGAGGTTACAGTGAGCCGAGATCGCACCACTGCACTCCAACCTGGGTGACTAAGCAAGACGCTGTCTCAAAAATATATATATAAATTTATATTTATATACATAAAATAAATATAAAAAAAATAAGTAAAAATACCGTACACCAGTGTGTATCCCTTCATTGTTGGTGGACATGTGGGTTGTGTTCATTTTTGTCAGTTACAAATGATGCTGTTGTGAACATGTTTGTATTTCTATTTGGTTACCATTAGTGTGTATTTATGTACAGTATAAAGCAAGAGGTGAAACCATAGGTTACAGGGTAAACATATCGTCAGTTTTACCAGGTATTATTGGTTTCATCCCAATGTTAACACACCAACTGTCAGTCTTACAATGTCTGATAATTCCCAAATCTTTGCATTCTTCTTGACATTTAATTTTGTCAAAATTTTAATTTGAGTCTTTTGGTGGGTATGTGGTGATGATTGTGATATTAATTTACTGGGCCTTTTCTTCTCTGTAACAGGCCCTGTCAAGATATATGTGTGGTGTGGCAGGGGTAGGAGCCCCTAGAGGTAGCATGGGCTCTGGAATCCTTAATCATCCTATGTGAAAAAGTTGATGGGGCAGTGATTTTTCTTTCTTTCTTTTTTTTTGGGGGGGGGGACAGAGTTTCGCTCTTGTTGCCCAGGCTGGTGTGCAATGGCATGATCTCAGCTCACTGCAACCTCCGCCTCCCAAGTTCAAGTGATTCTCCTGCCTCAGCCTCCCAAGTAGCTGGGATTAGAGGCATGTGCCACCACACCCAGCTAATTTTTTTTATTTAGTAGAGATGGGGTTTCACCATGTTTGTCAGGCTGGTCTTGAACTCCTGACCTCAGGTGATCCACCCACCTCAGCCCCCTAAAGTGCTGGGATTACAGGCATGCACCACTGCACCCTAATATTTCCTGGGTGCAGTGTTGTAGCCAGGGTGCAAAGCCACTTAATGATTCTGTCATCCAAATATTATATCTTCTCCCTTCCCCTTGAGATATGCTCATTCCCCCATACAATTAAAGAATCTCAATTACTCTTGAAGGGGCATAAAATCCTCTCTGTCTAATCATGGGTCCTTCCAAATTATTTGTTGGCTGTGTTTAAAATATGAAAAAGAGAATGTAGATTTTGTTTTCTTCTTTCTGCTTAACCTGAACAAAATGTCATAGATACCTCTTAACCTGTTGCTAAACCAAGGAGAGTCACTTGAATAATGAACAAGACTGGAGGGACGCCACATGGATAATTTATCATTACACTATCATCACATACATGGAACTCATCAATGAAGCTTATGAAAAAAATTGAGTCATTTGTGGAAAAGTGTAAAGAGAATATAGGAGATGTCTCAAGTGAAGAGAAAAAAGCTGCAGAAAAGAATTACAAAAAAAGAGTGTTAAGATGCAAACACAAATTCAGAGATTCAGGAGCACAAAGGGCTAAGTTAAGGGAAAAAAGAGTTACCAATATTTTCTTATTCATTATGGAGAGCAGGATGAATTCTTTAAAGGTCAAATAATTGTGAGTCTGATATATCTGATGATAATTTGTATTTCTAATGTTGTAAATGGTTGTGAATTTATGGTCATTATTCCTGTTTCCTTTAGACTAGTGACCATGAGTTTGATTGACAAAAACCCATTGGGTTAGTATTGTTATCTATGTGTGTTCATCATGCTATGTGTTAAAATAAGTCCATCAATTTTTATCTTGTGTTTGTTTTCATTTCATTTTAGTTTAGGTTCTTTGGGACAGGGTCTTACTCTGTCGCCCAAGCTGGATGTGCAGTAGCAAGATCACAGCTCACTGCAGCCTCTACATCTCCAGGCTCAGGTGATCCTCCTACTTCAGCCTCCCAAGTAGCAGGGACTACAGGCATGAGCCACCGCACCTGGCTAATTTTTGTATTTTTTGTAGAGATGGGGTTTTGATATGTTGCTCAGGCTGGTCTCAAACTCTTGGACTCAAGTGATCTGCCCACCTTGGCCTCCCAAAGTGCTGGGATGACTGGCATGTACCACTGTCCCCGACCTGTTTTCATTTTATTAATTGGCTGATTCATTTAGACACATAATCATCAAGTCAAATCTCACTCTTTCCTTAGCATTTCCCTTCAGTTTAGCTTAGAATATCTATTCCTATTTTAAAACACATATGATTATTCAAGTGTGGTGGCACATGCCTGTAATCCTAGCTACTCAGGAGGCTGAGGCAGGAGTATCACTTGAACCTGGGAGAGTGAGGTTGCAGTCAGTCGAGATCGCCCCACTACACTCCAGCCTGGATGACAGAGTGAGACTCCATCTCAAAAAAACAAAACAAAACAAAACAAAACAAAATGTTTTCTCCAGATCATTTTTACATTTAATTATTCAGTCTGCTTTAACTATACCTTAATGTAAAAAATTCAGTAAATTTAACTCCTACACACTATTAGTTAATGTACCTAACACGGTTTATTGAATAAGCCAGTCCATTCCCAACAGCATCAAAAGTAATTACATTTCCCAATGTAAATTAATACAGCCATTATGGAAAATAATATGGAGATTCATCAGAAACTAAAAATAGAATTACTGTATGTTCCAGCAATCCCTCCTGTGGTTGTATAGCTAAAGGAATTGAAATCAGCAAACTGAAAAGATAACTGCACTACCATATTCACTGCAGCATTATTCATAATAGCTAAGATATGGAAGCAACGTAGGAGGCCAGCATTGGATGAATGGATAAAGAAAATGTGATATATGTACACACACACACACACACATAAAGGAATACTATCCACTCTTTATTTTATTTATTTATTTTTTATTTATTTTATTTCATTTTATTTTGGACGTAGTTTCACTCTTGTTGCCCAGGCTGGAGTGCAATGGCATGATCTTGGCTCACTGCAACCTCCACCTCCTGGGTTCAAGCGATTCTCCTACCTCATCCTCTCAGGTAGTTGGGATTACAGGCATGCACCAACAAGCCTGGCTAATTTTGTATTTTTAGTAGAGACAGGTTTCCTCCATGTATGTCAGGCTGGTCTCCAAATCCCGACCTCAGGTGATCAGCCCACCTCAGCCTCCCAAAGTGCTAGGATTACAGGCATGAGCCACCATGCCCGATCTTACTATTTGCTCTTTATCTTTCCTTTGAGATGAAGTTTCCCTCTTGTTGCCCAGGCTGAAGTGCAATGGTGCGATCTCAGCTCACTGCAACCTCTGCCTCCCAGGTTCAAATGATTCTCCTGCCTCAGCCTCCCAAGTAGCTGGGATTACAGGCACCCGCCACCATGCCCAGCTAATTTTTGTATTTTTAGTAAAGAGGGGGTTTCACAATGTTGCTCAGGCTTGTCTCAAACACCTGAGCTTGAGTGATCCACCGGTCTCAGGCTCTGAAAATGCTGGGATTACAGGCGTGAGCCACGGCACCCAGCCAAAAACACAGATGAGTGTATTAATAGTCTGAAGCACTGTAAAATATTGCTGAGAAAACAGATCACTAATATCATCATTACAGAGCACAAAATAAGTTCTGCTATTATTAGGAATATCATAGCTCTGACTAACACATACTTGGAAAACTCATTCTATTAGAAATTAAATTATACTAATACTATTGACAATCACTTTTATAGTTGTCATTGCAAACTCAAAGACAAGAAGTAAATTCATCACCAGAAAACATAAAACAAGTACTTAGCCTTACTGCTGAGAAGCCTGTAATTGCATTTTACTGAATGGCACCTCAGTTCTTGGGATAAAATTTGAAACGGCAACTGGAAGGACAGCTTTAACTTTAAAATGGTTTTATTTTTAGGGTTGTCATGTTGTAAAAGCTATTCTCACATAGCTAAGCTGTTGGAAAGAGACCAGGTTTTGTGAAAGTTTTTCATCAGATGTTTCACGTTGTCCTCACTGCAACCTCAAACAGTGGCAAATGCTTTGTAAGCTGCTGTAATGCAAACTCAGCTGATAAATTAATAAAATTCTGTTTCTTTAGGCCGGGCACGGTGACTCACATCTGTAATCCCAGCACTTTGGGAGGCCGAGGCGGGCGGATCACGAGATCAGGAGATTGAGACCATTGTGGCTAACACGGTGAAACCCCATCTGTACTAAAAATACAAAACATTAGCCGGGCGTGGTGGCATGCATCTGTAATCCCAGCTACTTGGGAGGCTGAGGCAGGAGAATCGCTTGAACCTGGGAGGCAGAGGTTGCAGTGAGCCAAGATTGCACAACTGCACTCCAGCCTGGGGGACAGAGAGACTCCGTCTCAAAAAAATAATAATGAAAAATGAATAAATAAAATTAAAAAAATAAAATTCTCCTTCTTTAATGTCCTAAGCCAGAAAATATTTGTTAACATTGCTAACAGGAATGAATGGACGTGAATGGACCACCCAAAGATTCTCCTATTTCAGGGTCAACTTCAAAGAGAAAACATCAATTTCACAGTGTTTCTTGCTTACCCAGGTCAAGAGTTACCAATATCAAGACATCCAACTGCACAGAGATTGGACCTAGAGCAGCAGGAGGGCGTATACAAATCACAGATACCAGACGGAATTGCGAGAGGGAGCAGAAAAATGATTCATCTGTATCAGGTGTGGTCTGCAAGTTGTAGGATGTAGAATATAGCTTGTGGATAAAGAGAATTAGAAAAAATTAATGCCCATTCAAGTTTATTTTATGAACTAGCCAAAAGTCGCACATGGATATTCACAGTAGGTAGAATGATTAGAGCAGAAGTAGCACTTTTGGCACATAGTTATTGGGATTGAAGGGGAATTCATTTTAGCTTTAACTTTAAAATAGATTTAATTACTTTTATTTTAATTAATTATTCTAAAGCTTTTAATTTTAAAAAAGTTTGTAATTTTTATTTTGGCAAAATATACATAGCATAAAATTTGCCATTTTAACCATTTTTAAGTGCATAGTTCAGTGTCACTAAATACAGTCACCTGATTGTACAACCATCACCACCATCCATCATCTCTAGAAGTTTTTCTTTTTCAGTTTCCCAAACTGAAACTCTGCATTCTTTAAACAATAGCCCTTCCTTAATCTCTTTTCCCATTAACTGGGAACCTTCATTCTACTTTTGGTTTCTATGAATATTACATGCTACATACCTCATATAAGTGGAATCAGGCAGTATTAGTTTTTTGTATCCAGCTTCTTTCACTTAGCATTATGTCAAAATCCATCCATGCTGTAGCATGCGTCCAAATGTCCCTTTTTAATGCTAAGTAATATTCCACTGTATATCTGTACCACATTTTGTTTATCCATTCCTCTGTCAATGAATGCTTCCACCTTTTGGCTATCATGAATAATGTTACTATGCACATGAATTTGCAAATATCTGTTGAAGTCCCTGCTTTCAATTCTTGTGGGTTTAAACCCAGAAGTGGACTTGCTGACTCATATGGTAATTCTATGTTTCATTTTTATTTATTTATTTATTTATTTATTTATTTATTTATTTATTTGAGATGGAGTCTGGCTCTGTCACCCAGGCTGGAGTGCAGTCGTGTGATCTCAGCTCACTGCGACCCCCCACCTCCCAGGTTCAAGGGATTCTGCTGCCTCAGCCTCCTGAGTAGCTGGGATTATAGGCACACAGCACCACACCCAGCTAATTTTTGTATTTTTAGTTGAGATGGGGTTTCACCATGTTGGTCAGGCTGATCTTGAACTCCTGACCTCGTGATCTGGCCACCTCGTTGTCCTAAAGTGCTGGGATTACAGGCATGAGCCACTGAGCCCAGCCTATGTTCCATTTTTTTAAAATTTAGGAACTGCTGTACTCTTTTCCACCATGACTATACCACTGTAGAGTCCACCGGTAATGCACAAGAGTTTCGATTTGGCTACATCCTCACCAACACTTATTATTCCCTGGTTTTTTGATGATTGCCATCTTAATGGGTATGAAGTGCTATCTTATTATGGTTTTGATTTGCTTTTCCTTAGTAATCAGTGATGTTGAGCATCTTTCATGGGCTTGATGGCCAGTTGTATATCTTTTTTGGGAAAATTTCTATGTAAGTCCTTTGCCTATTTTTTAATTGGGTTGTTTATTTATTGCTGAGTTGTAGGAGTTCTTTATATATTCTGGATATTGGTCCCTTATCAAAGATATTATTTAAAATATTTTCTTCCATTCTGCCGGTTGTCCTCTGATTGCACAAAAGTTTTAAATTTTGATGAAGTCCAATTTACTTATTTTTTTGTTTTGTTACTTATGCTTTTGGTGTCAGAAAGCTTTTAGTTTATAATTTTAAATATATTACGTCTCCTGCCTCATAAGTACCACTGGACAAGGTCCCTTTTATGTACTCAGCTTCTGTCAGAGGTAAATGTATTTTGAAGTGGAGGACAAAGATAATTGCACAATTGGCATGGAGAACTAAGGTAATTATGAAAGTTCCAGATACAAAGAGAGAGAGCTCAATATGCCAGCAGTTCTCTACCAATCCATCCTAGAGGTCTTCTCTTGGGATTGCCTAAATAATGCAGGGGATGGTTGCAAGATACACAAGTGTTCCAGAAGCGTGTAAACAAGGTACAGAGAAAAGGATGAGATAAAATAAGATGATATAAGATATTAGGAAAGCCTTGTTCAGAAGATTGCCTACAGAGGCAAAAGGGACAGTTTCATTTTGCTGAGGGAAACAGGGTGGTAAGAACACTTGTGGGGAAGACCCCCACTTACCCTGATACAGAGAGAAGCTGTAAAATAACTTAATGGGAGAGCATTAGGCTGAGATAGTTCCCATGGCCTGGGTTCCTACATAGGCAAAATGAAAAGCTTAGCCCATCAACAAGTGGCCCGCTGAGTATTAGCTGTGTAATGAGAGACCTACCACCAGGATACTTCAAATAATGCAACTGCCCAAATTTTTGCCAATCAAATAATTTCTCTACTCTACTTCTATATTCACCCTATAAAAGCCTTCCCTACAAACACCTCCAGTAGATCCTCCAACCACTTTCAGTTTGGAGCTGCCTGATCCATGAATCTCTGTTTGCTCAAATAAACTCTTTAAAAATTTAATATGCTTAAGTTTATCTATTTTTTTCTCATTTTTAAAAATTGAAATGGGATCTTCCTGTGTTGTTCAGCCTGGTCTTAAACTCCTGAACTCAAGGGATTCACCTGTCTCAGCCTCCTGAGTAGCTGGAATTATAGACGTGTGCCTCCACACCCAGCTTACATTTATCTTTAAACAAGGGTTTGACCCCTTTCTGAAATATATTTGTGTGAAGACCTGTACCCTCAGTGATATGGCAAGCTCATTTTAGACCATCGAGCACTTTTGTCTCTGGACCACAATTTGCCCTTTGTGACCTGCTCTCCTAAAAAATTCAAGTGTAATTCAAGTTAGTTTACCCTCTGCTGATCAGGGGAGGTTGATCTAGGTGCAAGTTCAAGACAGGCACTCACTCCTTCATTCATACCCCAAATCTCAGCATCACACAATACACCCATGTAATAAACCTGCACAGGTACCCTCCAGAATCTAAAATGAAAGTTGAAATTCATTAAAATTGTAATTTCATCTTATTAAAAAACAAAGATAAATTTGCTTCTTTCCAATTTTGATATATATTATACTGACATACACACTGTATTCTATGGTGAATTATATCGATTGAATTTCACATTTTAAACTAACACTGAGTTACTTTGAGAAACTCTGTTGGGTCATAATGTGTTATGTTTTTAATATATTTTAATACAATTTGCAAAAATTCTGTTTTAAAATTACATCTATGTTCCATAAATAAATAAATATGTAAAAAATAATAAATGTTTATATTATTCAAGTGAAGATTATAGCGATCTTTTTGAATATCTACTTAACCTCAGCTAGCTTTAAATTCAGAAGTAGCAACTCCATAGAAATTCAACTTATTTCTACCTTATTACTCATACTTGTCTCCTTGAAGAAGCTTCATTGCTGTCATCCAGTTTAGACTGGGATGTCATAAATCTCTAGACTGAGTAGTATAATATTCACTATTAAAATAAAATCAAATTATTATTATAATGTTATGACACCTCCAAATACAAAAAGCAAGCCCATGGATGTTAGGTTAAGGTATAGAGACAAGTATTCCTACTTACTATCTTTTAGGGCAGACATATCCCAGCCAAGGTGATTGCAAAATGAAATGGAAACTATATGGTGGAAGGGGACTTGAGACTCACACAGATTGGATTTTCATTCCAACCCTCACATACACAAGCTGCATGACTCTGGGTTGATTGCATATTCTCTTAGATTTTCAATTTCTTCGTCTGTACAATGGAGGTTAATGCCTATGGGCTACGGCTGATGTGGGGATAAAAGAACCAACAGGGATGCATGGGCAGGGCCTGGTCCATGGAGCAGCTGGCATCAACAAATGGAAGCTCCTTCCCATCTTGTATTTGTGTGCACTACAAAATCCGGAATATGTGGGTATAAAAAGTACCTTTATAAGAGACATAATTGGAAACTTTTGCAAAAAGAGTTTGGAAAGGTGTCACATCTTGTGGCATGAGGAGTTGTGGGCATACACTTGAACTTTGTGCTGTGAGATATCCACAGAACTTCAGTAGCTTAAGAGAACAGTTTAGATGTCATCTTATTCATCTACCATAGAACTTCCTCTTTTTTTCTGAGATTTCTAGACAATAACTTTTACAGCTCTAATAATGCAGTTCTCTCCCAGTTGTTTGGACTATTCTAATAGATACAAAGCAGTATTTCACCAGCAGATGCTACTGCAGTTTGTATGATGATTTCAAACTAAGAATCCATTTAAAGTTATGCAATACTTTTTTGGAAATAGAGTGAAAGTACTTTAAGTTTAAAATCCTATAAAATAGGTTTACAGTAAATAATTATCTGTTGCAATGTCTATCATACTATCTTATATTCACACATGTGTTGGTGTCCTAATACATATGTATGAGAGTGAAAGTTACCTGAGGTCAGAGACTCTGCCATATGTTCCCTGCACCACTGTTGCCTATCTCAGCACATGATATACAGTAGATGCTCAATAAATACTTTAACTTAAAAAATGCACTAAGAATAAATCTTATTAGACATCAAAATATGTACGAGTACAATCTAGGGACATGGTCAGGGGCTCAAAATTCAATCTTATTTATTTATTTACTTATTTATTTGTTTATTTGGAGACAGAGTCTCACTCTGTCACCCAGGCTGGAGTGCAGTGGCACGATCTTGGCTTACTGCAACCTTCGTCTCCCCGGTTCAAGCGATTCTCCTGCCTCATTCTCCAGAGTAGCTGGGATTACAGGTGCACACCAACACACCTGGCTATTTTTTTTTCGTATTTTTAATAGACAGAGGGTTTCACCATTTTGGCCAGGCTGGTCTCAAACTCCTGAGCTCAGGCAGTCTGCCCACCTTTGTCTCCCAAAATGCTGGGATTACAGGTGTCAGCCACCACACAGCCACAAAATGTTTTAAAGTAGCTTCAAAAGCCCTTTGCAAATAGGTGTTTTCATAACAAGATGAAAACAAGAAAACATTGAGCTTCATATAATAGAAGGGTTCTGCCTGGATTTGCATGTGGCCCCATCATTTGTTTGCTGTTGGGCCATGGTCAGGTTACTTAGCTGCTCTCTGCCTCCACATAGGCTTTATGCCTGTGCATCCTTCATCTACAAAATGGGAATAATAAGAACATCTAACAATTAGAAGTGGAGAAAATATATGTAAAGGTCTTTGAAAAGAGCTTGTCAAAGCTCAATAATTGTCAGCTATCATTCAATAATAATCATAATCATAAAAATATATGACTCAAAGAAAGATTGCTACCTCATATCCAGCTTCCCCAAAGAATATCAGACATTGGACCTGTGAAAGGAATGACATTGAGATGTATTTTCACATCGCTAAGTTGGTTTTTTCTCTTTGCCATTCAATTTCTGCAGTCCCCACTCTAAGTCCATGGTCCACCTTTTTATTTTTCCTCCTAAAATGTCTTCACTTCTTGTAAAATTTACTTTTCCTTAAAAAGGGCCCTTTTCATCCTCTCACTCTTTTGCCCTTCCCAGAAGTTGGTTAATGGGCCCAAAAATACAGTTAGATGGAAAGAACAGAAGAATTTCTAGTGTTCAATAGCACAGTAGGGTGATGATCATTAACAATAACTTATATATTTCAAAATGACTAGAGGAAAGATGTGGAATGTTCTCAACACAAATAAATGATAAATGTTTGAGGTGATGGATATGCAAATTATCCTGATTTGATCACTACATATTGTATGCATGTATCAAAATATCACATGTACCCTAGAAATATGTATCATTGTCATGTATCAATAAAAACAGAAAGGCCTATTTCTCTTTCCTTCCTCCCCGCATTCCCTGCTGCCCCAGATATGTGTTGTTCCTGGTGCTCTCCTACCCCACGTTCAGTCAGCACTGAGCCAGCAGGAAGGATCTCACAGATCATATCCTGAGATCAACCCTTTCAGGTAATAATCCTCCTGCTTTTAGTCATTTATATCCTTTGGTTCGTATATATTTTGAGTCAAATGCCTTCTAACTACTGACTTACATAATATCCCTTGGTTTTTAAAGATAATACAAAGTGGATTTTAGTAACAATCTTGAGTCGTCACAGAAGCTAATGAAGTTGGGGATGCCATGAAGCCATCCAAGCATATAGAGCCCATTTCCCTGGGTCCCTTTTCCTTAGCTCAAGGCCACAAAAAATCAGAACTTGAATTCCAGCCCACATTTGCATTATGTCTAAATAACTATGAGTTATAAATGAAGCTAACAGTTAAATATATTCTATTCTCCTACTTCGATAAATATACCGCCATAATTACCCACAACGTCAAAGTCGAGTGTAGAATTCTCTGATTTCTTGGTGCTCTGCACGGGAATGTGGTAGTAAAGGGAGAGCTGATCCTCAGCCCCAAGCTAAACTTTTTTCTTTCATCGTAGCTAGCCCTGTACTCTCTTGAGAAGCCTTGTGTACCCCTGTATGGGGGACTCCCTAGGCCCCATGCAAGCTCCATCCACAATTCTCACCCCTTCAGACAGCAGAGCCTTGGGCACCATTTGGACAAGCACAGTTTGCGCTTTGAAATGGACCCAGAGAAGAGGCCATGCAGGCTCAGACACATTTGGCCAGGAGCCTGAGTCCCCAGTGTGTGCCCTAGAAGAGAGGGTGAGAGCTCTGGGTGGGCCAGGGTACAGTCAGTGGAGGGCCAGAGAGGCACCTTCTCAAGCGCAGGATTCAGGGCAGGAGTCCTCTTGCCCAGATGGAAGGCTATGACTGCTTAGTGCAATGGCGCCTGCGTCATGTCTTCTCAGTTCACCTTTCATTCAGTCTCTGCCACCGTGGGAAGTTCCATGGAAGCGCAGGCTTCCCTTGTGCTGCCAGCCAACTCAAACTACACTTTCTGCCTTAGGGCATCTCCATTATTGTAGGATTTTTCCTGAGCACAAATACAGCCCAGAAACACTTGCAGGTTAACAGCCTCAGGGGAAGACCTCAACCAGTGTGGGACAGGTGGGCAAATGCTCCAGGCTCATGTTTCAGGTGGACAGTTCTGGATAACTTTCTGGAGCCTCTCAGAAGGTCCTGCAGAAAAAACTGCATGGCAGGAGCCTCAATAGCAAGCCATTATTTTGACTTTTCTTTCTTGCCTGTCTCACTCTTCCCACTTCTGACTCCTGCTTCTTGGAATCACTTCCCAAATAAACCACCCACACCCAAGTCCTTACTCCAGCTCTGCTTTTAGGGATACAGACACACCTTGGAGATATTACACGTTCTAGGTAACCACAATAGGGCGAATATCACAACAGTGCAAGTCACACGAAATTTTTTGCAAGTCACACAAAATTTTTTGCTTTCTGGTGCATATAAAAGTTATGTTGCCAGGCATGGCGGCTCATGCCTGTAATCCCAGCACATTGGGAGGCCGAGGTGTGTGCATCACCTGAGGTCAGAAGTTCGAGACCAGCCTGACCAACATGGTGAAACCCTGTGCCTACCATAAATACAAAAATGGTGGTGCGTGCCTGTAGTCCCAGCTACTCAGGAGGCTGAGGCAGGAGAATTGTTTGAACCTGGGAGGCAGAGTTTGCAGTGAGCCAAGATTGCACCACTGCACTCCGACCTGGGAAACAGAGCCAGACACCGTCTCAAAAAAAAGTTATGTTTAAACTACTGTAGTCAATTAAGTGTGCAATAGCATTATGTCTAAAATACAATGTATATACCTTACTTTGAAAATATGTGATTGCCAAAAAATGCTAACCATCATCTGGGCCTTCAGCAAGTCATCATTTTGCTGCTGGATGGTCTTGCCTCAATGTTGATAGCTACTGACTGATCGGGGTGGTGGTTGCTGAGGGCTGGAGAGGGAGTGGCGATTTCTTAAAATAAGATGACAATGAAGTTTGCGCATTGACTGACTCTTTCTTTCACAAAAGATTTCACTGTAGCATGCTATGCAGTTTGGTAGCATTTTACCCACAGTAGAATTTATATCAAAATTGCAACCAATCCTCTCAAACCCTGCCACTCCTCTATCAACTAAGTTTATGGAATATTCTAAGTCCTTTGTTGTTCTTTCCACAATGTTCACAGCATCTTCACCAGGAGTAGATTCCATCCCAAGAAACCAATTTCTTTGCTCATTCATAACAAGCAATAATAATACATTATTTTATACATAATATATATAATTATATAATATACATATTATATATTTATTATATTATATATTATAATATATATAATATGCTATAATATATAATATGTAATATAATATAAGCAAAAATAATATCGCTTGGTTTTTAAAGATAATACAAAGTGGATTTTAGTAACAATCTTGAGTCATCATAGAAGCTAAAGAATTTGGGGATTCCATGAAGCCATCCAAGCATATAAAGCCTATTCCCCTGGGTCGCTTTTCCTTAGCTCAAGGCCACAAAAAATCAGAACAAGAATTCCAGCCCACATTTGCATTATGTCCAAATAATTATGAGTTATAAATGAAGCTAACAAATAGTTAAATATGTTCTATTCTCCTACTTCAATAAATATACTGCCATAATAACCCACAAGGCCAAAGTCGAGTGTAGAATTCTGATTCCTTGGTGCTCTGCACAGGAATGTGGTAGTAAAGGGAGAGCCGATCCTGAGCCCCAGGCTAAACTTTTTTCCATCTAATTCCATTTATTTCCATTAAGATTGCAGCAATTCGGCCAGGCACGGTGGTTCATGCCTGTAATCCCAGGCTGAGGCGGACGGATCATCTGAGGTTGGGAGTTCAAGACCAGACTAACCAACATGGTGAAACACCATGTCTACTAAAAATAGAGAATTAGCCAGATGTGGTGGCACATGCCTATAATGCCAGCTACTCAGGAGGCTGAGACAGGAGAATCACTTGAACCCAGGAGGCGGAGGTTGTGGTGAGCTGAGATCATGCCATTGCACTCCAGCCTGGGCAACAAGAGCAAAACTCCATCTCAAAAAAAAAAAAAAAAAAAAGATTGCAGCAGTTCACTCACATCTTCAGGCTCCACTTGTAATTCTAGTTCTCTTGCTATCTTCACCACAACTGTGGTTACTTCCTCTGCTAAGGTCTTGAACCCCTCAAAGTCATTTATGAGGGTCAGAATCAACTTCTTACAAACTCCTATTAATGCTGCTATTTTTACCTCCTCTGGTGAATCATAAATGTTCTTAGTGGCATCTACCATAGTGAATCCTTTCCAGAAGGTTTCCAATTGACTTTGCCCAGATCCATCAAAGGAATCATGACCTATGGCAGTAACAGCCTTATAAAATATATTTCTCAAATAATAAGACTTGAAAGTCAAAATGATGCCTCAATCCATTGACTACAGAATAGATGTTGTGTTGGCAGGCATGAAACCAGCATGCGTTTCCCTGTACATCTCCATTAGAGCTCTTTAGTCACCAGGTACATTGTCAAAAAGCTGAAGTATTTGAAATGAATCTTTTTTCTGAGCTGTAGGTCTCAACAGTGGGATTAAAATACTCAGTAACCCATGTGGTAAACAGCTCTGATATCATCCAAGTGTTGTTGTTCCATTTATAGAGCACAGGTAGAGTAGATTTAGCGTAATTCTTAAGAGGTGTCCTAGGATTTATGGAATGGCAAATAAGCATTGGCTTGTAACAAGAAAGTCAGCCTGTCCTTTAAATCTTTTTTATTTTTCTTGAGATAATGTCTCACTCCATTGCCCAGGCTGGATTGCAGTGGCATGATCTTGGCCCACTCCAGACTTGACCTCCTTGGCTCCACAATCCTCCCGCCTCAGCCTCCTGAGTAGCTGGGACTAGTAGCATGCACCACCATACATGGCTTATTTTTATTTATTTATTTTGTTAGAGACAGGGTTCACCATGTTGCCCAGGCTGGTCTCAAACTCCTAAGCTCAAGCCATTCTCCCACTTCAGCCTCCCAGAGTGCTGGGATTACAGGCATGATCCACCCTGCATGGCCTCTAAATTCGTGTTATGGAGACTCATTTTCATGGTTAAAATATCCTGAATTGACTGTGGCCTGTTGGGAGGTGGGATGGAGGGAGCTACTTAAGGAAAATGAAAAAGAAAGGGAAGCACACCAGAAGCAAGAAAGTGTCATCAATTTTTACATCAAGGACTCCATGATAAAGAGAAAGTACAGGTGGCCTGTTATCATGGCTGACCATTGGACTGTGGACTGCACCTGCATCTACCAGGTTCTTCTGGATAATCCCAGTTTTAAATTTTTGACCTGATATTCATGAACACAGTGCTACTGGTCAGACCTTTGTCCAGGTTTAAGCTTCAGAACATAATGTCTTCATGCAGTGGGAGGCCTGGTTAGGGTTATGATTCTGCCCTGGGACATCTGCCCCTTCTGACCTGGAGGTAAATTTGTCATCTACTATTTACCTCCACACTTGAACAGCCAATGATGGGCTGAGCACAGAGGCTCACATCTGTAACTCTAGCACTTTGGGAAGCCAAGGCAGGAGGATCGCTTGAGGCCAGTAGTTCAAGACCAGCATGGGTAATATAGTGAGACCTGGTCTCTGTAAAAACAAACAAACAAACAAAACCAAGGATGGTGGGTGGCAGGGAGCAGTTCAACATGGGAAACCATTAACCTGAGAGCTAGAAGGACCCTTAGGCCAGCCCCCATTAATAGATGAGACTCTGCCCTGAGATTATAGTCCAAGGTAATGCATTGAGCTTTTCTAGAAATTTGAAAATAATCAATCCTAAAACCCCCAAGCATACTGCTATTGTTTGCTATTGAATAATGTTTTCTAGTCTGGGTGTGGTGGCACCTGCCTGTAATCCCAACACTTTGGAAGATCCAGGCAAGTGGATCACCTGAGGTCAGGAGTTCGAGATCAGCCTGGCCAACATGGTGAATCCCCGTCTCTACAAAATTACAAAAAATTAGCAAGCCATGGTGGTGCATGCTGGTAATCCCAGCTTCTTGGGAGGCTGAGGCAGGAGAATCCTTTGAACCTGGGAGGCAGAGGTTGCAGTGAGATGAGATCATGCCATTGCACTCCAGCCTGGACTACAGAGACAAATTCCATCTCAAAAATAATAATAATAATGTTTTCTACAAGCAAGGGGTTACTTTATACTGGGAACTGGTGTGAAGGGATTCACCATGTGTAAGCTTTTGGATTGATGACAGTTATTTCTAGATCATGGAGGTGGGAATGCTTGTTGATCATCTTCTATGTTCTTTGTTATATTGATTGATTTTTTAAATTAGCATTTTTATAACAATAAAGTCATAAAAACAAGTAACTAAAATAAAGTAAAATAATCTAAAAAGGCCAAGCATGGTGGCTCATGACTGTAATCCAAGCACTTTGGGAGGCTGAGGTGGGTGGATCACCTGAGGTCAGGAGTTTGAGACCAGCCTGGCCAACATGGTGAAACCTCATCTCTACTGAAAATACAAAAACTAGCCGGGTGTGGTGGCAGGCACCTGTAATCCCAGCTACTCGGGAGGTTGAGGCAGGAGAATCACTTGAACCCAGGAGAAGCTGCTTGCAGTGAGCTGAGATTGCACCATTGCACTCCAGCCTGGGTGACAAGAGCTAAACTCTGTCTCAAAACAAAACAAAACAAAACAAAAATCTAAATGTAATTGAGTTGAATATTTAAACTTTTAACTGACATTTCAAATTAGATTCTAATTCCATTTAAAAGAGCATCTCATAGAAGCAAATGTACTCAATTATATTAACTCTGTGGTTTCATTTAAGCAATTTGTTTTGTGAAGGGACACAAATCCAACCAGATTTTAACAGTGTATAAATATGTATTTATTAATTTAATTACAATGACAATACTCTCAACTCCCCATTTGAATAAAGGAGAGCGTGTGATCTGTGTTCTGAGACAGTGTGCACTATAGGTGTGTGGAAATACCGATGCCCTCAGCTGTGTGGTAGGCTCAGTGGGACCTGGAGTGCAGGAGCCCCTGGGCCATTCACCTCTGGCCACAAAAGTCATTGCTCATTTACACCCAACTTCTATAGAAATATTATTTTCAGTGGTTGTTATGATGCAAAAGAAAAGAAGCAGGGAGATTTATTAAACTGTTACATATAAGTTATGTTAGTAAATAAAGTCTACTTTCTTCTGGCTTAACTAAAAATCTATACTAGTATTTATGTCTTTTGGAAATTAGAGATGCCAATTTAAGTATTATGAAGCAAAGCAACTGATTATTAGGTAAGACAGCCAAGTACAACTGCAGAATTGTAGAGGTTATGGGTTACATGTATAAGAATATTTCATAGCAAAAATCTTTTAAGACTCTGTGAAGACACTCCACAGTGAAGCAGAAATTAGAACAGAATTAATAATACTGTGTATGCTCTCAGTTCACCAATTTATCAAAACTAGCTTTATGATTCAGAAGGGTGTCTGCACTTTTGCAATTGGAAGAAAAGAAAGAATATTTTATTTTTTGACTCTTTAGATTTTCTTCACTAACAGTATTTCCAAGGCTAAGTAAGGGAGTTGCAAGTAACACCAAGAGAAAAAAGCAGTCTTGAGCAGCTTTTTAAAAATAGTCTTAAAATATGGAAAATGAAGCCAGGTGTGGTGGCTCACTCTTGTGATCCCAACACTTTGGGAGCCTGAAGTGGGAGGGTTGCTTGAGGACAAAAGTTTGAGACAAGCCTGGGTAGCATAGCAAGATCCCCATCATTGCAAAAAATAATAATTTTAAAAAAAATTATCTGGATGTGGTGGTGCATGCCTTAGAGTCCCAGTTACTTGGGAGGATGAGGTAGGAGGAGCTCTTGAGCCTAGGAGTTCAAGTCTGCAGTGAGCTATGATTGCACCACAGTCCTCAAGCCTGGGCAACAAAGTGAGACTCTCTCTCTCTCTCTCTCTCTTTATATATATTTATATATATATAATATGTGGAACCCATATATATATGGAAAAGGGAAGGGGCCAAGAATATCAAAGACATTATTGAAGAAGAGGAAAGATTCGTCCTGCCAAATATCAGAACTTTTATAAAGCTACAACAATTAAGACAGTGTGGTCTTCACTGATAAACTGACTAATGAAACAGAATAGAGAGCTCCCAAGCAAATCTCCACAAATTTAATCTTCGATATGTGATGTAGGTGACATGGCAGATCAGCAAGGAAAGAAAGGACTTTTCAATAAATAGGATAGAAAAATAATGGTTATTGATGTAGGAAACAAAATGAAATTATATTCCTACTTCACTCTATATACAAACATTAAATTCCAGATGGACAGAAGACTTACATGTCAGAAACAAAACTTTAAAACTTTTAGTAGAAAATGTAAGTGAATGAGACACAAAAAGCCACTTAACAATTAAAAAAGATTAGACATTTTGACTATCACAAAATTAAGAACTTTTTACATCAAAATTGGAAAGATAGTCTGGGCATGGTGTCTCAAACCTGTAATCCCAACAGTAGATCACCTGAGGTCAGGAGTTTGAAACCAGGCTGGCCAACATGGTGGAACCTCATCTCTACTAAAAATACAAGAAATTAGCCAGGCATTAGTGGCAGACACCTGTAATCTCAGCTACTTGGGAAGCTGAGGCACAAGAATCGTCTGAACCCGGGAGGTGGAGGTTGCAGTGAGCCACTGCACTCCAGCCTGAATAACAGAGTAAGACTCTGTCTCAAAAAAAAAAAAAAATAGAAATTAAAAAATAAAAGTAAAAAAGTGAAAAGATAAACTATAAATTAGAAGAAGTTATTTGCAGTACCTAAAACCTACAAAAGGTTAATATCATATCAACTAAGTGCTCATATGAATTATTTTTGAATAAGGAGCTCCTATGAATTAATTTTAAAAATAGCAAACCAACAGAAAATTGGGAAAAGGCATTAATAGGGATTTCACAAAAGAGAAAGCCCACAAAATATAAAAATTTTCTCAACCTCATTAGTAATCAGAAAAATGCCCAAGATACTACACATCTATTCTCTCCACAAATATTGAGAAGTTTGATGATACCAAATGTATTAGTCCATATTCACACTGCTGATAAAGACATACCTGAGATGGGGAAGAAAAAGAGGCTTAATTGGTTTAAGGGCTCCACATGGCTGAGGAAGCCTCAGAGTTATGGTGGTGGATGAACAGCACTTCTTACATGGCAGTGACAAGAGAATATGAGAAGGAAGCAAAATAAGCAAAAAACCCATCAGATCTTGTGAGATTTATTCACTATCACAAGAATAGCATGGGAAAGACTGGCCCCAAAGATTCAACTACCTCCCCCTGGGTCCCTCCCCGAACACATGGGCATCCTGAGCAATACAATTCAAGTTGAGACTTGGGTAGGGACATAGCCAAACCATATTATTCTGCCCCTGGCCCCTCCAAATCTCATGTCCTCACATTTCAAAACCTATCATGCCTTCCCAACAGTCCCCCAAAGTCTTAACTCATTTCAGCATTAACCCAAATGTCTGCTGTCCAAAGTCTCATCTGAAACAAGGCAAGTCTCTTCTGCTTATGACCCTGTAAAATCCAAATCAAGCTAGTTACTTCCTAGATACAATGGGGGTACAGATAGTTGAGAAAATACAGCTGTTCCAAATGGGAGTAATTGTCCAAAACAAAGGGGTTACAGGCCCTGTGCAAGCCCAAAATCCAGCAAGGTAGTTAAATTTTAAAGCTCCAAAATGATCTCCTTTGACTCCATGTTTCACATCAAGGTCATGCTGATGCAAGAGGTGGGCTCCCACAGCCTTGGGTAGTTCTGCCCCTGTGGCTTTGCAGGGTATAACCCACCTCCTGGCTGTTTTCATGGGCTGATGTCGAGTGTCCGCAGCTTTCCCAGGCTCATGGTGCAAGTTGTCAGTGAATCTACAATTCTGGGGTCTGGAGGAGTGTGGCCCTCTCCTCAAAGCTCCACGAGGAAGTACCCCAGTAGGGACTCTGTGTAGGGGCTTCAACCCCACATTTCCTTTCTGCACAGCCCTAGCAGAGGTTCTCCATCAGAGCATCACCCCTGCAGCAAATTTTTGTTTGGACATCCAGGTGTTTTCATACATCCTCTGAAATCTAGGTGGAGGTTTCCAAACCTCAATTCTTGACTTCTATGCATGTGCAGACTCAGCACAACGTGGAAGCTACCAAGGCTTGGTGCTTGCACTCTCAAGGCCATGGCCTGAGTTCTATGTTGGCCCCTTTCAGCCATGGTTGGAGGGGCTGAAACACAGAGAAACAAGGCTCTATGCTACACACAGCACAGGGAACCCGGCCCAGCCCAGAAAACCATTTTTTCCTCCTAGGCCTCCAGGCTTGTGATGGGAGGGGCTGCTGTGATGACCTGTGACATCTCCTGTAGACATTTTCCCCATTGTTTTGGGGATTAACATTCAGCTTCTCGTTACTTATGCAAATTTCTGCCAACAGCTGGAATTTATCCTCAGAAAATGGGATTTTCTTCTCTATCACATTGTCAGGCTGCAAATTTTCCAAATTTATATGCTCTGCTTTCTTTATAAAACTGAAGGCCTTTAATATCACCCAAGTCACCTCTGGAATGCTTTACTGCTTAGAAATTTCTTCCAGCAGATACCCTAAATTATCACTCTCAAGTTCAAAGTTCCACAAATCTCTAGGGCAGGGGCAAAATGCTGCCATTCTCTTTGCTAAAACACAACAAGAGTCACCTTTGCTCCAGTTCACAACAAGTTCCTCATCTCCATCTGAGACTACCTCAGCCTGGACCTTATTGTTCAAAACACTATCAGCATTTTTGTCAAAGCCATTCAGCAAGTCTCTAGGAGGTTCCAAATTTTCCCACATTTTCCAGTCTTCTTCTGAGCCCTCCAAACTCTTCCAACCTCTGCCTGTTACCAAGTTTCAAAGTCGCTTGCACATTTTTTGGATGTCTTTTCAGCAGCATCCCACTCCACTGGTACCAATTTACTGTATTAGTCTGTTTTCACACTGCTGAAAAAGACATACCCAAGTCTGAGAAGAAAAAGAGGTGTAAAGAAAAAGAACTGTAATTGGATTTACAGTCCCACATGGTGGAGGAGGCCTCAGAGTCATGGTAGGAGGTGAAAGGCACTTCTTACATGGCAGCAGCAAGAGAAAATGAGGAGGAAGCCAAAGCAGAAACCCCTGATAAACCCATCAGATCTCATGAGGCTTATTCACTATCACGAGACTAGCACAGGAAAGACTGGCCTCCGTGATTCAATTACCTCACCCTGGGTCCCTCCCATAACATGTGGGAATTCTGGAGATAGAATTCAAGCTGAGATTTGGGTGTGGACACAGCCAAACCATATCACCAAATATGGAGAGACTGTGGATCAACAAGATCATCTCAAACTAATACAGGAGGTGAGAGTTTAAATTAGAACAACCACTTTGGAAAGAAATTTGGATTATCTTATAAATTTGAGCATTCTCATATGTTATGGCAAAGTAATTCCTCTACCATAGGCCCTGGAGAAACTCTTGCCCATATGCACCAGAAGTAGTAAAAAAATAAATGCTCATGTAATGCCATTCATAATAGCAAAAATCTAGAAATAAGCCAAATGTTCATTAATAGGAGAATGGGTAAACTGATAGAAGAATGGGTAAATAAATTATACCCTTAAAAACTAAATAATATGTCATTTAAGGCAATCATATGTATGCAATAAAACAATGTTTTTTTAAAGGAAGGGAATCCTAAACATAAATTCAGGGTAGTAGTTACCCTCGGGCTGAAGGGTGAAAATCAGGAAAAAGGACAGAGGAGGAGCAGATGTTAGGGTCAGAACCCTAGTTCTTGGGTTCATAAGTGATTACCATATTGTTCAAATACATTTACTCAGAGGCCCAGGCACAGACAAGGATGAAATAGGAGCCAAGGTATGCTATGAGCCAAGGATTATGATTAATCCAATTTTGTGCACTTTAAGCCATTTGAAAAACAGAAAAGCAAAACAACAAAATAATTTTTAAGAAATTGAATATAGGGTGTTTTGCTCTGAATGTGTCCCCCTAAAATTAATCACCAATGTCATAGGATTAGGAAGTAGAGCTTTTAGGTAGTGATTCCTTCATGAAGGGAGAGTCTTCACGAATGAGTTTAGGATCCTTACACAAGGATTGGAGGGAGTGGGCTTCCCCTGTTTTGCCCTTCCGCCTTCTGCCATGTGAGGACACAGTGCATCTCCTCCTGAAGACACAGTGCAGAAGATACCATCTTGGATGTAGAGACCAGGCCCTCACCAGACACCAATCCTGCTGGCACCTTGATCTTGGACTTCTAGCTTATGGAACTGTGAGAAATACATTTCTGTTCTTCAGAAATTACCCAGCCTAGTGTATTTTTTATATAGTAGCAGAAACTCATTAAGGCATAATGCCTCTTGTCATTTTCTTCTACAATTTTCTTTGCTGCCTCTTTAGCACTGGGGCATTTTATATTTGATCCTTCATCATATCTCTTACTTTTGGTTTTTCACATTTCTGTTCCAAGTGTATTCTTAGACACATATTTTCCAATATTTGTTAGCATCCAGGTCAGAAAGTCCAGAATACCTTCTTTTAAGGCTTCCGTTTCTGCAACAATGAAGTATTAACGCCTCCTGTAAACTAGGTATTTCCTTTCCAATTGTAACTGCCATCTGGAGGCAAAGTAGAATTCTAGTCTATGAGTGTGGGGTTGATTTTTAATGTATCTAGAGTATGGTAAAATGCTGGTTTTTAATCACACAGATACATTGATTGCTTGGCACACTAGGGTACCAGTTGCTAGTTATCTCTGTATTGATCCATGCTGTTACAGAGGGAAAGTACAGACCATGAAGTTGGACCAGCTGTCATACCCACAACATTTGGGGAGCTTTGATTTTTTTTAACCTTTAGCTGCTTAACTGTCACATCTAGAAGCTCAGGTGAAAAGCACCCTTATTGTGGGGACTTTCCCTTAGTGCTCTGTGGCACTAAAGAGCAGACCTATGTAGAAGCATTTAAGTATTTTGTGCATCAACAGGAAAATTAAAGGAACAAATTCTTATTGTATCCTTTAGTCCCTGACGACAAAACCACAGTGACAGTAACTAGGTCATGGCATTGTATTCAGAGAGGGTCAGCCTTGGTATTTGACAGTGAGTCCCCTGTACCCCACTGTCAAGACTCACTGAGCAGACGGGAAAGTTCAGGTGGAACATGCAGTAAAGAGCAAACACGGTGGGGGGCGCTCACTGTCATACACTGCCATGCCTGCCACGGTCAGCAGACCTGTCTTCTATTTGACAACAGGCAAGTTGAGAAACATTTTTTTGGAGAGTTTCTTGATTCTTCCCAGTTGTGGCAGGATGGACTGACTTAGAGGAGCTCAGGAAGGTTGTTAAACAACACAGAAACGCAACATGAATTGTACTCCTCAGCAGGCCTATGTTAGAGCAGCAGGTCCTTGAAGCCTCAGCCACTCCTGGGACACAGCATAATGCCCCTAATGATTTCAAATTTGGTGGAGAGTGGGCTGCTAATCCCAGTGTCCAGGGACAAAAAGAGACATAAACAGCAAAAAGTTATAAAATAAGTGGGCCTAACATCTGCTTATTGTGGGAGGTAGGGATTTAAGGTATAAGAATTTAGCTGCATGTGGAAGCTCACACCTGTAATCTCAGCACTTGAGGAGGTCAACGCAGGAGGACAGCTTGAGCCCAGGAGTTTGACAAGAGCCAGGAAACATACTAAGTCCGCATTCGTTCAAAAATGTTTTGAAGAAAAGTAGTTGAGTGTGGGGACACATGCCTGTAGTCCTAGGTACGTGGGAGCCTGAGACAAGAAAATTGCTTAAGCTTGGGAGATTGACACTGCAATGAGCTGTGATCACAACAATGCACGCCAGCCTGTGAGTCCGGAGACCCGAACCAGCACCCTTAAGCAGGGTCCACCTCCACCTGTAGAAATCGGCCCAAGGAGGTCCTGAGGAAAGGACTCCCGGGAGTCCGGCTCTGGGGGGCCCGAAGCCCCACTCCCACAACGCCCCCTACTACATCCCAGCTCAAGCAAACACCGTGACTGCCACAAAAACCCCCGACCACACATCGCAAAACCTGTTTAAAGGAGCCACAGCCGGACTTTGAAGAGCAAAGCCCGACTCCGCATGGGAAATGCAAATGCGCGAGGCGCCAGCCCATTCTCCAGTCACAGTGACTCCAACAGTTGGCTGAGGACCACTCCTTAAACCTTATCAAAGCAAGAGCACTTTCGGACAGTGCGTCGGTGTTGAGGATCTAGCATGACCAACCCAGGGGGTCGAAAAAACAGTTTCAGGACACCACGATACACTGAGGGCTAACCAGGAAGCAGAAAGAACAGACGGAGTCCTGTGAAAGAAGCGCAACATCCCAGACTCAGGCCTGCCCGGACGGTGTTCGGGTGAGTCTCCCCAGAAGTCGTGCCCGTGAGATCTCCAGGACAGGACTGCCAGCGTGCCCGGGGGCTATTCGCTCACACAAGTTTCGTTCCCGACGAGAGCAGAACCCGGCAGCCACAGGGGTTGCCTGGGGGCCAGTATTTCTATGCCACCCCTGTAGGACTGTGGGTGGGGGTGTCCACCGTGACTGGATGTGTCTTCTAGGAAACGACAGTCTTGAAGAGGAAGCCGGGAATGGGAGATGGCAACAATCCCCGTCCCTGGAACGCCGGCCTCTCTGGACAAGCCACCCGCTTCGCACCCCTCCTCTTATGCCCGTGGCGGTGGCACGGCGCTGTATCCTGCCTGGGCTATGGCCTCTGCTCTGTCGTCCCTCTTGCTCTGTCTCCCCTGTTTCTGAGCGGCCTAGATGCCTCTCGGTCTGGCTGAATATCTTCTACGAAGATCACTTCCCCGTCCATCAGGGAGACACTTCCTGGAGATCCGTGTCATGACTGTTTCTCTCTCCAAGCCTGTTTCTGCTGGATTGCGCAGGTCTGATGACCCTGGGGCTCTTGGCTTCCATACGTGTCTCAGACAGGGAAGCTTCCTCGGTCTCCGTGTTTCACCTCATGGGTGGGTGGATTGCCTAGGATGAGCGAGCGCTAGGCCGGCGAGACTGGCCTTGTCTTCTAGGACAAGTGCATTTCCCCTGCGCTTCCTGTCTCACTCTTGAGGGACATCCTCTCCTCCGCTCACAGGTGGACAGACTCCCTGGATCGTTTGGCTGTAACGAATGTCAGGAAACAAAGGGACTGCGCTGGGACTGGGGCTGGGGCTGCGTGCAGGGGAGGTTGCGTCAGGGCTAGCTGGGTGGTGGAGGGTTGGGGGTGGGGTGACTGTTGCAGAAACCTCTGTGGTCCTCTGGCAGGCATTTCAACATGTGGCTTGGCTGAGGCACAAGCCCCGTCCAGGTTCCCAGGTCTTCTTTGTGTTCCCTTGGCACTCAGGGAAAGGCGACTTGATCCCCTTTCTACCGGGCGCATGCCTGGGCACCACTGTTGCTTTCGCCCTCGCCCCACATGCCTCCGTTGACATACATTCACGCCATCTGCTCTGGTATACGCCAGTGCCAGGCGTGATCGCATTGTCTCCACCTGGGATTCGCCCCGTCCCTGTCTGCACGTGTCCTGGAAAGCGGTGTCGGCTCGCAGGAGCCCCAGGGCTTTTAGAAGCGGGCCAGGCCACTGCTCTTTCAAAGGAGGAGGGAGGCAGAGGGCTCACGGATCAGTGAATTTTCCGCTGACAGCAGGCCTTGAGGGCCATGGGATCATTCTGTGCTGCAGCGAGGCCCTGCCTGCCTCAGCAGATGTGGTGAGCCCATCCTTTCTCGCCCAGAGTGGTCCAAAATCGCATCTGAAGAGGAGTCCTGAGAACCCAGCAGGCGCCCTGAAGCTCCCCGTCCATCGGTGGAAGTCGGCTCAAGGAGGTCCTGAAGACGGGACTCCTGGGGGCTCGGCCCTGGGACACCCGTGGCCCCCTCTCCCACGCGGCCCCAAACTGGACCCCGGATCCAGCCGCAGCCGCGGCTGCAGCAGGCGCGCCCCCTGCCGCCGCGCAGCCGCCCGTATTTAAAGGGGACGCAGCCTGCCTGACTGCCAGCAGCCAAGCGCGAGTCGGCCCAGCCAAAGCGCATGCGCGAGGCGCGCGCCGCTTTTTGCTTCACAGTGCTTCCCACGGTTGTCTTAGGAACCAGTCCCCGAGGCTTGGCAACGCGGGAGCCCTCCGTGGCAGCGCTTGGGTGTCGGGCCTCCGAGGCTCCGGCCTGACCTCTCCACGGGGTCCACAGGAACGTCTCCGGCTGCCAGGAGTCGCAAGGGGCCGAGCAGGATGAGGAAACCACAGGCGGAGTCCGGGGGAAGCAGCGTGGCGTCCCAGCCTCAGGCCTGCCAGGACGGTGTTCGGGTGAGTCTCCCGAGAAGTCGTGCCCCCGTGATCTCGAGGACAGGTCCGCCTGCGTGCCCGAGGGCTGTTCTCTCAGCCGAGGGTTGTTCCCCTCCAGAGCAGAACCCGGCAGCCGCAGGGGTTGCCTGGGGGCGTGTATTGCTCGGCCACCGCGGTAGGACTGTGTGTGGGGCTGTGTCTCCCATTCTCCCTTCTCTCTCTGTCTCTCACCCTCTGTGTGCTTCTTTCCCTCTGTGTGTGTGTGTGTGTGTGTGTTTGTGTGTGTGTGTGTGTGTCTTTGGACGAATGTGCCCTGTGCGTCAAAAAGGGATGTCTTTTATGTGGACCGGTTTTGGTGAGCCTCTTTCTGCGTCTCTCCCTGGGTCCTGCGGCCAGCTGTCCATCGTCTTCGCGGCGGTTCCACTTTGGGTCTGTGCAGGCCTCGATAACGTGAGGGGATGCATCGGGCCCGGAGCAATGGAAGTCTCATCCCCATCCTGAGCGGCCTCTTTTCTAGGATCGAGAGGACCACACTGCAGCCCAGGACAAAAGCCCCACGGTAGCACATTGTCCGGCAGGAGAGGAGCAGACCCACGTCCAAGAAGATGGTTTTACCTTTCCACGCCCCTTCTCTGCGAAATGAAGCCACACCACCACACAGTCTTGAAGAGGAAGCCTGGAATGGGAGACGGCAACAAGCCCCGTCCCTGGAACGCTGGCCTCTCTGGACAAGCCACCCGCTTCGCACCCCTCCTCTTATGCCCGTGGCGGTGGCACGGCGCTGTATCCTGCCTGGGCTATGGCCTCTGCTCTGTCGTCCCTCTTGCTCTGTCTCCCCTGTTTCTGAGCGGCCTAGATGCCTCTCGGTCTGGCTGAATATCTTCTACGAAGATCACTTCCCCGTCCATCAGGGAGACACTTCCTGGAGATCCGTGTCATGACTGTTTCTCTCTCCAAGCCTGTTTCTGCTGGATTGCGCAGGTCTGATGACCCTGGGGCTCTTGGCTTCCATACGTGTCTCAGACAGGGAAGCTTCCTCGGTCTCCGTGTTTCACCTCATGGGTGGGTGGATTGCCTAGGATGAGCGAGCGCTAGGCCGGCGAGACTGGCCTTGTCTTCTAGGACAAGTGCATTTCCCCTGCGCTTCCTGTCTCACTCTTGAGGGACATCCTCTCCTCCGCTCACAGGTGGACAGACTCCCTGGATCTTTTGGCTGTAACGAATGTCAGGAAACAAAGGGACTGCGCTGGGACTGGGGCTGGGGCTGCGTGCAGGGGAGGTTGCGTCAGGGCTAGCTGGGTGGTGGAGGGTTGGGGGTGGGGTGACTGTTGCAGAAACCTCTGTGGTCCTCTGGCAGGCATTTCAACATGTGGCTTGGCTGAGGCACAAGCCCCGTCCAGGTTCCCAGGTCTTCTTTGTGTTCCCTTGGCACTCAGGGAAAGGCCACTTGATCCCCTTTCTACCGGGCGCATGCCTGGGCACCACTGTTGCTTTCGCCCTCGCCCCACATGCCTCCGGTGACATACATTCACGCCATCTGCTCTGGTATACGCCAGTGCCAGGCGTGATCGCATTGTCTCCACCTGGGATTCGCCCCGTCCCTGTCTGCACGTGTCCTGGAAAGCGGTGTCGGCTTGCAGGAGCCCCAGGGCTTTTAGAAGCGGGCCAGGCCACTGCTCTTTCAAAGGAGGAGGGAGGCAGAGGGCTCACGGATCAGTGAATTTTCCGCTGACACCAGGCCTTGAGGGCCATGGGATCATTCTGTGCTGCAGCGAGGCCCTGCCTGCCTCAGCAGATGTGGTGAGCCCATCCTTTCTCGCCCAGAGTGGTCCAAAATCGCATCTGAAGAGGAGTCCTGAGAACCCAGCAGGCGCCCTGAAGCTCCCCGTCCATCGGTGGAAGTCGGCTCAAGGAGGTCCTGAAGACGGAACTCCTGGGGGCTCGGCCCTGGGACACCCGTGGCCCCCTCTCCCACGCGGCCCCAAACTGGACCCCGGATCCAGCCGCAGCCGCGGCTGCAGCAGGCGCGCCCCCTGCCGCCGCGCAGCCGCCCGTATTTAAAGGGGACGCAGCCTGCCTGACTGCCAGGAGCCAAGCGCGAGTCGGCCCAGCCAAAGCGCATGCGCGAGGCGCGCGCCGCTTTTTGCTTCACAGTGCTTCCCACGGTTGTCTTAGGAACCAGTCCCCGAGGCTTGGCAACGCGGGAGCCCTCCGTGGCAGCGCTTGGGTGTCGGGCCTCCGAGGCTCCGGCCTGACCTCTCCACGGGGTCCACAGGAACGTCTCCGGCTGCCAGGAGTCACAAGGGGCCGAGCAGGATGAGGAAACCACAGGCGGAGTCCGGGGGAAGCAGCGTGGCATCCCAGCCTCAGGGCTGTCAGGACGGTGTTCGGGTGAGTCTCCCGAGAAGTCGTGCCCCCGTGATCTCGAGGACAGGTCCGCCTGCGTGCCCGAGGGCTGTTCTCTCAGCCGAGGGTTGTTCCCCTCCAGAGCAGAACCCGGCAGCCGCAGGGGTTGCCTGGGGGCGTGTATTGCTCGGCCACCGCGGTAGGACTGTGTGTGGGGCTGTGTCTCCCATTCTCCCTTCTCTCTCTGTCTCTCACCCTCTGTGTGCTTCTTTCCCTCTGTGTGTGTGTGTGTGTGTGTGTTTGTGTGTGTGTGTGTGTGTCTTTGGACGAATGTGCCCTGTGCGTCAAAAAGGGATGTCTTTTATGTGGACCGGTTTTGGTGAGCCTCTTTCTGCGTCTCTCCCTGGGTCCTGCGGCCAGCTGTCCATCGTCTTCGCGGCGGTTCCACTTTGGGTCTGTGCAGGCCTCGATAACGTGAGGGGATGCATCGGGCCCGGAGCAATGGAAGTCTCATCCCCATCCTGAGCGGCCTCTTTTCTAGGATCGAGAGGACCACACTGCAGCCCAGGACAAAAGCCCCACGGTAGCACATTGTCCGGCAGGAGAGGAGCAGACCCACGTCCAAGAAGATGGTTTTACCTTTCCACGCCCCTTCTCTGCGAAATGAAGCCACACCACCACACAGTCTTGAAGAGGAAGCCTGGAATGGGAGACGGCAACAAGCCCCGTCCCTGGAACGCTGGCCTCTCTGGACAAGCCACCCGCTTCGCACCCCTCCTCTTATGCCCGTGGCGGTGGCACGGCGCTGTATCCTGCCTGGGCTATGGCCTCTGCTCTGTCGTCCCTCTTGCTCTGTCTCCCCTGTTTCTGAGCGGCCTAGATGCCTCTCGGTCTGGCTGAATATCTTCTACGAAGATCACTTCCCCGTCCATCAGGGAGACACTTCCTGGAGATCCGTGTCATGACTGTTTCTCTCTCCAAGCCTGTTTCTGCTGGATTGCGCAGGTCTGATGACCCTGGGGCTCTTGGCTTCCATACGTGTCTCAGACAGGGAAGCTTCCTCGGTCTCCGTGTTTCACCTCATGGGTGGGTGGATTGCCTAGGATGAGCGAGCGCTAGGCCGGCGAGACTGGCCTTGTCTTCTAGGACAAGTGCATTTCCCCTGCGCTTCCTGTCTCACTCTTGAGGGACATCCTCTCCTCCGCTCACAGGTGGACAGACTCCCTGGATCTTTTGGCTGTAACGAATGTCAGGAAACAAAGGGACTGCGCTGGGACTGGGGCTGGGGCTGCGTGCAGGGGAGGTTGCGTCAGGGCTAGCTGGGTGGTGGAGGGTTGGGGGTGGGGTGACTGTTGCAGAAACCTCTGTGGTCCTCTGGCAGGCATTTCAACATGTGGCTTGGCTGAGGCACAAGCCCCGTCCAGGTTCCCAGGTCTTCTTTGTGTTCCCTTGGCACTCAGGGAAAGGCCACTTGATCCCCTTTCTACCGGGCGCATGCCTGGGCACCACTGTTGCTTTCGCCCTCGCCCCACATGCCTCCGGTGACATACATTCACGCCATCTGCTCTGGTATACGCCAGTGCCAGGCGTGATCGCATTGTCTCCACCTGGGATTCGCCCCGTCCCTGTCTGCACGTGTCCTGGAAAGCGGTGTCGGCTTGCAGGAGCCCCAGGGCTTTTAGAAGCGGGCCAGGCCACCGCTCTTTCAAAGGAGGAGGGAGGCAGAGGGCTCACGGATCAGTGAATTTTCCGCTGACAGCAGGCCTTGAGGGCCATGGGATCATTCTGTGCTGCAGCGAGGCCCTGCCTGCCTCAGCAGATGTGGTGAGCCCATCCTTTCTCGCCCAGAGTGGTCCAAAATCGCATCTGAAGAGGAGTCCTGAGAACCCAGCAGGCGCCCTGAAGCTCCCCGTCCATCGGTGGAAGTCGGCTCAAGGAGGTCCTGAAGACGGGACTCCTGGGGGCTCGGCCCTGGGACACCCGTGGCCCCCTCTCCCACGCGGCCCCAAACTGGACCCCGGATCCAGCCGCAGCCGCGGCTGCAGCAGGCGCGCCCCCTGCCGCCGCGCAGCCGCCCGTATTTAAAGGGGACGCAGCCTGCCTGACTGCCAGGAGCCAAGCGCGAGTCGGCCCAGCCAAAGCGCATGCGCGAGGCGCGCGCCGCTTTTTGCTTCACAGTGCTTCCCACGGTTGTCTTAGGAACCAGTCCCCGAGGCTTGGCAACGCGGGAGCCCTCCGTGGCAGCGCTTGGGTGTCGGGCCTCCGAGGCTCCGGCCTGACCTCTCCACGGGGTCCACAGGAACGTCTCCGGCTGCCAGGAGTCACAAAGGGCCGAGCAGGATGAGGAAACCACAGGCGGAGTCCGGGGGAAGCAGCGTGGCATCCCAGCCTCAGGCCTGCCAGGACGGTGTTCGGGTGAGTCTCCCGAGAAGTCGTGCCCCCGTGATCTCGAGGACAGGTCCGCCTGCGTGCCCGAGGGCTGTTCTCTCAGCCGAGGGTTGTTCCCCTCCAGAGCAGAACCCGGCAGCCGCAGGGGTTGCCTGGGGGCGTGTATTGCTCGGCCACCGCGGTAGGACTGTGTGTGGGGCTGTGTCTCCCATTCTCCCTTCTCTCTCTGTCTCTCACCCTCTGTGTGCTTCTTTCCCTCTGTGTGTGTGTGTGTGTGTGTGTGTGTTTGTGTGTGTGTGTGTGTGTCTTTGGACGAATGTGCCCTGTGCGTCAAAAAGGGATGTCTTTTATGTGGACCGGTCTTTGGTGAGCCTCTTTCTGCGTCTCTCCCTGGGTCCTGCGGCCAGCTGTCCATCGTCTTCGCGGCGGTTCCACTTTGGGTCTGTGCAGGCCTCGATAACGTGAGGGGATGCATCGGGCCCGGAGCAATGGAAGTCTCATCCCCATCCTGAGCGGCCTCTTTTCTAGGATCGAGAGGACCACACTGCAGCCCAGGACAAAAGCCCCACGGTAGCACATTGTCCGGCAGGAGAGGAGCAGACCCACGTCCAAGAAGATGGTTTTACCTTTCCACGCCCCTTCTCTGCGAAATGAAGCCACACCACCACACAGTCTTGAAGAGGAAGCCTGGAATGGGAGACGGCAACAAGCCCCGTCCCTGGAACGCTGGCCTCTCTGGACAAGCCACCCGCTTCGCACCCCTCCTCTTATGCCCGTGGCGGTGGCACGGCGCTGTATCCTGCCTGGGCTATGGCCTCTGCTCTGTCGTCCCTCTTGCTCTGTCTCCCCTGTTTCTGAGCGGCCTAGATGCCTCTCGGTCTGGCTGAATATCTTCTACGAAGATCACTTCCCCGTCCATCAGGGAGACACTTCCTGGAGATCCGTGTCATGACTGTTTCTCTCTCCAAGCCCGTTTCTGCTGGATTGCGCAGGTCTGATGACCCTGGGGCTCTTGGCTTCCATACGTGTCTCAGACAGGGAAGCTTCCTCGGTCTCCGTGTTTCACCTCATGGGTGGGTGGATTGCCTAGGATGAGCGAGCGCTAGGCCGGCGAGACTGGCCTTGTCTTCTAGGACAAGTGCATTTCCCCTGCGCTTCCTGTCTCACTCTTGAGGGACATCCTCTCCTCCGCTCACAGGTGGACAGACTCCCTGGATCTTTTGGCTGTAACGAATGTCAGGAAACAAAGGGACTGAGCTGGGACTGGGGCTGGGGCTGCGTGCAGGGGAGGTTGCGTCAGGGCTAGCTGGGTGGTGGAGGGTTGGGGGTGGGGTGACTGTTGCAGAAACCTCTGTGGTCCTCTGGCAGGCATTTCAACATGTGGCTTGGCTGAGGCACAAGCCCCGTCCAGGTTCCCAGGTCTTCTTTGTGTTCCCTTGGCACTCAGGGAAAGGCCACTTGATCCCCTTTCTACCGGGCGCATGCCTGGGCACCACTGTTGCTTTCGCCCTCGCCCCACATGCCTCCGGTGACATACATTCACGCCATCTGCTCTGGTATACGCCAGTGCCAGGCGTGATCGCATTGTCTCCACCTGGGATTCGCCCCGTCCCTGTCTGCACGTGTCCTGGAAAGCGGTGTCGGCTTGCAGGAGCCCCAGGGCTTTTAGAAGCGGGCCAGGCCACCGCTCTTTCAAAGGAGGAGGGAGGCAGAGGGCTCACGGATCAGTGAATTTTCCGCTGACAGCAGGCCTTGAGGGCCATGGGATCATTCTGTGCTGCAGCGAGGCCCTGCCTGCCTCAGCAGATGTGGTGAGCCCATCCTTTCTCGCCCAGAGTGGTCCAAAATCGCATCTGAAGAGGAGTCCTGAGAACCCAGCAGGCGCCCTGAAGCTCCCCGTCCATCGGTGGAAGTCGGCTCAAGGAGGTCCTGAAGACGGGACTCCTGGGGGCTCGGCCCTGGGACACCCGTGGCCCCCTCTCCCACGCGGCCCCAAACTGGACCCCGGATCCAGCGGCAGCCGCGGCTGCAGCAGGCGCGCCCCCTGCCGCCGCGCAGCCGCCCGTATTTAAAGGGGACGCAGCCTGCCTGACTGCCAGGAGCCAAGCGCGAGTCGGCCCAGCCAAAGCGCATGCGCGAGGCGCGCGCCGCTTTTTGCTTCACAGTGCTTCCCACGGTTGTCTTAGGAACCAGTCCCCGAGGCTTGGCAACGCGGGAGCCCTCCGTGGCAGCGCTTGGGTGTCGGGCCTCCGAGGCTCCGGCCTGACCTCTCCACGGGGTCCACAGGAACGTCTCCGGCTGCCAGGAGTCGCAAGGGGCCGAGCAGGATGAGGAAACCACAGGCGGAGTCCGGGGGAAGCAGCGTGGCATCCCAGCCTCAGGGCTGTCAGGACGGTGTTCGGGTGAGTCTCCCGAGAAGTCGTGCCCCCGTGATCTCGAGGACAGGTCCGCCTGCGTGCCCGAGGGCTGTTCTCTCAGCCGAGGGTTGTTCCCCTCCAGAGCAGAACCCGGCAGCCGCAGGGGTTGCCTGGGGGCGTGTATTTCTCGGCCACCGCGGTAGGACTGTGTGTGGGGCTGTGTCTCCCATTCTCCCTTCTCTCTCTGTCTCTCACCCTCTGTGTGCTTCTTTCCCTCTGTGTGTGTGTGTGTGTGTCTTTGGACGAATGTGCCCTGTGCGTCAAAAAGGGATGTCTTTTATGTGGACCGGTCTTTGGTGAGCCTCTTTCTGCGTCTCTCCCTGGGTCCTGCGGCCAGCTGTCCATCGTCTTCGCGGCGGTTCCACTTTGGGTCTGTGCAGGCCTCGATAACGTGAGGGGATGCATCGGGCCCGGAGCAATGGAAGTCTCATCCCCATCCTGAGCGGCCTCTTTTCTAGGATCGAGAGGACCACACTGCAGCCCAGGACAAAAGCCCCACGGTAGCACATTGTCCGGCAGGAGAGGAGCAGACCCACGTCCAAGAAGATGGTTTTACCTTTCCACGCCCCTTCTCTGCGAAATGAAGCCACACCACCACACAGTCTTGAAGAGGAAGCCTGGAATGGGAGACGGCAACAAGCCCCGTCCCTGGAACGCTGGCCTCTCTGGACAAGCCACCCGCTTCGCACCCCTCCTCTTATGCCCGTGGCGGTGGCACGGCGCTGTATCCTGCCTGGGCTATGGCCTCTGCTCTGTCGTCCCTCTTGCTCTGTCTCCCCTGTTTCTGAGCGGCCTAGATGCCTCTCGGTCTGGCTGAATATCTTCTACGAAGATCACTTCCCCGTCCATCAGGGAGACACTTCCTGGAGATCCGTGTCATGACTGTTTCTCTCTCCAAGCCTGTTTCTGCTGGATTGCGCAGGTCTGATGACCCTGGGGCTCTTGGCTTCCATACGTGTCTCAGACAGGGAAGCTTCCTCGGTCTCCGTGTTTCACCTCATGGGTGGGTGGATTGCCTAGGATGAGCGAGCGCTAGGCCGGCGAGACTGGCCTTGTCTTCTAGGACAAGTGCATTTCCCCTGCGCTTCCTGTCTCACTCTTGAGGGACATCCTCTCCTCCGCTCACAGGTGGACAGACTCCCTGGATCTTTTGGCTGTAACGAATGTCAGGAAACAAAGGGACTGCGCTGGGACTGGGGCTGGGGCTGCGTGCAGGGGAGGTTGCGTCAGGGCTAGCTGGGTGGTGGAGGGTTGGGGGTGGGGTGACTGTTGCAGAAACCTCTGTGGTCCTCTGGCAGGCATTTCAACATGTGGCTTGGCTGAGGCACAAGCCCCGTCCAGGTTCCCAGGTCTTCTTTGTGTTCCCTTGGCACTCAGGGAAAGGCCACTTGATCCCCTTTCTACCGGGCGCATGCCTGGGCACCACTGTTGCTTTCGCCCTCGCCCCACATGCCTCCGGTGACATACATTCACGCCATCTGCTCTGGTATACGCCAGTGCCAGGCGTGATCGCATTGTCTCCACCTGGGATTCGCCCCGTCCCTGTCTGCACGTGTCCTGGAAAGCGGTGTCGGCTTGCAGGAGCCCCAGGGCTTTTAGAAGCGGGCCAGGCCACCGCTCTTTCAAAGGAGGAGGGAGGCAGAGGGCTCACGGATCAGTGAATTTTCCGCTGACAGCAGGCCTTGAGGGCCATGGGATCATTCTGTGCTGCAGCGAGGCCCTGCCTGCCTCAGCAGATGTGGTGAGCCCATCCTTTCTCGCCCAGAGTGGTCCAAAATCGCATCTGAAGAGGAGTCCTGAGAACCCAGCAGGCGCCCTGAAGCTCCCCGTCCATCGGTGGAAGTCGGCTCAAGGAGGTCCTGAAGACGGAACTCCTGGGGGCTCGGCCCTGGGACACCCGTGGCCCCCTCTCCCACGCGGCCCCAAACTGGACCCCGGATCCAGCCGCAGCCGCGGCTGCAGCAGGCGCGCCCCCTGCCGCCGCGCAGCCGCCCGTATTTAAAGGGGACGCAGCCTGCCTGACTGCCAGGAGCCAAGCGCGAGTCGGCCCAGCCAAAGCGCATGCGCGAGGCGCGCGCCGCTTTTTGCTTCACAGTGCTTCCCACGGTTGTCTTAGGAACCAGTCCCCGAGGCTTGGCAACGCGGGAGCCCTCCGTGGCAGCGCTTGGGTGTCGGGCCTCCGAGGCTCCGGCCTGACCTCTCCACGGGGTCCACAGGAACGTCTCCGGCTGCCAGGAGTCACAAGGGGCCGAGCAGGATGAGGAAACCACAGGCGGAGTCCGGGGGAAGCAGCGTGGCATCCCAGCCTCAGGGCTGTCAGGACGGTGTTCGGGTGAGTCTCCCGAGAAGTCGTGCCCCCGTGATCTCGAGGACAGGTCCGCCTGCGTGCCCGAGGGCTGTTCTCTCAGCCGAGGGTTGTTCCCCTCCAGAGCAGAACCCGGCAGCCGCAGGGGTTGCCTGGGGGCGTGTATTGCTCGGCCACCGCGGTAGGACTGTGTGTGGGGCTGTGTCTCCCATTCTCCCTTCTCTCTCTGTCTCTCACCCTCTGTGTGCTTCTTTCCCTCTGTGTGTGTGTGTGTGTGTGTGTGTGTTTGTGTGTGTGTGTGTGTGTCTTTGGACGAATGTGCCCTGTGCGTCAAAAAGGGATGTCTTTTATGTGGACCGGTCTTTGGTGAGCCTCTTTCTGCGTCTCTCCCTGGGTCCTGCGGCCAGCTGTCCATCGTCTTCGCGGCGGTTCCACTTTGGGTCTGTGCAGGCCTCGATAACGTGAGGGGATGCATCGGGCCCGGAGCAATGGAAGTCTCATCCCCATCCTGAGCGGCCTCTTTTCTAGGATCGAGAGGACCACACTGCAGCCCAGGACAAAAGCCCCACGGTAGCACATTGTCCGGCAGGAGAGGAGCAGACCCACGTCCAAGAAGATGGTTTTACCTTTCCACGCCCCTTCTCTGCGAAATGAAGCCACACCACCACACAGTCTTGAAGAGGAAGCCTGGAATGGGAGACGGCAACAAGCCCCGTCCCTGGAACGCTGGCCTCTCTGGACAAGCCACCCGCTTCGCACCCCTCCTCTTATGCCCGTGGCGGTGGCACGGCGCTGTATCCTGCCTGGGCTATGGCCTCTGCTCTGTCGTCCCTCTTGCTCTGTCTCCCCTGTTTCTGAGCGGCCTAGATGCCTCTCGGTCTGGCTGAATATCTTCTACGAAGATCACGTCCCCGTCCATCAGGGAGACACTTCCTGGAGATCCGTGTCATGACTGTTTCTCTCTCCAAGCCTGTTTCTGCTGGATTGCGCAGGTCTGATGACCCTGGGGCTCTTGGCTTCCATACGTGTCTCAGACAGGGAAGCTTCCTCGGTCTCCGTGTTTCACCTCATGGGTGGGTGGATTGCCTAGGATGAGCGAGCGCTAGGCCGGCGAGACTGGCCTTGTCTTCTAGGACAAGTGCATTTCCCCTGCGCTTCCTGTCTCACTCTTGAGGGACATCCTCTCCTCCGCTCACAGGTGGACAGACTCCCTGGATCTTTTGGCTGTAACGAATGTCAGGAAACAAAGGGACTGCGCTGGGACTGGGGCTGGGGCTGCGTGCAGGGGAGGTTGCCTCAGGGCTAGCTGGGTGGTGGAGGGTTGGGGGTGGGGTGACTGTTGCAGAAACCTCTGTGGTCCTCTGGCAGGCATTTCAACATGTGGCTTGGCTGAGGCACAAGCCCCGTCCAGGTTCCCAGGTCTTCTTTGTGTTCCCTTGGCACTCAGGGAAAGGCCACTTGATCCCCTTTCTACCGGGCGCATGCCTGGGCACCACTGTTGCTTTCGCCCTCGCCCCACATGCCTCCGGTGACATACATTCACGCCATCTGCTCTGGTATACGCCAGTGCCAGGCGTGATCGCATTGTCTCCACCTGGGATTCGCCCCGTCCCTGTCTGCACGTGTCCTGGAAAGCGGTGTCGGCTTGCAGGAGCCCCAGGGCTTTTAGAAGCGGGCCAGGCCACCGCTCTTTCAAAGGAGGAGGGAGGCAGAGGGCTCACGGATCAGTGAATTTTCCGCTGACAGCAGGCCTTGAGGGCCATGGGATCATTCTGTGCTGCAGCGAGGCCCTGCCTGCCTCAGCAGATGTGGTGAGCCCATCCTTTCTCGCCCAGAGTGGTCCAAAATCGCATCTGAAGAGGAGTCCTGAGAACCCAGCAGGCGCCCTGAAGCTCCCCGTCCATCGGTGGAAGTCGGCTCAAGGAGGTCCTGAAGACGGGACTCCTGGGGGCTCGGCCCTGGGACACCCGTGGCCCCCTCTCCCACGCGGCCCCAAACTGGACCCGGGATCCAGCCGCAGCCGCGGCTGCAGCAGGCGCGCCCCCTGCCGCCGCGCAGCCGCCCGTATTTAAAGGGGACGCAGCCTGCCTGACTGCCAGGAGCCAAGCGCGAGTCGGCCCAGCCAAAGCGCATGCGCGAGGCGCGCGCCGCTTTTTGCTTCACAGTGCTTCCCACGGTTGTCTTAGGAACCAGTCCCCGAGGCTTGGCAACGCGGGAGCCCTCCGTGGCGGCGCCTGGGTGTCGGGCCTCCGAGGCTCCGGCCTGACCTCTCCACGGGGTCCACAGGAACGTCTCCGGCTGCCAGGAGTCACAAGGGGCCGAGCAGGATGAGGAAACCACAGGCGGAGTCCGGGGGAAGCAGCGTGGCATCCCAGCCTCAGGCCTGCCAGGACGGTGTTCGGGTGAGTCTCCCGAGAAGTCGTGCCCCCGTGATCTCGAGGACAGGTCCGCCTGCGTGCCCGAGGGCTGTTCTCTCAGCCGAGGGTTGTTCCCCTCCAGAGCAGAACCCGGCAGCCGCAGGGGTTGCCTGGGGGCGTGCATTGCTCGGCCACCGCGGTAGGACTGTGTGTGGGGCTGTGTCTCCCATTCTCCCTTCTCTCTCTGTCTCTCACCCTCTGTGTGCTTCTTTCCCTCTGTGTGTGTGTGTGTGTGTGTGTGTCTTTGGACGAATGTGCCCTGTGCGTCAAAAAGGGATGTCTTTTATGTGGACCGGTCTTTGGTGAGCCTCTTTCTGCGTCTCTCCCTGGGTCCTGCGGCCAGCTGTCCATCGTCTTCGCGGCGGTTCCACTTTGGGTCTGTGCAGGCCTCGATAACGTGAGGGGATGCATCGGGCCCGGAGCAGTGGAAGTCTCATCCCCATCCTGAGCGGCCTCTTTTCTAGGATCGAGAGGACCACACTGCAGCCCAGGACAAAAGCCCCACGGTAGCACATTGTCCGGCAGGAGAGGAGCAGACCCACGTCCAAGAAGATGGTTTTACCTTTCCACGCCCCTTCTCTGCGAAATGAAGCCACACCACCACACAGTCTTGAAGAGGAAGCCTGGAATGGGAGACGGCAACAAGCCCCGTCCCTGGAACGCTGGCCTCTCTGGACAAGCCACCCGCTTCGCACCCCTCCTCTTATGCCCGTGGCGGTGGCACGGCGCTGTATCCTGCCTGGGCTATGGCCTCTGCTCTGTCGTCCCTCTTGCTCTGTCTCCCCTGTTTCTGAGCGGCCTAGATGCCTCTCGGTCTGGCTGAATATCTTCTACGAAGATCACTTCCCCGTCCATCAGGGAGACACTTCCTGGAGATCCGTGTCATGACTGTTTCTCTCTCGTGTGTGTGTGTGTGTGTGTGTGTGTGTGTGTGTCTTTGGACGAATGTGCCCTGTGCGTCAAAAAGGGATGTCTTTTATGTGGACCGGTCTTTGGTGAGCCTCTTTCTGCGTCTCTCCCTGGGTCCTGCGGCCAGCTGTCCATCGTCTTCGCGGCGGTTCCACTTTGGGTCTGTGCAGGCCTCGATAACGTGAGGGGATGCATCGGGCCCGGAGCAATGGAAGTCTCATCCCCATCCTGAGCGGCCTCTTTTCTAGGATCGAGAGGACCACACTGCAGCCCAGGACAAAAGCCCCACGGTAGCACATTGTCCGGCAGGAGAGGAGCAGACCCACGTCCAAGAAGATGGTTTTACCTTTCCACGCCCCTTCTCTGCGAAATGAAGCCACACCACCACACAGTCTTGAAGAGGAAGCCTGGAATGGGAGACGGCAACAAGCCCCGTCCCTGGAACGCTGGCCTCTCTGGACAAGCCACCCGCTTCGCACCCCTCCTCTTATGCCCGTGGCGGTGGCACGGCGCTGTATCCTGCCTGGGCTATGGCCTCTGCTCTGTCGTCCCTCTTGCTCTGTCTCCCCTGTTTCTGAGCGGCCTAGATGCCTCTCGGTCTGGCTGAATATCTTCTACGAAGATCACTTCCCCGTCCATCAGGGAGACACTTCCTGGAGATCCGTGTCATGACTGTTTCTCTCTCCAAGCCTGTTTCTGCTGGATTGCGCAGGTCTGATGACCCTGGGGCTCTTGGCTTCCATACGTGTCTCAGACAGGGAAGCTTCCTCGGTCTCCGTGTTTCACCTCATGGGTGGGTGGATTGCCTAGGATGAGCGAGCGCTAGGCCGGCGAGACTGGCCTTGTCTTCTAGGACAAGTGCATTTCCCCTGCGGCGGTTCCACTTTGGGTCTGTGCAGGCCTCGATAACGTGAGGGGATGCATCGGGCCCGGAGCAGTGGAAGTCTCATCCCCATCCTGAGCGGCCTCTTTTCTAGGATCGAGAGGACCACACTGCAGCCCAGGACAAAAGCCCCACGGTAGCACATTGTCCGGCAGGAGAGGAGCAGACCCACGTCCAAGAAGATGGTTTTACCTTTCCACGCCCCTTCTCTGCGAAATGAAGCCACACCACCACACAGTCTTGAAGAGGAAGCCTGGAATGGGAGACGGCAACAAGCCCCGTCCCTGGAACGCTGGCCTCTCTGGACAAGCCACCCGCTTCGCACCCCTCCTCTTATGCCCGTGGCGGTGGCACGGCGCTGTATCCTGCCTGGGCTATGGCCTCTGCTCTGTCGTCCCTCTTGCTCTGTCTCCCCTGTTTCTGAGCGGCCTAGATGCCTCTCGGTCTGGCTGAATATCTTCTACGAAGATCACTTCCCCGTCCATCAGGGAGACACTTCCTGGAGATCCGTGTCATGACTGTTTCTCTCTCCAAGCCTGTTTCTGCTGGATTGCGCAGGTCTGATGACCCTGGGGCTCTTGGCTTCCATACGTGTCTCAGACAGGGAAGCTTCCTCGGTCTCCGTGTTTCACCTCATGGGTGGGTGGATTGCCTAGGATGAGCGAGCGCTAGGCCGGCGAGACTGGCCTTGTCTTCTAGGACAAGTGCATTTCCCCTGCGCTTCCTGTCTCACTCTTGAGGGACATCCTCTCCTCCGCTCACAGGTGGACAGACTCCCTGGATCTTTTGGCTGTAACGAATGTCAGGAAACAAAGGGACTGCGCTGGGACTGGCGCTGGGGCTGCGTGCAGGGGAGGTTGCGTCAGGGCTAGCTGGGTGGTGGAGGGTTGGGGGTGGGGTGACTGTTGCAGAAACCTCTGTGGTCCTCTGGCAGGCATTTCAACATGTGGCTTGGCTGAGGCACAAGCCCCGTCCAGGTTCCCAGGTCTTCTTTGTGTTCCCTTGGCACTCAGGGAAAGGCCACTTGATCCCCTTTCTACCGGGCGCATGCCTGGGCACCACTGTTGCTTTCGCCCTCGCCCCACATGCCTCCGGTGACATACATTCACGCCATCTGCTCTGGTATACGCCAGTGCCAGGCGTGATCGCATTGTCTCCACCTGGGATTCGCCCCGTCCCTGTCTGCACGTGTCCTGGAAAGCGGTGTCGGCTTGCAGGAGCCCCAGGGCTTTTAGAAGCGGGCCAGGCCACCGCTCTTTCAAAGGAGGAGGGAGGCAGAGGGCTCACGGATCAGTGAATTTTCCGCTGACACCAGCCTTGAGGGCCATGGGATCATTCTGTGCTGCAGCGAGGCCCTGCCTGCCTCAGCAGATGTGGTGAGCCCATCCTTTCTCGCCCAGAGTGGTCCAAAATCGCATCTGAAGAGGAGTCCTGAGAACCCAGCAGGCGCCCTGAAGCTCCCCGTCCATCGGTGGAAGTCGGCTCAAGGAGGTCCTGAAGACGGGACTCCTGGGGGCTCGGCCCTGGGACACCCGTGGCCCCCTCTCCCACGCGGCCCCAAACTGGACCCCGGATCCAGCCGCAGCCGCGGCTGCAGCAGGCGCGCCCCCTGCCGCCGCGCAGCCGCCCGTATTTAAAGGGGACGCAGCCTGCCTGACTGCCAGGAGCCAAGCGCGAGTCGGCCCAGCCAAAGCGCATGCGCGAGGCGCGCGCCGCTTTTTGCTTCACAGTGCTTCCCACGGTTGTCTTAGGAACCAGTCCCCGAGGCTTGGCAACACAGGAGCCCTCCGTGGCAGCGCTTGGGTGTCGGGCCTCCGAGGCTCCGGCCTGACCTCTCCACGGGGTCCACAGGAACGTCTCCGGCTGCCAGGAGTCGCAAGGGGCCGAGCAGGATGAGGAAACCACAGGCGGAGTCCAGGGGAAGCAGCGTGGCATCCCAGCCTCAGGCCTGCCAGGACGGTGTTCGGGTGAGTCTCCCGAGAAGTCGTGCCCCCGTGATCTCGAGGACAGGTCCGCCTGCGTGCCCGAGGGCTGTTCTCTCAGCCGAGGGTTGTTCCCCTCCAGAGCAGAACCCGGCAGCCGCAGGGGTTGCCTGGGGGCGTGTATTTCTCGGCCACCGCGGTAGGACTGTGTGTGGGGCTGTGTCTCCCATTCTCCCTTCTCTCTCTGTCTCTCACCCTCTGTGTGCTTCTTTCCCTCTGTGTGTGTGTGTGTGTGTGTGTGTGTGTGTGTGTGTCTTTGGACGAATGTGCCCTGTGCGTCAAAAAGTGATGTCTTTTATGTGGACCGGTCTTTGGTGAGCCTCTTTCTGCGTCTCTCCCTGGGTCCTGCGGCCAGCTGTCCATCGTCTTCGCGGCGGTTCCACTTTGGGTCTGTGCAGGCCTCGATAACGTGAGGGGATGCATCGGGCCCGGAGCAATGGAAGTCTCATCCCCATCCTGAGCGGCCTCTTTTCTAGGATCGAGAGGACCACACTGCAGCCCAGGACAAAAGCCCAACGGTAGCACATTGTCCGGCAGGAGAGGAGCAGACCCACGTCCAAGAAGATGGTTTTACCTTTCCACGCCCCTTCTCTGCGAAATGAAGCCACACCACCACACAGTCTTGAAGAGGAAGCCTGGAATGGGAGACGGCAACAAGCCCCGTCCCTGGAACGCTGGCCTCTCTGGACAAGCCACCCGCTTCGCACCCCTCCTCTTATGCCCGTGGCGGTGGCACGGCGCTGTATCCTGCCTGGGCTATGGCCTCTGCTCTGTCGTCCCTCTTGCTCTGTTTCCCCTGTTTCTGAGCGGCCTAGATGCCTCTCGGTCTGGCTGAATATCTTCTACGAAGATCACTTCCCCGTCCATCAGGGAGACACTTCCTGGAGATCCGTGTCATGACTGTTTCTCTCTCCAAGCCCGTTTCTGCTGGATTGCGCAGGTCTGATGACCCTGGGGCTCTTGGCTTCCATACGTGTCTCAGACAGGGAAGCTTCCTCGGTCTCCGTGTTTCACCTCATGGGTGGGTGGATTGCCTAGGATGAGCGAGCGCTAGGCCGGCGAGACTGGCCTTGTCTTCTAGGACAAGTGCATTTCCCCTGCGCTTCCTGTCTCACTCTTGAGGGACATCCTCTCCTCCGCTCACAGGTGGACAGACTCCCTGGATCTTTTGGCTGTAACGAATGTCAGGAAACAAAGGGACTGCGCTGGGACTGGCGCTGGGGCTGCGTGCAGGGGAGGTTGCCTCAGGGCTAGCTGGGTGGTGGAGGGTTGGGGGTGGGGTGACTGTTGCAGAAACCTCTGTGGTCCTCTGGCAGGCATTTCAACATGTGGCTTGGCTGAGGCACAAGCCCCGTCCAGGTTCCCAGGTCTTCTTTGTGTTCCCTTGGCACTCAGGGAAAGGCCACTTGATCCCCTTTCTACCGGGCGCATGCCTGGGCACCACTGTTGCTTTCGCCCTCGCCCCACATGCCTCCGGTGACATACATTCACGCCATCTGCTCTGGTATACGCCAGTGCCAGGCGTGATCGCATTGTCTCCACCTGGGATTCGCCCCGTCCCTGTCTGCACGTGTCCTGGAAAGCGGTGTCGGCTTGCAGGAGCCCCAGGGCTTTTAGAAGCGGGCCAGGCCACCGCTCTTTCAAAGGAGGAGGGAGGCAGAGGGCTCACGGATCAGTGAATTTTCCGCTGACAGCAGGCCTTGAGGGCCATGGGATCATTCTGTGCTGCAGCGAGGCCCTGCCTGCCTCAGCAGATGTGGTGAGCCCATCCTTTCTCGCCCAGAGTGGTCCAAAATCGCATCTGAAGAGGAGTCCTGAGAACCCAGCAGGCGCCCTGAAGCTCCCCGTCCATCGGTGGAAGTCGGCTCAAGGAGGTCCTGAAGACGGGACTCCTGGGGGCTCGGCCCTGGGACACCCGTGGCCCCCTCTCCCACGCGGCCCCAAACTGGACCCCGGATCCAGCCGCAGCCGCGGCTGCAGCAGGCGCGCCCCCTGCCGCCGCGCAGCCGCCCGTATTTAAAGGGGACGCAGCCTGCCTGACTGCCAGGAGCCAAGCGCGAGTCGGCCCAGCCAAAGCGCATGCGCGAGGCGCGCGCCGCTTTTTGCTTCACAGTGCTTCCCACGGTTGTCTTAGGAACCAGTCCCCGAGGCTTGGCAACGCGGGAGCCCTCCGTGGCAGCGCTTGGGTGTCGGGCCTCCGAGGCTCCGGCCTGACCTCTCCACGGGGTCCACAGGAACGTCTCCGGCTGCCAGGAGTCACAAGGGGCCGAGCAGGATGAGGAAACCACAGGCGGAGTCCGGGGGAAGCAGCGTGGCATCCCAGCCTCAGGCCTGCCAGGACGGTGTTCGGGTGAGTCTCCCGAGAAGTCGTGCCCCCGTGATCTCGAGGACAGGTCCGCCTGCGTGCCCGAGGGCTGTTCTCTCAGCCGAGGGTTGTTCCTCTCCAGAGCAGAACCCGGCAGCCGCAGGGGTTGCCTGGGGGCGTGCATTGCTCGGCCACCGCGGTAGGACTGTGTGTGGGGCTGTGTCTCCCATTCTCCCTTCTCTCTCTGTCTCTCACCCTCTGTGTGCTTCTTTCCCTCTGTGTGTGTGTGTGTGTGTGTGTGTGTGTGTGTGTGTGTGTGTGTGTGTGTCTTTGGACGAATGTGCCCTGTGCGTCAAAAAGGGATGTCTTTTATGTGGACCGGTCTTTGGTGAGCCTCTTTCTGCGTCTCTCCCTGGGTCCTGCGGCCAGCTGTCCATCGTCTTCGCGGCGGTTCCACTTTGGGTCTGTGCAGGCCTCGATAACGTGAGGGGATGCATCGGGCCCGGAGCAGTGGAAGTCTCATCCCCATCCTGAGCGGCCTCTTTTCTAGGATCGAGAGGACCACACTGCAGCCCAGGACAAAAGCCCCACGGTAGCACATTGTCCGGCAGGAGAGGAGCAGACCCACGTCCAAGAAGATGGTTTTACCTTTCCACGCCCCTTCTCTGCGAAATGAAGCCACACCACCACACAGTCTTCCAAAGGAGGAGGGAGGCAGAGGGCTCACGGATCAGTGAATTTTCCGCTGACAGCAGGCCTTGAGGGCCATGGGATCATTCTGTGCTTCAGCGAGGCCCTGCCTGCCTCAGCAGATGTGGTGAGCCCATCCTTTCTCGCCCAGAGTGGTCCAAAATCGCATCTGAAGAGGAGTCCTGAGAACCCAGCAGGCGCCCTGAAGCTCCCCGTCCATCGGTGGAAGTCGGCTCAAGGAGGTCCTGAAGACGGGACTCCTGGGGGCTCGGCCCTGGGACACCCGTGGCCCCCTCTCCCACGCGGCCCCAAACTGGACCCCGGATCCAGCCGCAGCCGCGGCTGCAGCAGGCGCGCCCCCTGCCGCCGCGCAGCCGCCCGTATTTAAAGGGGACGCAGCCTGCCTGACTGCCAGGAGCCAAGCGCGAGTCGGCCCAGCCAAAGCGCATGCGCGAGGCGCGCGCCGCTTTTTGCTTCACAGTGCTTCCCACGGTTGTCTTAGGAACCAGTCCCCGAGGCTTGGCAACGCGGGAGCCCTCCGTGGCGGCGCCTGGGTGTCGGGCCTCCGAGGCTCCGGCCTGACCTCTCCACGGGGTCCACAGGAACGTCTCCGGCTGCCAGGAGTCACAAGGGGCCGAGCAGGATGAGGAAACCACAGGCGGAGTCCGGGGGAAGCAGCGTGGCATCCCAGCCTCAGGCCTGCCAGGACGGTGTTCGGGTGAGTCTCCCGAGAAGTCGTGCCCCCGTGATCTCGAGGACAGGTCCGCCTGCGTGCCCGAGGGCTGTTCTCTCAGCCGAGGGTTGTTCCCCTCCAGAGCAGAACCCGGCAGCCGCAGGGGTTGCCTGGGGGCGTGCATTGCTCGGCCACCGCGGTAGGACTGTGTGTGGGGCTGTGTCTCCCATTCTCCCTTCTCTCTCTGTCTCTCACCCTCTGTGTGCTTCTTTCCCTCTGTGTGTGTGTGTGTGTGTGTGTGTCTTTGGACGAATGTGCCCTGTGCGTCAAAAAGGGATGTCTTTTATGTGGACCGGTCTTTGGTGAGCCTCTTTCTGCGTCTCTCCACGGGGTCCACAGGAACGTCTCCGGCTGCCAGGAGTCACAAGGGGCCGAGCAGGATGAGGAAACCACAGGCGGAGTCCGGGGGAAGCAGCGTGGCATCCCAGCCTCAGGCCTGCCAGGACGGTGTTCGGGTGAGTCTCCCGAGAAGTCGTGCCCCCGTGATCTCGAGGACAGGTCCGCCTGCGTGCCCGAGGGCTGTTCTCTCAGCCGAGGGTTGTTCCCCTCCAGAGCAGAACCCGGCAGCCGCAGGGGTTGCCTGGGGGCGTGCATTGCTCGGCCACCGCGGTAGGACTGTGTGTGGGGCTGTGTCTCCCATTCTCCCTTCTCTCTCTGTCTCTCACCCTCTGTGTGCTTCTTTCCCTCTGTGTGTGTGTGTGTGTGTGTGTGTCTTTGGACGAATGTGCCCTGTGCGTCAAAAAGTGATGTCTTTTATGTGGACCGGTCTTTGGTGAGCCTCTTTCTGCGTCTCTCCCTGGGTCCTGCGGCCAGCTGTCCATCGTCTTCGCGGCGGTTCCACTTTGGGTCTGTGCAGGCCTCGATAACGTGAGGGGATGCATCGGGCCCGGAGCAATGGAAGTCTCATCCCCATCCTGAGCGGCCTCTTTTCTAGGATCGAGAGGACCACACTGCAGCCCAGGACAAAAGCCCCACGGTAGCACATTGTCCGGCAGGAGAGGAGCAGACCCACGTCCAAGAAGATGGTTTTACCTTTCCACGCCCCTTCTCTGCGAAATGAAGCCACACCACCACACAGTCTTGAAGAGGAAGCCTGGAATGGGAGACGGCAACAAGCCCCGTCCCTGGAACGCTGGCCTCTCTGGACAAGCCACCCGCTTCGCACCCCTCCTCTTATGCCCGTGGCGGTGGCACGGCGCTGTATCCTGCCTGGGCTATGGCCTCTGCTCTGTCGTCCCTCTTGCTCTGTCTCCCCTGTTTCTGAGCGGCCTAGATGCCTCTCGGTCTGGCTGAATATCTTCTACGAAGATCACTTCCCCGTCCATCAGGGAGACACTTCCTGGAGATCCGTGTCATGACTGTTTCTCTCTCCAAGCCTGTTTCTGCTGGATTGCGCAGGTCTGATGACCCTGGGGGCTCTTGGCTTCCATACGTGTCTCAGACAGGGAAGCTTCCTCGGTCTCCGTGTTTCACCTCATGGGTGGGTGGATTGCCTAGGATGAGCGAGCGCTAGGCCGGCGAGACTGGCCTTGTCTTCTAGGACAAGTGCATTTCCCTGCGCTTCCTGTCTCACTCTTGAGGGACATCCTCTCCTCCGCTCACAGGTGGACAGACTCCCTGGATCTTTTGGCTGTAACGAATGTCAGGAAACAAAGGGACTGCGCTGGGACTGGGGCTGGGGCTGCGTGCAGGGGAGGTTGCGTCAGGGCTAGCTGGGTGGTGGAGGGTTGGGGGTGGGGTGACTGTTGCAGAAACCTCTGTGGTCCTCTGGCAGGCATTTCAACATGTGGCTTGGCTGAGGCACAAGCCCCGTCCAGGTTCCCAGGTCTTCTTTGTGTTCCCTTGGCACTCAGGGAAAGGCCACTTGATCCCCTTTCTACCGGGCGCATGCCTGGGCACCACTGTTGCTTTCGCCCTCGCCCCACATGCCTCCGGTGACATACATTCACGCCATCTGCTCTGGTATACGCCAGTGCCAGGCGTGATCGCATTGTCTCCACCTGGGATTCGCCCCGTCCCTGTCTGCACGTGTCCTGGAAAGCGGTGTCAGCTTGCAGGAGCCCCAGGGCTTTTAGAAGCGGGCCAGGCCACCGCTCTTTCAAAGGAGGAGGGAGGCAGAGGGCTCACGGATCAGTGAATTTTCCGCTGACAGCAGGCCTTGAGGGCCATGGGATCATTCTGTGCTGCAGCGAGGCCCTGCCTGCCTCAGCAGATGTGGTGAGCCCATCCTTTCTCGCCCAGAGTGGTCCAAAATCGCATCTGAAGAGGAGTCCTGAGAACCCAGCAGGCGCCCTGAAGCTCCCCGTCCATCGGTGGAAGTCGGCTCAAGGAGGTCCTGAAGACGGGACTCCTGGGGGCTCGGCCCTGGGACACCCGTGGCCCCCTCTCCCACGCGGCCCCAAACTGGACCCCGGATCCAGCCGCAGCCGCGGCTGCAGCAGGCGCGCCCCCTGCCGCCGCGCAGCCGCCCGTATTTAAAGGGGACGCAGCCTGCCTGACTGCCAGGAGCCAAGCGCGAGTCGGCCCAGCCAAAGCGCATGCGCGAGGCGCGCGCCGCTTTTTGCTTCACAGTGCTTCCCACGGTTGTCTTAGGAACCAGTCCCCGAGGCTTGGCAACGCGGGAGCCCTCCGTGGCGGCGCTTGGGTGTCGGGCCTCCGAGGCTCCGGCCTGACCTCTCCACGGGGTCCACAGGAACGTCTCCGGCTGCCAGGAGTCACAAGGGGCCGAGCAGGATGAGGAAACCACAGGCGGAGTCCGGGGGAAGCAGCGTGGCATCCCAGCCTCAGGCCTGCCAGGACGGTGTTCGGGTGAGTCTCCCGAGAAGTCGTGCCCCCGTGATCTCGAGGACAGGTCCGCCTGCGTGCCCGAGGGCTGTTCTCTCAGCCGAGGGTTGTTCCCCTCCAGAGCAGAACCCGGCAGCCGCAGGGGTTGCCTGGGGGCGTGTGTTCTCGGGCACCGCGGTAGGACTGTCCTCTTGCTCTGTCTCCCCTGTTTCTGAGCGGCCTAGATGCCTCTCGGTCTGGCTGAATATCTTCTACGAAGATCACTTCCCCGTCCATCAGGGAGACACTTCCTGGAGATCCGTGTCATGACTGTTTCTCTCTCCAAGCCTGTTTCTGCTGGATTGCGCAGGTCTGATGACCCTGGGGCTCTTGGCTTCCATACGTGTCTCAGACAGGGAAGCTTCCTCGGTCTCCGTGTTTCACCTCATGGGTGGGTGGATTGCCTAGGATGAGCGAGCGCTAGGCCGGCGAGACTGGCCTTGTCTTCTAGGACAAGTGCATTTCCCCTGCGCTTCCTGTCTCACTCTTGAGGGACATCCTCTCCTCCGCTCACAGGTGGACAGACTCCCTGGATCTTTTGGCTGTAACGAATGTCAGGAAACAAAGGGACTGCGCTGGGACTGGGGCTGGGGCTGCGTGCAGGGGAGGTTGCGTCAGGGCTAGCTGGGTGGTGGAGGGTTGGGGGTGGGGTGACTGTTGCAGAAACCTCTGTGGTCCTCTGGCAGGCATTTCAACATGTGGCTTGGCTGAGGCACAAGCCCCGTCCAGGTTCCCAGGTCTTCTTTGTGTTCCCTTGGCACTCAGGGAAAGGCCACTTGATCCCCTTTCTACCGGGCGCATGCCTGGGCACCACTGTTGCTTTCGCCCTCGCCCCACATGCCTCCGGTGACATACATTCACGCCATCTGCTCTGGTATACGCCAGTGCCAGGCGTGATCGCATTGTCTCCACCTGGGATTCGCCCCGTCCCTGTCTGCACGTGTCCTGGAAAGCGGTGTCGGCTTGCAGGAGCCCCAGGGCTTTTAGAAGCGGGCCAGGCCACCGCTCTTTCAAAGGAGGAGGGAGGCAGAGGGCTCACGGATCAGTGAATTTCGACGAATTCTTGGCTTCCATACGTGTCTCAGACAGGGAAGCTTCCTCGGTCTCCGTGTTTCACCTCATGGGTGGGTGGATTGCCTAGGATGAGCGAGCGCTAGGCCGGCGAGACTGGCCTTGTCTTCTAGGACAAGTGCATTTCCCCTGCGCTTCCTGTCTCACTCTTGAGGGACATCCTCTCCTCCGCTCACAGGTGGACAGACTCCCTGGATCTTTTGGCTGTAACGAATGTCAGGAAACAAAGGGACTGCGCTGGGACTGGGGCTGGGGCTGCGTGCAGGGGAGGTTGCGTCAGGGCTAGCTGGGTGGTGGAGGGTTGGGGGTGGGGTGACTGTTGCAGAAACCTCTGTGGTCCTCTGGCAGGCATTTCAACATGTGGCTTGGCTGAGGCACAAGCCCCGTCCAGGTTCCCAGGTCTTCTTTGTGTTCCCTTGGCACTCAGGGAAAGGCCACTTGATCCCCTTTCTACCGGGCGCATGCCTGGGCACCACTGTTGCTTTCGCCCTCGCCCCACATGCCTCCGGTGACATACATTCACGCCATCTGCTCTGGTATACGCCAGTGCCAGGCGTGATCGCATTGTCTCCACCTGGGATTCGCCCCGTCCCTGTCTGCACGTGTCCTGGAAAGCGGTGTCGGCTTGCAGGAGCCCCAGGGCTTTTAGAAGCGGGCCAGGCCACCGCTCTTTCAAAGGAGGAGGGAGGCAGAGGGCTCACGGATCAGTGAATTTTCCGCTGACAGCAGGCCTTGAGGGCCATGGGATCATTCTGTGCTGCAGCGAGGCCCTGCCTGCCTCAGCAGATGTGGTGAGCCCATCCTTTCTCGCCCAGAGTGGTCCAAAATCGCATCTGAAGAGGAGTCCTGAGAACCCAGCAGGCGCCCTGAAGCTCCCCGTCCATCGGTGGAAGTCGGCTCAAGGAGGTCCTGAAGACGGGACTCCTGGGGGCTCGGCCCTGGGACACCCGTGGCCCCCTCTCCCACGCGGCCCCAAACTGGACCCCGGATCCAGCCGCAGCCGCGGCTGCAGCAGGCGCGCCCCCTGCCGCCGCGCAGCCGCCCGTATTTAAAGGGGACGCAGCCTGCCTGACTGCCAGGAGCCAAGCGCGAGTCGGCCCAGCCAAAGCGCATGCGCGAGGCGCGCGCCGCTTTTTGCTTCACAGTGCTTCCCACGGTTGTCTTAGGAACCAGTCCCCGAGGCTTGGCAACGCGGGAGCCCTCCGTGGCGGCGCCTGGGTGTCGGGCCTCCGAGGCTCCGGCCTGACCTCTCCACGGGGTCCACAGGAACGTCTCCGGCTGCCAGGAGTCACAAGGGGCCGAGCAGGATGAGGAAACCACAGGCGGAGTCCGGGGGCGTGCATTTCTCGGCCACCGCGGTAGGACTGTGTGTGGGGCTGTGTCTCCCATTCTCCCTTTCTCTCTCTGTCTCTCACCCTCTGTGTGCTTCTTTCCCTCTGTGTGTGTGTGTGTGTGTGTGTGTGTGTGTGTGTGTGTGTGTGTGTGTGTCTTTGGACGAATGTGCCCTGTGCGTCAAAAAGGGATGTCTTTTATGTGGACCGGTCTTTGGTGAGCCTCTTTCTGCGTCTCTCCCTGGGTCCTGCGGCCAGCTGTCCATCGTCTTCGCGGCGGTTCCACTTTGGGTCTGTGCAGGCCTCGATAACGTGAGGGGATGCATCGGGCCCGGAGCAGTGGAAGTCTCATCCCCATCCTGAGCGGCCTCTTTTCTAGGATCGAGAGGACCACACTGCAGCCCAGGACAAAAGCCCCACGGTAGCACATTGTCCGGCAGGAGAGGAGCAGACCCACGTCCAAGAAGATGGTTTTACCTTTCCACGCCCCTTCTCTGCGAAATGAAGCCACACCACCACACAGTCTTGAAGAGGAAGCCTGGAATGGGAGACGGCAACAAGCCCCGTCCCTGGAACGCTGGCCTCTCTGGACAAGCCACCCGCTTCGCACCCCTCCTCTTATGCCCGTGGCGGTGGCACGGCGCTGTATCCTGCCTGGGCTATGGCCTCTGCTCTGTCGTCCCTCTTGCTCTGTCTCCCCTGTTTCTGAGCGGCCTAGATGCCTCTCGGTCTGGCTGAATATCTTCTACGAAGATCACTTCCCCGTCCATCAGGGAGACACTTCCTGGAGATCCGTGTCATGACTGTTTCTCTCTCCAAGCCTGTTTCTGCTGGATTGCGCAGGTCTGATGACCCTGGGGCTCTTGGCTTCCATACGTGTCTCAGACAGGGAAGCTTCCTCGGTCTCCGTGTTTCACCTCATGGGTGGGTGGATTGCCTAGGATGAGCGAGCGCTAGGCCGGCGAGACTGGCCTTGTCTTCTAGGACAAGTGCATTTCCCCTGCGCTTCCTGTCTCACTCTTGAGGGACATCCTCTCCTCCGCTCACAGGTGGACAGACTCCCTGGATCTTTTGGCTGTAACGAATGTCAGGAAACAAAGGGACTGCGCTGGGACTGGGGCTGGGGCTGCGTGCAGGGGAGGTTGCGTCAGGGCTAGCTGGGTGGTGGAGGGTTGGGGGTGGGGTGACTGTTGCAGAAACCTCTGTGGTCCTCTGGCAGGCATTTCAACATGTGGCTTGGCTGAGGCACAAGCCCCGTCCAGGTTCCCAGGTCTTCTTTGTGTTCCCTTGGCACTCAGGGAAAGGCCACTTGATCCCCTTTCTACCGGGCGCATGCCTGGGCACCACTGTTGCTTTCGCCCTCGCCCCACATGCCTCCGGTGACATACATTCACGCCATCTGCTCTGGTATACGCCAGTGCCAGGCGTGATCGCATTGTCTCCACCTGGGATTCGCCCCGTCCCTGTCTGCACGTGTCCTGGAAAGCGGTGTCGGCTTGCAGGAGCCCCAGGGCTTTTAGAAGCGGGCCAGGCCACCGCTCTTTCAAAGGAGGAGGGAGGCAGAGGGCTCACGGATCAGTGAATTTTCCGCTGACAGCAGGCCTTGAGGGCCATGGGATCATTCTGTGCTGCAGCGAGGCCCTGCCTGCCTCAGCAGATGTGGTGAGCCCATCCTTTCTCGCCCAGAGTGGTCCAAAATCGCATCTGAAGAGGAGTCCTGAGAACCCAGCAGGCGCCCTGAAGCTCCCCGTCCATCGGTGGAAGTCGGCTCAAGGAGGTCCTGAAGACGGGACTCCTGGGGGCTCGGCCCTGGGACACCCGTGGCCCCCTCTCCCACGCGGCCCCAAACTGGACCCCGGATCCAGCCGCAGCCGCGGCTGCAGCAGGCGCGCCCCCTGCCGCCGCGCAGCCGCCCGTATTTAAAGGGGACGCAGCCTGCCTGACTGCCAGGAGCCAAGCGCGAGTCGGCCCAGCCAAAGCGCATGCGCGAGGCGCGCGCCGCTTTTTGCTTCACAGTGCTTCCCACGGTTGTCTTAGGAACCAGTCCCCGAGGCTTGGCAACGCGGGAGCCCTCCGTGGCAGCGCTTGGGTGTCGGGCCTCCGAGGCTCCGGCCTGACCTCTCCACGGGGTCCACAGGAACGTCTCCGGCTGCCAGGAGTCGCAAGGGGCCGAGCAGGATGAGGAAACCACAGGCGGAGTCCGGGGGAAGCAGCGTGGCATCCCAGCCTCAGGCCTGCCAGGACGGTGTTCGGGTGAGTCTCCCGAGAAGTCGTGCCCCCGTGATCTCGAGGACAGGTCCGCCTGCGTGCCCGAGGGCTGTTCTCTCAGCCGAGGGTTGTTCCTCTCCAGAGCAGAACCCGGCAGCCGCAGGGGTTGCCTGGGGGCGTGCATTGCCTAGGATGAGCGAGCGCTAGGCCGGCGAGACTGGCCTTTGTCTTATAGGACAAAGTGCATTTCCCCTGCGCTTTCCTGTCTCACTCTTGAGGGACATCCTCTCCTCCGCTCACAGGTGGACAGACTCCCTGGATCTTTTGGCTGTAACGAATGTCAGGAAACAAAAGGGACTGCGCTGGGACTGGCGCTGGGGCTGCGTGCAGGGGAGGTTGCGTCAGGGCTAGCTGGGTGGTGGAGGGTTGGGGGTGGGGTGACTGTTGCAGAAACCTCTGTGGTCCTCTGGCAGGCATTTCAACATGTGGCTTGGCTGAGGCACAAGCCCCGTCCAGGTTCCCAGGTCTTCTTTGTGTTCCCTTGGCACTCAGGGAAAGGCCACTTGATCCCCTTTCTACCGGGCGCATGCCTGGGCACCACTGTTGCTTTCGCCCTCGCCCCACATGCCTCCGGTGACATACATTCACGCCATCTGCTCTGGTATACGCCAGTGCCAGGCGTGATCGCATTGTCTCCACCTGGGATTCGCCCCGTCCCTGTCTGCACGTGTCCTGGAAAGCGGTGTCGGCTTGCAGGAGCCCCAGGGCTTTTAGAAGCGGGCCAGGCCACCGCTCTTTCAAAGGAGGAGGGAGGCAGAGGGCTCACGGATCAGTGAATTTTCCGCTGACAGCAGGCCTTGAGGGCCATGGGATCATTCTGTGCTGCAGCGAGGCCCTGCCTGCCTCAGCAGATGTGGTGAGCCCATCCTTTCTCGCCCAGAGTGGTCCAAAATCACATCTGAAGAGGAGTCCTGAGAACCCAGCAGGCGCCCTGAAGCTCCCCGTCCATCGGTGGAAGTCGGCTCAAGGAGGTCCTGAAGACGGGACTCCTGGGGGCTCGGCCCTGGGACACCCGTGGCCCCCTCTCCCACGCGGCCCCAAACTGGACCCCGGATCCAGCCGCAGCCGCGGCTGCAGCAGGCGCGCCCCCTGCCGCCGCGCAGCCGCCCGTATTTAAAGGGGACGCAGCCTGCCTGACTGCCAGGAGCCAAGCGCGAGTCGGCCCAGCCAAAGCGCATGCGCGAGGCGTGCGCCGCTTTTTGCTTCACAGTGCTTCCCACGGTTGTCTTAGGAACCAGTCCCCGAGGCTTGGCAACGCGGGAGCCCTCCGTGGCAGCGCTTGGGTGTCGGGCCTCCGAGGCTCCGGCCTGACCTCTCCACGGGGTCCACAGGAACGTCTCCGGCTGCCAGGAGTCGCAAGGGGCCGAGCAGGATGAGGAAACCACAGGCGGAGTCCGGGGGAAGCAGCGTGGCATCCCAGCCTCAGGCCTGCCAGGACGGTGTTCGGGTGAGTCTCCCGAGAAGTCGTGCCCCCGTGATCTCGAGGACAGGTCCGCCTGCGTGCCCGAGGGCTGTTCTCTCAGCCGAGGGTTGTTCCCCTCCAGAGCAGAACCCGGCAGCCGCAGGGGTTGCCTGGGGGCGTGTATTGCTCGGCCACCGCGGTAGGACTGTGTGTGGGGCTGTGTCTCCCATTCTCCCTTCTCTCTCTGTCTCTCACCCTCTGTGTGCTTCTTTCCCTCTGTGTGTGTGTGTGTGTGTGTTTGTGTGTGTGTGTGTGTGTCTTTTGACGAATGTGCCCTGTGCGTCAAAAAGGGATGTCTTTTATGTCGACCGGTCTTTGGTGAGCCTCTTTCTGCGTCTCTCCCTGGGTCCTGCGGCCAGCTGTCCATCGTCTTCGCGGCGGTTCCACTTTGGGTCTGTGCAGGCCTCGATAACGTGAGGGGATGCATCGGGCCCTCCGTGGCAGCGCTTGGGTGTCGGGCCTCCGAGGCTCCGGCCTGACCTCTCCACGGGGTCCACAGGAACGTCTCCGGCTGCCAGGAGTCGCAAGGGGCCGAGCAGGATGAGGAAACCACAGGCGGAGTCCGGGGGAAGCAGCGTGGCATCCCAGCCTCAGGCCTGCCAGGACGGTGTTCGGGTGAGTCTCCCGAGAAGTCGTGCCCCCGTGATCTCGAGGACAGGTCCGCCTGCGTGCCCGAGGGCTGTTCTCTCAGCCGAGGGTTGTTCCCCTCCAGAGCAGAACCCGGCAGCCGCAGGGGTTGCCTGGGGGCGTGTATTGCTCGGCCACCGCGGTAGGACTGTGTGTGGGGCTGTGTCTCCCATTCTCCCTTCTCTCTCTGTCTCTCACCCTCTGTGTGCTTCTTTCCCTCTGTGTGTGTGTGTGTGTGTGTTTGTGTGTGTGTGTGTGTGTCTTTTGACGAATGTGCCCTGTGCGTCAAAAAGGGATGTCTTTTATGTCGACCGGTCTTTGGTGAGCCTCTTTCTGCGTCTCTCCCTGGGTCCTGCGGCCAGCTGTCCATCGTCTTCGCGGCGGTTCCACTTTGGGTCTGTGCAGGCCTCGATAACGTGAGGGGATGCATCGGGCCCGGAGCAATGGAAGTCTCATCCCCATCCTGAGCGGCCTCTTTTCTAGGATCGAGAGGACCACACTGCAGCCCAGGACAAAAGCCCCACGGTAGCACATTGTCCGGCAGGAGAGGAGCAGACCCACGTCCAAGAAGATGGTTTTACCTTTCCACGCCCCTTCTCTGCGAAATGAAGCCACACCACCACACAGTCTTGAAGAGGAAGCCTGGAATGGGAGACGGCAACAAGCCCCGTCCCTGGAACGCTGGCCTCTCTGGACAAGCCACCCGCTTCGCACCCCTCCTCTTATGCCCGTGGCGGTGGCACGGCGCTGTATCCTGCCTGGGCTATGGCCTCTGCTCTGTCGTCCCTCTTGCTCTGTCTCCCCTGTTTCTGAGCGGCCTAGATGCCTCTCGGTCTGGCTGAATATCTTCTACGAAGATCACTTCCCCGTCCATCAGGGAGACACTTCCTGGAGATCCGTGTCATGACTGTTTCTCTCTCCAAGCCTGTTTCTGCTGGATTGCGCAGGTCTGATGACCCTGGGGCTCTTGGCTTCCATACGTGTCTCAGACAGGGAAGCTTCCTCGGTCTCCGTGTTTCACCTCATGGGTGGGTGGATTGCCTAGGATGAGCGAGCGCTAGGCCGGCGAGACTGGCCTTGTCTTCTAGGACAAGTGCATTTCCCCTGCGCTTCCTGTCTCACTCTTGAGGGACATCCTCTCCTCCGCTCACAGGTGGACAGACTCCCTGGATCTTTTGGCTGTAACGAATGTCAGGAAACAAAGGGACTGCGCTGGGACTGGGGCTGGGGCTGTGTCTCCCATTCTCCCTTCTCTCTCTGTCTCTCACCCTCTGTGTGCTTCTTTCCCTCTGTGTGTGTGTGTGTGTGTGTGTGTGTGTGTGTGTGTGTGTGTCTTTGGACGAATGTGCCCTGTGCGTCAAAAAGGGATGTCTTTTATGTGGACCGGTCTTTGGTGAGCCTCTTTCTGCGTCTCTCCCTGGGTCCTGCGGCCAGCTGTCCATCGTCTTCGCGGCGGTTGCACTTTGGGTCTGTGCAGGCCTCGATAACGTGAGGGGATGCATCGGGCCCGGAGCAATGGAAGTCTCATCCCCATCCTGAGCGGCCTCTTTTCTAGGATCGAGAGGACCACACTCCAGCCCAGGACAAAAGCCCCACGGTAGCACATTGTCCGGCAGGAGAGGAGCAGACCCACGTCCAAGAAGATGGTTTTACCTTTCCACGCCCCTTCTCTGCGAAATGAAGCCACACCACCACACAGTCTTGAAGAGGAAGCCTGGAATGGGAGACGGCAACAAGCCCCATCCCTGGAACGCTGGCCACTCTGGACAAGCCACCCGCTTCGCACCCCTCCTCTTATGCCCGTGGCGGTGGCACGGCGCTGTATCCTGCCTGGGCTATGGCCTCTGCTCTGTCGTCCCTCTTGCTCTGTCTCCCCTGTTTCTGAGCGGCCTAGATGCCTCTCGGTCTGGCTGAATATCTTCTACGAAGATCACTTCGCCGTCCATCAGGGAGACACTTCCTGGAGATCCGTGTCATGACTGTTTCTCTCTCCAAGCCTGTTTCTGCTGGATTGCGCAGGTCTGATGACCCTGGGGCTCTTGGCTTCCATACGTGTCTCAGACAGGGAAGCTTCCTCGGTCTCCGTGTTTCACCTCATGGGTGGGTGGATTGCCTAGGATGAGCGAGCGCTAGGCCGGCGAGACTGGCCTTGTCTTCTAGGACAAGTGCATTTCCCCTGCGCTTCCTGTCTCACTCTTGAGGGACATCCTCTCCTCCGCTCACAGGTGGACAGACTCCCTGGATCTTTTGGCTGTAACGAATGTCAGGAAACAGAGGGACTGCGCTGGGACTGGGGCTGGGGCTGCGTGCAGTGGAGGTTGTGTCAGGGCTAGCTGGGTGGTGGATGGTTGGGGGTGGGGTGACTGTTGCAGAAACCCCTGTTGTCCTCTGGCAGGCATTTCAAAATGTGGCTTGGACTGAGGCACAGGCCCCGTCCATGTTCCCAGGTCTTCTTTGAGTTCCCTTGGCACTCAGGGAAAGGCCAGTTGATCCCCCTTTCCACCGGGCACATTCCTGGACAGCAATGTTGGTTTCTCCCTTGCCCCATATGCCTCCGGTGACATACATTCACGCCATCTGCTCTGGTATATGCCAGTGCCAGGCGTGACCGCATTGTCACCACCTGGCATTCGCCCCGTCCCTGTCTGCACGTGTCCTGGAAAGCGGTATCGGCTTGCAGGAGCCCCAGGGCTTTCAGAAGCGGGCCAGTTCACTGCTGTTTCAAAGGAGGAGGGAGGCAGAGGGCTCACGATTCAGTGAATTTTCCACTGACAGCAGGCCTTGAGGGCCATGGGATCATTCTCTGCTGCAGCCAGGCCCTGCCTGCCTCAGCAAATGTGGTGAGCCCCTCCTTTCTCACCCGGAGTGGTCCAAAATGGCATCTGAAGAGGAGTCCTGAGAACCCAGCAGGCGCCCTGAAGCTCCCCGTCCATCGGCGGAAGTTGGCTCAAGGAGGTCCTGAATACGGGATTCCTGGGGGCTTTGCCCGGGGACACCCGCGGCCCCTTGTCACAGGCGCCCCGAAACTGTACCCCGGATCCAGCCGCAGCCGCGGCTGCGCAGGCGCGCCCCCTGCCGCCCCGCACCTGCGGTTATTTAAAGCTGACACAGCTTGCCTGAGGGCCAGGAGCCCATGCGAGTCGACCCAGCCAATGCGCATGCTCGAGTGGCTCGCCGCTTTTCGCGTCATAGTGGTTCTCACGGTTGTCTTAGGAACCAGTCCCTTGGCAACGCGGGACCCCTCCGTGGCAGCGCTTGGGTGTCGGGCCTCCGAGGCTTCGGCCTGACCTCTCCACGGGGTCCACAGGAACGTCTCTGGCTGCCAGGAGTCGCAAGGGGCTGAGCAGGATGAGGAAACCACAGGCGGAGTCCGGTGGAAGCAGCGTGGCATCCCAGCCTCAGGCCTGCCAGGACGGTGTTCGGGTGAGTCTCCCGAGAAGTCGTGCCCCCGTGATCTCGAGGACAGGTCCGCCTGCGTGCCCGAGGGCTGTTCTGTCATCGGAGGGTCGTTCCCGTCAGGAGCAGAACCCGGCAGCCGCAGGGGTTGCCTGGGGGCATGTATTTCTCGGCCACCGCGGTAGGACTGTGTGTGGGGGTGTGTCTCCCATTCTCCCTTCTCTCTCTGTCTCTCACCCTCTGTGTGCTTCTTTTCCTCTGTGTGTGTGTGTGTGTGTGTGCCAGTGTGCGTGTGTGTCTTTGAACGAATGTGCCTTGTGCGTCAGAAAGGGATTTCTTGCTTGTCTGCCGGTCTTTGGTGGGTTTCTTTCTGCGTCTCTCCCTGGGTCCTGTCCAGCTGTCCATCGTTTTCACGGCGGTTCCACTTTGGGTTTGCGAAATCCTCGATCACGTGAGGGGATGCGTCGGCCGGGAGCAATGGAAGTCTCATCCCCATCATGAGCGTCCTCTTTTCTAGGATCAAGAGGACCACACTCCAGCCCAGGACAAATGCCCCACGGTAGCACATTGTCCGGCAGGAGAGGAGCAGACCCACGTCCAAGAAGATGGTTGTACCTTTCCACGCCTCTTCTCTGCGAAATGAAGCCACAGAACGACACAATCTTGAAGAGGAAGCCGTGAATGGGAGACTGCAACAATCTGTGTCCCTGGAATGCTGGCCTCTCTGGACAAGCCACGCACTTCGCACCCCTCCTGTTATGCCCGTGGCGGTGGCACGGCGCTGTATCCTACCTGGGCTCTGGCCTCCTCTCTGTCCTCCCTCTTGCTCTGTCTCCCCTGTTTCTGAGCGGCCTAGGTGCCTCTTGGCCTGGCTGAATATCTTCTACAAAGATCACTTCCCAGTCCATCAGGGACTCTCTTCCTGGAAATCGGTGTCATGACTGTTTCTCTCTCCAAACCTGTTTCTGCTGGGTTGGTTAGGTCTGGTGACCCTGGAGCTCTTGTCTTCCATACGTGTCTCAGCCAGGGAAGCTTCCTCGGTCTCCATGTTTCACCTCATTTGTGGGTGGATTTTCTAGAATTAGTTGTAGGCGACAGTGACTGGTCTTGTCTTCTAGGACAGGAGAGGTGCCGCATTTCTTCTGCACTTCCTGTCTCATCCTTTAGGGACATGCTGTCCTCTGCTCCTGGGTGTACTGAGTCCCTGAATCTTTTGGCCCCCTCCTGCATCCCAGGTGTTCTTTGATTTTCCTTCGCATTGATGGAAAGGTCACTTGTGCCCCGCTTCCGCCGGCCACATGCCTGGACACCATTTTTTGTTTCGCCATCGCCCCATACGCCCTCGGTGACACACATTTATGCCATCTGCTCTGCGGTACACCATGCCACGTATGGTCTCATTGGCTCCACCTCGGAATTTCCCCTGTCCCTGTGTTCACGTGTCCTGGAAAGTGGTATCAGCTTTCAAGTGCACCAGGGCTTTTCTTTTTTCAAAGGAGAAGGGAGGCATCAGTGAATTTTCAGCTGACACCTCGCCTTGGGGCCCATGGGATCATTCTGGGATGCAGCGAGGCCCTGCCTTCCTAGCAGATGTGGTGAGCCCATCCTTTCTCACCCGGAGGGGTCCAAAGTCGGATCTCAAGAGGAGTTCTGGGACCCCAGCAGGCGCCCAGAAGCTCCACCTCCACCCCGGAAGTCGGCTTAAGGAGGTCCTCAAGACCGGACTCCTGGGGGTTTGGCCTTGGGACGCCTGTGGCCTCCTCTCCCACGCTGCCCCGTACTGGACCCCTGATCCAGCCACCGCCAGGGCTGCAATGCGAGCCGCCCTTCCTCTGCGTAGCCGCTATTGTTTAAAGGGGTCGCAGCCTGACTGCCAGGAGCGGAGTGCGACTCGGCCCCTCCAATGCGCATGCGCAAGGCCCTGGCGCATGCTCCAGTCACAGTTATTCCCACGGTTGTCTTAGAAACCCGTCCCTGAGGCTTGGCAAAGTAGGAGCCCTCCGTGGCAGTGCTTGGGTGTCGGGGCTCCGAGGCTCCGGCCTGACCTCTCCACGGGGTCGACAGGAACATCTCTGGCTGCCAGGAGTCGCAAAGGGCCGACCAGGATGACGAAACCACAGGCGAAGTCCGGGGGAAGCGGCATGGCATGCCAGCCTCAGGCCTGCCAGGACGGTGTTCGGGTGAGTCTCCCCAGAAGTCGTGCCCCCGTGATCTCAAGGACCGGTCTGCTTGCATGCCTATGGGCTGCTCTCTCACCTGAGGGTCGTTCTCATGTGGAGCAGAACCCTGCTGCCTCAGAGGTTGCCTTGGGGTGTGGTGTGTTTCTGTGCCAGTGCTGTATGACTGTGTGTTTTTGTTTCTGTGTGTGTGTGTGTGTGTGTGTGTCTCCTATTCTCTCCTCTCTCTCTGTCTCTTACTCTTTCCCTCTCTCTGTCGGTTTGTTTGTGTCCTTGTGCGTGTGTTTGTTTGGACGAATGTGCCTTGTGCGCCAAAGAAGCTATTTTTGCATGTCGTCTGGTCTTTGTTGAGCCTCTTTCTGGGTCTCTGCCTGGGTCATGTGGCCGGCTGTCTATCGTTTTCTCGGCGTTTCCACTTTGGGTTCGTGGAGACCTCGACCACGTGAGGAGATGCGTCAGTCCCGGGGCAATTGAAATCTCATCCCCATCCTGAGCAGCCTCTTTTCTAGGATCAATATGACCACACTCCAGCCAAGGACAAAATGCTCACAGGAGGTCATTTTTCTGCAGGGGTGGAGCCAACCAAAGTCAAAGAAGATTGTTGTATCTTTTCACAGCTCTTCTCTGAGAACGAAGCCACACAACGATAGAATCTTGAAGAAGAAGCTAGGAATGGGAGATGGCAACAATCCCTGTCACTGGAACACTGGTCTCTCTGGACAAGTCACCAGTTTGGCACCCCTCCCCTTATGCCTGTACCGATGGCATGGTGCTATATCCTGCCTGGGCTCTGGCCTCTGCTCTGTCCTCCCTCTTGCTCTGTCTCCCCTGTTTCTGAGGGGCCTTGATGTTTCTTGATCTGTCTGAATGTCTTCAACAAAGACCACTTCCCAGTCCTCCAGGGCGACACTTCCTGGAGATCCGTGTCATGATTGTTTCTCCCTCCAAACCTGTTTCTGCTTGATTAGCCAGGGTTGATGATCCTGGGGCTCTTGGCTTCCATACGTATCTCAGACAGGGAAGCTAGCTTGGTCTCCATGTTTCACCTCATGGGTGAGTGGATTGCCTAGAATGAGCAGTAGGTGACTGTGACTGGCCTTGTCTTCTAGGGCAGGGACATGTCGCATTTCCTCTGCACTTCCTGTCTCATTCTTGAGAAACATCCTCCCCTCTGCTCATGGGTGGACTGACTCCTTGAATCTTTTGGCTGTAATGAAAGTCAGGGATCCAATGGGACTGGGCTGGGGCTGGAGCTGGATGCAGGGGAGGTTCTGTCAGGGCTACCTGGGCATTGGAGGATTGGGGGTGGATTGAACTTTGCATAAACCTCTTTACTCCTCCAGCAGGCTTTTCAAAATGTGGCTTGGACTCATGCAATAAGAAATTTACCGGTTGAAAGGGCCCCTTTTTCAATGGCACTCTGGGTAACATCGCTTCAGCACAATCATATGGTAGAGAAGCCTTATCAAATTTGCTGTCCCTCAGGGCTCTTAAAGATGCTTGATAAATTATTAGGGAAATAAGAAACAAATTGAAAGGAAAAGGAAATCCAAGGACCTGCCCCAGAAGAATCATAGATATGTTTGAATACTTATTCATTATTTGCCCCAGATAGAAAATGTTTGTTAATCAAAAGGCAAAAGTTATAATGAGGAAGATAATATTGCCTGGGGCAATGTTGAGACAAATAAGGTGAAGATCAACCAAACGCCCTGAGTCCTTTGGCCCAAATCCCTGCTGGGGACCCAAATACTTTTGATATAGCATCTTGCTACCTGAGGAACGCAAGGAGAATAATACTCATAAGCAGAGCCTCTGTTTTCCCATAGGACTGACTCTAACTATGTGAAGAACTGCTACATATTCTACAGTGCTTAATAGGCGGTGCCTATCTAACAGGAGCTGTTTGGCTTGTGGATAGCAGTTCCAAGATGAACAAATGACATTGTGTTTGAAAGCCACTGCTCTTATTAAAGAAGAGTCAAGCAAATGTTTTTATTTTGAGTTATTTATAGTTTAGAAAAATTGGGTGAAGTGTGTTTTTGTGAGCAAATTTATTTTTCTCTAGGTTATCCGTAATTTGAAAGCTGTGAGTATTCTGATTAGGTGACAATATAGTTATTTGCTTAAGTACATCTTTTATTGTAAAATGGGACAAATGGAGACACTGGTTATTTTACCCAGGCTTTGACTAGAATAACTTAATTTTAGGTAAATCCCAACAAACCCAACTTAAGAGGAGTCTATATGACCAATTAATTGTTTCTGCACTTTAAGCAAATACTCAGGCTGTACTAGTCCCTTCTCACACTGCTATAAAGATATTACCTGAGACTGGGTAATTTATAAACAAGAGAGGTTTAACTGACAGTTCTGCATAGCCGGGGAGGCCTCAGAAAACTTACAGTTATGATAGAAAGGAAAGTAGGCACCTTCTTCAAAAGGTGGCAGGAGAGACTGTGTGTGTGTGTGTGTAAAGGATAAAATGTCAAACACTTATACAATCATCAGATTTCATAACTCACTATCATGAAAACAGCATGGGTGAAACAACTCCCATGATACAATCACCTCCCACCAGGAGGGATGACAATTTGAAATGAGATTTGGGTGAGCACACAGAGTCAAGCCATATCACAAGCCAACCATAATAAGCCTAAAACTTATTTTTCACACAAATTGTTCTCACTATGACTTCTCCTACAGATTGTTTCAAGGGAAAAGGGTAATGCTTGTTACTAAATGTCAGCTCTGGCTTTTATTTTATTGAGTACAAATTGAATCATAAAATTTTTTTATTTTATTTTATTTTCCTTTAAGTTCCAGAATACATGTGCAGAATGTGCAGGTTTGTTAAGTAGGTATACACGTGCCATGGTAGTTTGCTATACCTATTGACCCATCCTTTAAGTTCCCTCCCCTCACCCCTCACCCCCCAACAGGCCCTGGTGTGTGCTTTTCTGCTCCCTGTGTCCATGTGTTCTCATTGTTCAACTTCCACTTATGAGTGAGAACATGTGGTGTTTGGTTTTCTGTTCCTGTTTTAGTTTGCTAAGGATGATGGCTTCCAGCTTCATCAATGTCCATGCAAAGGGCATGATCTCATTCCTTTTATGGCTGCATAGTATTCCATGATGTATATGTACTACATTTTGTTTATCCAGTCTATCCTTGATGGGCATTTGGACTAGTTCCATGACTTTGCTATTGTAAATAGTGCTGCAATAAACATATGTGTGCATGTGTCTTTAGAGTAGAATAATTTATATTATTTTGGGTATATATCCAGTAATGGGGCTGCTGGGTCAAATGGTATTTCTGGTTTTAGATCCTTGAGGAATCGTCATACTGTCTTCCACAATGGTTGAACTAATTTACATGCCCACCAACAGTGTAAAAGCATTCCTATTTCTCCACAGCCTGGTCAGCTTCTACTGTTTCTTGATTTTTTAATAACTGCCATCCGACTGGTGTTAGATGGTATCTCATTGTAGTTTTGATTTGCATTTCTCAAATAATCAGTGATGTTGAGCTTTTTTTATATATTTGTTGGCCATGTAAATATCTTCTTTGGAGAAGTGTCTGTTCATGTTCTTTGCTCATTTTTTGATTGGGTTATTTGTTTTTTTCTTGTGAATTTGTTTAATTTCCTTGTCAATTCTGGCTATTAGACCTTTGTCAGATGGGTAGATTGCAAAATTTTTCTCCCATTCTGTTGTTTGCCTATTCACTCTGATGATAGTTTCTTTTGCTGTGCAGAAGCTCTTTAGTTTACTTAGATCTCATTTGTCAATCTTGGCTTCTGTTGCAGTTGCTTTTGGCATTTTTGTCATGAAGTCTTTGCTCATGCCTATGTCCTGAATGGTATTGCCCAGGTTTTCTTCTAGTGTTTTTATGGTTTGGGGCTTGACATTTAAGTCTTATGTTTAAGGTTTAAAGTCTTAAGTTTAAGGTTTAAGGAAGGGTTCCAGTTTCAGTTTTCTGCATATGGCCAGTGAATTTTCCCAGCCCTATTTATTGAATAGGAGATTCTTTCTTCATTGCTTCTTTTTGTCAGGTTTGTTGAAGATCATATGGATGTAGATGTGTGGTGTTATTTCTGAGGTCTTTGTTCTGTTTCATTAGTGTATATGTCTGTTTTGGTACAAGTACCATGCTGTGTTGGTTAGTGTAGCCTTGTAGTATAGTTTGAAGTAGTGTGATGCCTCCAACTTTGTTCTTTTTGCTATTCCAAACAATTGAAAAGGAGTGACTTCCCCCTAACTCATTTTATGAAGCCAGCATCATCATGATAGCAGAATCAGGAAGACACACACACACACACACACACACACACACACACACTTCAGGCCAATATCCCTGATGAACATCGATGCACAAATCCTCAATAAAATACTAGCAAACCGAATTCAGCGGCATATCAAAACACTTATCTACCACAATCAAGTCAGCTTCATCCCTGGGATGCAAGACTGTTCCACCATGCACAAATAAATAAACATAATCCATCAACATAAACAGAACCAAAGACAAAAACCACGTGATTATCTCAATAGGTGCAGAAAAGGCCTTTGATAAAATTCCACACCACTTCATGTTAAAAACTCTCAATAAACTAGGTATTGATGGAACATATCTCAAAATAATAAGAGCTATTTATGACAACCCTACAGCCAATATCACAGTCAATGGGCAAAAGCTGTAAGCATTGCCTTTGAAAACTGGTACAAGACAAGGAAGCCCTCTCTCACCACTTCTATTCAACATAGTATTGGAAGTTCTGGCAAGGGCAATCAGGCAAGAGGAAGAAATAAAGGGTATTCATATAGGAAGAGAGGAAGTCAAGTTGCCTCTGATTGCAGATGATATGCTGCTATATTTAGAAAACTCCATAATCTCAGCCCCAAAACCCCTTAAACTGATAAGCAACTTCAGCAAAGTCTCATGATATAAAATCAATGTCCAAAAATCACAAGCATTCCTTTACACCAACAATAGACAAGTAGAGAGACAAATAATGAATGAACTCCCATTCACAATTGCTAAAAAAATGAATAAAATACCTAGAAATACAGCTAACAAGGGATGTGAAAGACCTCTTCAAGGAGAACTACAAACCACTGCTCAAGGAAATAAGAGGACATACACAAATGGAAAAAGATTCCATCCCCATGGATAGGAAAAATCAATACTATAAAAATAGCCATATTGCCCAAAGTAATTTATAGATTCAGTGCTATTCCCATCAAACTACCACTGACATTCTTCACAAAATTAGAAAAATCTACTTTAAATTTCATACAGAACCAAAGAAGACCCCGTATAGCCAAGATGATCCTGAGAATCCTGAAAGTTTTCATAGTTATAATAATCTTCTAATGAGTACAGGATTATCATTTTTCTTCATATTTTCAGTTGGTGACCTAATGAAATAGCGTATTTTTTCTCTTTTGACACACAAGTACTCTTCTGATGGTCAAAATAGTAAGTTATTTATCTCTCCTTGTTTCACTTCAAAGGAAACCAGAATCATGGCATTCTGAAAGTTAGAGATGCAAATCTCCATTATTTGGCATCCCACTGGACCCGATCTGTTTTTCATTGCAAATGTCCTGCTGCTAAGACTATGCAAGGACCCTCCCTCTAGGCCCAGAGACTGTTGCAGAGGAGATGGGTGCATGAGATTGTAAGGGCTGGTTATGAGGGATACAGTTAGCTCAGACACTCCAAATCAAGGAGGGTACACAGGTGCCTAAACAGCTTGTAAAACAAAGAACTTTGCTTTCTCAGCTATTATGTGGCACCTTTTTATCCACCCCAACCATGAAAAATGTCCTGCTTCCTGGAATTAAAACAAAATAATTATTAAGAGGATAAAGATACCTCATGACCAAGCCTCCTGGGCATAATACTCCCAGTTATAAGTTTTGCAGATATATATATATTTAGATATATAAAATTATTTTTTAGAAAAATGTATATGTTTTGTATAGTTAATCACTGTAAGTCTGTAATGAAAACCAAGATTATAGTAGCTCAATGCATAGAAGTGAAAGAAAAGTCAATTTTTGTAAACTCGCCATTGGCTTTTTGTTTTTGGCTCTTTACTTTAAATATATCTTTTAAGGGGTAATGAATGCCTGTCCGAGTCCATTCCTGTCTTTCCTAGAACGCTTACTTGTCTATAAGTATTTGACTTCAAGTCCCTCCACCATAGAGAGTCTCACTGAAGGGCAGGATGGACACAGGGCAGGCAGATATGCCACCCAAGCAGTGCTAGGGGAAAAAAAATAATAGCCATTGATGCTGATGCTGGCAAATATTGGCCATAAATGGAAGAATGTAAGCCAAAAATAAAATTCTAAGCCCTTCAACCATCTGAATGTACCCCTCCTCTCGGCCATAGGAATTCCAGATTGAAACTGAAAATCTTGTTCAGGCCATGATGGAAGAGAGCATTGGACATGCCTCATTATATTTCTCTAGCATTAACATCAACACAGACCTTAAGACATCAACATCAGACCTAAGAGTCTGATCAGAAATATTTAACATCTATTTTCTCTGAAGCCTGCTACCTGGAGGCTTTATCTGCCTGATAATATCTAGGTTTCTCCAACTCCTTATCTTAACCCAGACATTCCTTTCTACTGATAATAACTCTTTCAACCAATTGCCAATCAGAAAATTTTAAAATCTACCTATAACCTGGAAGTCCCCACTTCGAGTTGTCCTGCACTTCCAGACTGAAACAATATATACCTTACATGTATTGACTGATGTCTCATGTCTCCCTAAAATGTGTAAAACTAGGCTGTGCCCTGACCATCTTGTGCACATGTTCTCAGGGTCTCCTGAGGGCTGTGTCATGGCCCATTGGTCACTTATATTTGGCTCAGAATAAATCTCTTCAAATATTTTAGAGTTTGACTCTTTTTGTTGACCAGTCACTCCCTAGTAAGTTTAGGAGCAGGGATCTGACAGCAACCATATCATGCTCAGAAACAGCATTCTCTCATCCACTGTCCCCAGGCTCTGCAGAACCCAGGGTCCTGGTATCCATAACCCAAGGAAATGGGAAGGAGTCATGAGCTCTTGGGCTTTCTCATTCTCTGAAAATGGACAATTGATAACTAGCCGTGATTTTGTTTAGAAGTATAAATAAATGTCACATTTCTAAGCAAAATCAAGTCTAGTTTCAAATGTGTGAAAGGAAAATAGAAACTTGGGACCCCAATTCACTCTGCCAAAAGGAGAAAGTTAAGCTGAAAGCTGAGTCATGTGAGAAGCTGACTTTCCTTTTGCTCTTAAGCACACAGCTCCAGATAGAAGGTAAAATATTCCCACAGGTAGGTGCTCTGTCCTCATCTTACCTTATGTGAAGTGCTGATTTACTGAGCATAAGATGAATACCAAATTGACTATTCCCCTGCCTTATCCTTTTCTTTTGCAATGTGTGGATTCAGTAATGTGACCATACCCTTCCTCTTTCCCCTCCAGCAAACTCTTCCCCTTTAAGTATTGAAGCCTCAGCATCATTTTTGGAAAAAGGCACAGACCACAGATTGTTTCTATTATTCTGTGTTTTTTCCTTCCAACTTGTCCTTAATCTTGGCAAAATAAACTTCTAAATTGATTGATACCTGTCTCAGATACTTACTCGTTTATGAATATTAGAAGCAGTTTGTGTTCTCGTCGTATGTGTTATTACAGCTATCCCTTTTTATCCAACCTTTTACTATCAAGCTCAATAATCTAATAAAATCAGATAACTTTTTAGGTGAGTCCCTTTCTATATAAACTCTTGCTATTCATACTGGAGCTACATTCATTTGGATAGTGCTCTCCCTCCTGAGTCAAGCTTGGTGCCTGACTCTCCCTATCCAAATCAGAAGCCAAATAGACTTGGAAGGTTCAGGCAGTCAGTGTACACAGAACACACACGACCTTTTCGTTTAGCCATCGCTAGTTATCTCTAGTAGGTGTAATAAGGAGAAATGTTTACTTTTCAAATACATTGCTGTGGTGTTTTAATTTTTACAAGCATGTTTACATAACTAATTTTTATAAAATACACCTGTTGCTGGATACCTCTTGTTCCTATCTTGATAACCATCACCGAGATTTGCAAAGGAGGCCTTGCTCAAATATTTGGAAACTAATGCCCTCAGGGAGATGTCCACCAGCCTTGTTCCTCTCATTCCTATTTAAAGATTGTAATGTCATTGGGTCTTTCCCTAGGGTGGCCCCTGGTTTTCCAGGCTGGACACTCCTGTGTTGAAGATGCATCGACTCACGTACTGCATTAATGTTTTAGATTTTACTGTGAAGCAAACAATTCACTCCTCAGACCCTCAGTCACCCAAGTCCACATCTGGACTTGAGGTTTGGCTTCTCTGGTCCTAACTGGGACTTATCTGACCCTGACAGGAGATAACTTCAGTAGGGACTTTCCCTAATAGCAAACATGCACACTTCAACTTGGCTTGCCCTGAAGGTAACATTTACTCATTATAATGGTAAAAAAAAAACACACCCCTGGGTGGAGATTTCAGACATTACTAAGACGTGTGATATATGTACTAGCGTGTATGACCATACAGCATGTGCACCCAGGAGACCACCCAAAACATGTTTGCTAGTAACACCCCTTCACAACCCCTTTCATGAATAATCATATAAGACCCTCATAAGGGAGCTTCCCCAGTGCCGATCAACGCTGTTTCTTTTTCCAAGCAGCCCGCTCTGACTTGGCTTTTAGAGGGTACTCTCTCTTTAAATAAACTCTGCAGCTGCTTCACTGTCACTGATTACTTCTTGGCTGAATTCTTTCCTTCAAGAAGACAAGAACTGAAGACCCCACACCTTCCGGTAACATTACCAACTCTTTCTCCTTTTTCTCTGGAGCTGGTGCTCAGATGGTGAGAGCCCTGAGCTAATAGTCCCAGGGTGGGAGCCTGTTTGCCCCTGTCTGGTCCTCAGCAATGTCCTTGGTCAGCTTCCTGGCAAGAGCTGTCGATTACCAGAGGGAACAAGTGATCAGCACCAGAGTCGATCACTTCACAGAGGAGCTGAAGTGGACAGGGTCAGCTCAGGCCTCACGGACTAGGGCGGGAATGTCCCGTGACGGCAGGTCAGTGTCTTAGCTTCCTTTGAGGCACCTCTTCATAGACTGCAGGGATCATTTAGGTAAGAATATAGCCTGCTGACTTTTACACCTTGCTGAAAATCTTTGCTAATAGCAATCTGTTAGCTGTGAAAATTACCATTGTTTTTTATTTTTCGTTTTGTTCCTTATTACTGAAGATATTCTATGGAGCGTTAAAGCCTCCTGCGGTAAGAAACTAGTAAAGAAACATACTGTTTGCAGGAAGGAAAATTACCCACAATTCTTGTTCTCTAAGGTGCGTGGTTATCATTCCAACAGCCATTCTCAGCAATGAACTGAAGACCCTCAGATGTGTTTCATTCCCTTAGTATTTTAATCCTCTCCTCCACTCTCAATTGCCACTTCTCCCGTGAATGAGGGGAGAGGGGTTGGGAGGGACATCTCCTGTCTTGGGCCCACAGATTTTAAAGTTCAAGTCAGAAGCTCCAGTGATTTCCTGTATGTAGTAGTCAGGGGCAAGACAGATCTGTGGTTGGTAGTCTTTCCTTCTCTGTACATCTGCCAGCCTCTCTCCTCAAGCTGGGGCTTCATGGAGTCCCAGAACTTTGAACCTGAAGTAGTGTCAGCAGCCATGTTGCAGCTGGAGTCAGGCCAATTGTTGGTCTTGCTCCCTCGTGACTGGGACACTTGGAAGAGCCAAATGGGCAGGCTTGGAGAGCGTGTACTTTTGGAACTGAAGTGTATCTTAAACCATTTCATTGCAACTACGTGTGTGTGTTGGGAGGATGCATAACAGCCTCACTGAGGGGTGACTGACATATAATAGAAGGACTTGTGCACCCGTGAAACCATCACTGTTATCAAGACAGCGAGCATGTCCATCCCCCATAGGTTTTCTTGTGCTCCTTTGTGATCCCTTCCTCCTGCCTCTCCTGCCATGCTCCACCCCAAGCAACCACTGATCTGCTTTCTGTCACAATATATAGATTGGAAAACTACTTATAATACCAGTTCTAACCTCATCAAGCAAATACTTTCTTTTTGTCAGTTGAACTTTTCATTGTGTGTTCAACATTCTTGATTCAGAAAGAGTGAGAGAGAAAGGCTGGTGTGGGCCCTTCCTGGGAGGCCTGGCCCTATCCACAGCTCCAGTGTGGCTCACGTGCCCTGGAGCCCCTGCCCACAGGACAGTCCTGACTGCTCATCCACAAGCTTTGTGGTATCCTCTACCATTCCTAGGCAGGCTCTGTACAGTGCAGAACTTTCTCCCAGTCCTTGCACCAAAATAACAAATGTCAGAGATAGTACATTTGGAGCCAGTGGCTGTGCCTCACCTCTAGATGCCTGTAATACTGAGCTGCTAAGCAAGAGGTCCCTCCCTTCTTGCCCTTTTCTTGGGGCCTCATCCCTTGTGCTCTGCTCTTCCTCACACAGGATATATCTTCTGATTGCTCCTCTCCCACCTCCTGCAGTCCCTGGACCCCCATGGCAATACAAACAGACTCTTCTATATCCTCAGTCCATTGCAGGACCACAGCTCTGACCTGGCTGTCCTCTGTTTTCCAAGCCCTGCACCTGTGGAGTTGGGAATTAGCACCCACTTGACCCCATTGTGGCATCAGGCCCACCCTCCCCAATGCAGGAAGAGTTCCAGATGTTGGGGAGCTATGGCATTATCCTGCACACATATCATGTCCTGGCCTGGGAAAGTGATGATGATGATATTTTCCCACAAAATAGACAATAACATCATGAAAGTGCCTTGTTCATTTTCTAGCATAAAATATATATCAAAGCAGTGGGGTTTAGTAGGCATACGTAGATTTAAAAGCTCCTCAGAAGGCAGGGAATGATTTCTTCAACAGAAAAAAAAACTACCCCAAAAGGAGAATCTCAATACTTTGGTTGATAGTAAATTAAGAATCCCTCAAGAAATTCAGTAGGAGAGGGAAAAGATAAGTCACCAATGGGAAATATATTTGTCACAATATAACAGGCAAAGGACTCATGTCCAGAGTGCATGAAGGATTTCTACAAATAAAATAAAGAATCCAACAGAAAAATGAAGAAGAGAAAGGAATAGGAACTTCATTTTTAAAAAAGAGAAAAGAAAAAGGAAGTAAGGAAAAACAAATGAACATCCAAATGGCCAGAAAGCATATAAAAATGCCCAACCTCATAAACCATCAGACAAATGTGATCCACAATGAGAAGCCAATACACACCGACCAGCACGGCTAAAATTAAGAAGACTGTTAATACCAAGTGTTGGTGAGAATGTGAAGTAACTGAAACATTTATACACTGCTGGTGGAAATGTGAAATAGCACAACTACTTTGGAAAATTATTTGGGAATACTGCTAAAGGTGAGCACCCCTATGATCCTGAAATCCCACTCCAATATGAAAACCCAAAAGAAATGCATCCTGATAGAGGCACTCTTCATAGTAGCCCAATGTTAATCATGGAAGAATGGACAAGTATATATCATATCATGGAATTTTTATGGTAATGAAAATAGATTAATAACTGCCATGCACAGTTGGTGAATCCCACCAACATAATGTTGAGTGAAAGAAACCTGATACAAATGAATGTATACTACACTATTTCATTTCTGTGAAGCTCCAAAATAAGCAAAACGAACCTATAGTGTTATAAGTCAGTAGAGTGATTATCTTAGTATTTGCATGGGAGCTCTGGTAATGTTTTATTTCTTGATCTAAGGGCTGGTGTCCCAGATGTGTTCACTTTGTGATAATTCATCAATCTGTTTTCTTGGGAGCTGTGGCTTATCTGTGCAGATATACTCCAATTAAAAAAATCATTCAACTCAATGACAACAACAACAAAAAAAACTCGATTTTTTAACATTTTGTGGAGTGTTTATTATGATCCAGTCAGCGTACTAAATACACTATTTTATTTGATCCTTAAAATAACTTAAACAACTTGATTTAAATATGGGCAAAGGACTTGAGAAGACATTTCTCCAAAGAAGATATACAAAAAGCACATGGAAAACCCTTGACATAATTAGTAATCTGGGAATGCAAATGTAAACCACGGTGGGATACCACTTCACACATGTTAGAATGACTATTATCCAAAAATAAAACAAACAGAAAATAACAAGCATTGGCAAGGATGTGGAGAAATTGAAACCCCCATGCATTGTTGGTGGGAATGTAAAATGGTGCAGCCGCTGTGGAAAACAGTTTGATGGCTCCTCAGAAAACCATACACAGAATTAACATATGATCCAGCATTGCCACTTTCAGGTATATACCCAAAACAATAGCATGAAACACATAAAGAGACATGTTCATAGCAGTATTATTCAGAATAACTAAAAGGTGGAAGCCATGTTAAGTGTTCATTGACAGATGAATGGATAAGCAAAATGTGGTATATCCATACAATGAAATATTATTCAGCTTTTAAAAGGAAGGAAATTTGATACATGCAACAACATGGATGAATCTTCAGGACATTGCGTTCAGTGAAATAAACCAGTCACAAAAAGACAAATACTACAAGATTGCAATTACATGGATACCTAGAACAGTCAAATTCATACAGACAGAAAGTAGAATGGTGGTTGCCATGTCCCAAAGCCAACATAAAGCAGCAGTTGTGGACAGCTTCAGTTTCAGCTGAACTTGACTGTATGTTGTGCTGAAACCAGGGTAATCTGATGTCCAACACTCAGAGCCAGTTAAGACTTTTGTTTCTGGTGACCTGGGGAGCTGACAGTGCTTTTCAGGCACACCTGGGGTAACTCTTATTTCCCAAATGGGTTGGCAGATTGTTGTGGGTGCCAGGTCTTTGATGGACTGGATCTAGACACGAATAAATAGCCTGCTGGGATTTTGATTCGGATTGTAGTCAATCTATATTGAATCTGTGTTTTAAGAGTATAACCTCTTAACAATATTGAGTCTTCTCACTCATGAACAACATATATCTCCCCATTTATTTATGGCTTCTTTAATTTATCATAGCAATGTTTTACAGTTTTCTGTGTACAGGCCTTTTACATTTTTTGTCAGATTTGTTCCTAAGTACTTTACATTTTGCATGCTATTGTAAATGTTGTTAATTTTTTTATTTTAATTTCTTCATTTTTTACTTGACAAATACAAATTTTATCTATTCATAGTGTACAATATGATATTTTGCAATATGTATACATTTTGGGATGGTTAATCCAACCAATAATATATGCATTACATTTTAATTTTCAATTAAGTTACAAAGCTCTCATTAAACAATTTTTGTACACTAATTTGTCCTGAAACCTTGATAAACACACTTATTAACTTCTTGTACATTCCACTGAATTTTCTACACAGACAGTCATGTCGTCTGTGAATAATGACCATTTATGTCTTTCTTTCCAAACTGAATGTCCTTTATTTCTGTTTCTTGGCTGATTGCACAGTCTACAGCCTCCAATACAGTGCTGGATAGAGGTGGTGAGGGCAGGCATCCCTAGTGTGTTCCTGATGTGAAGGGGAAAGTATTCAGTCTTCCACAATCAAGTGTGATGCTAGCTGAAGGACTTTTGGAATTGCCCTTTATCAGCTTGAGGAAGTTCCCTCTGTTCCTAATTTGCCTCAGTTTTTATCAATAATGGATGTTGGATTTTGCAAAATGTTTTTTCTGTATTGATTATGGTGATCATATAATTTTTTAGTTTGTTTATGTGGTAAATTACATTGATTTATTTTTTTACTCTTAAATCAACCTTGCATTTCTAGGATAAATACCACTTAATTATGATGTATTACATTTCTATTATATTTAGGATTCCATTTGCTAAACTTTTGCATAGAATTCTTGCCCTATGTTCATGAGGATTATTGGTCTGTAGTTTTGTTTTCTTCTAATATCCTTGTCTGGCCAGGGTATCAGGGTAATGCTGATTTCATAGATTGAGTTGGGAAGTATTTCCTCCTCTTCAGTTTTTGGAAGAGTTTGTGAAGTCTTGTTATTACTTCTCCCTTAAATGTTTGGTAAAATTCACTACTATCACCATCTGGGCCTGAATTTCTTTATAGGGAGGTTTTTATGTTATTCTTTTTTTTTTTTTTTGAGACAGTCTCCCTCTGTCACCCAGGCTGGAGTGCAGTGGTGTGATCTCAGCTCACTGCAGCCTCCACCTCCTGGGTTCAAGTGATTCTCTTGCCTCAGCCTCCCAAGTAGCTGGTATTCCAGGCTCATGCCACCACGCCTGGCTACTTTTTGTATATTTGGTAGACAAGAGGTTTCACTGTGTTAGCCAGGATGGTCTCCATCTCCTGACCTCATCCTGACCTCATGATCCGCCCACCTCAGCCTCCCAAATTGCTGGGATTACAGGGATGAGCCACGGAGCCAGGATTTTTTTTTTTTTTTGAGGGAGAGTCTCGCTCTGTTGCCCAGGCTGGAGTGCAGAGGTGTGACCTCAGCTCACTGCAACCTCGGGGGAACCCACCCCTGATAATTCAATGTGGGTACTTTTCTATTTTCCCTAAGTGTCAGCCAGTCTGAGAAATAAAGGGAAAGAGTACAAAAGAGAGAAATTTTAAAGCTGGGTTTCCAAGGGAGACATCACATGTCGGCAGGTTCCATGAGGCCCCACAAGCCGCAAAAGCAGCCAGTTTTTATTAGTGGTTTTCAAATGGGGAGGGAGTGT